>NC_000003.12:109160119-109463149 GCF_000001405.40 Homo sapiens | reverse complement strand
CACATGAGTTTTTAATGTGTATGAGAGAGAAAGGCAGAACACTGGTCACCACTGGCAGTAACTGAGACCCCAAACACTCTTTCTAAGGTAGAACTTTAGGGAAAGAATTGAGAAATTATCTAACCTTTTTTGTGAAGTTTATTTTGGATAACCAAAGGGATATAACTAAAGAATGAAACTTCTCTACAAAATGTTTATAGCTTAAAAAAACAGCTGGTGAAAAAAATAAATGAAAGTTCCACAGTGAACTTATATATGAGAGAAACAGTGTCACCATGTGAATTTCAATGATTAATCTTTGCATCATTAAATTAGGGCTACCAAAAATATATGCTTCATGACATGAAACACAGGCAGCATCCAAGACCACTTGTGAAGTGTCATCCAAGACCATTTATGAAGTGTCACTTATGAATAGTCTGTTTTCACACTGCTATAAAGAACTGCCTGAGACTGGGTAATTTATAAAGAAAAGAGGTTTAATTGATTCACAGTTCTGCATGGCTGAGGCTTCAGGAAACTTACAATTGTGGTAGAAGGTGAAGGGGAAGCAAGGCATGTCTTATATGGCAGCAGGAGAGAGAAAGAGAAGGGGGAGGTACTACACATGTTTAAATGATTAGATCTTGTGAAAATTCACTCACTATCACAAGACCAGCAAGGGGGAAATCCGCCCCCATGATCCAATCACCTCCCACCAGGCCCCTCCCCTAACATGTGGGGATTACAATTCAACATGACATTTGGGTGGGGACACAGAGCCAAACCAAAAATGATGGACCTAAATCTACTCAAATCTTTAGTTCTAACTAATGAGTTCCATGTCAAAAGAAATTTTTTAAAGATTAAAGATTTAGGCCAGGCACAGTGGCTCAAGCCTGTAATCCCAACACTTTGGGAGGTCAAGGTGGGCAGATCACTTGAGCCCAAGAGTTCAAGACCAGGCTGGGTAAAATAGCAAAATCCTGTCTCTACAAAAACACACAAAAATTAGCCAGGCATGGCGGTGGCATGCACCTGTATTCCCAGCCACTCAGGAGGCTGAGGTGGGAGGATTTCTTGAGCCCAGGTGGTCAAGGCTGTAGTGAGCTGTGAAGCCATGATCATGCCACTGCACTTCAGCCTGGGCAACAGAGTGAGACCCTGTCTCAAAAAACATAAATAAATAAAATAAAGATTAAAGACTTAATAGCCAAATACAAACAGTAGAACTCATTTAGATAATCATTTGAATACATCAATCAGTTTAAAAATTGGTTCAGACAATGTGCTAAATTTCAATATGGGTTGGCTATTGAATGTTGCAAGGAAATTTCATTAAATTTGGCAAATGTGATAATGATGTTATGGTTATATTTTCAAAAATTCATGTAACTCTAGAAATATATTCTGAGTTATGTTAGGGAAATTACATAATGTCTGAGATTTGCTTTAAATATTTTAGCAAAAAAGAGGAGGAGGAGAAGAAGAAAGGAGGATAGAAGAAGGAAGAGGGCAAATTCTTGATAATTATAAAATCTAGGCAATTGAGATACAGGGGTTCAGTATAGTATTTCCTCTACTTTTGTGGCATGTTTGAAGTTTTTTTTTTTCTTAATAATAAGCATTCTATACCCCATCTCCTCTTTCAATCCCATCTCTTCTCCCAGAAAATCCTTCCTATCCTTTGCCTTTTCCACATACCTAAGAAGCCAGAACAACCCCCTATTCCCTACTCTTGGATATTCTGTGCTTCTACATGATATTCCTGCTGCCCGTATTCCCTACAACCACCACAAAAACTCCTAGTGACCCTTCAAAGCCCAGCTCTCCTATTAATCTCCCTATTCCCCACATACGCCTAGCTGAGTTCTACCTCAGGGTGATTTGTGTTTGCTTACTGTCTGTCTCCCCCTAACTAGAATGTCAGCTCCATGAGAGTGTGACTGCTTTGTTGACACAGCAGGATATTAACAGTCCCAAAACGGTGCCAGGAGCACAGTAAGAACACAATAAATATGTGTTGAGTTAATGAATGAATGAATGCCACTCTTAGGTGAAGTTATTCTTTACCCTTTTAACTGAATTTGGCACTTCATTTGTACTCTTCTGGTCCTTTTTCTTTGTTCATATCTTGTTATTTTAAATTTAATTGTTAATATATTTCTAGCTGACTAATACGAGTTTCTTGAGGAAGGAATGGTGTTTTATTCACCATGATGACTCTGACAGTGCCAAGCACATAGTAGAGGAGCAGCAATTACATACTGAATAAACGAAGGAAAATTTTAGAGCTTCACAATTCTTTTTTGCTCCATCCTTGGTATTATTTCCCACACCACAATTTATGGGGAGATAGATGTGAGATTTTGAGTTCCAGAAATGCTAAACTGAACTGATCATCTTCTAGCATCTTAGAAAAGAAACTTTGACTTTACCATCATGTTTGTTTCTATTGGGTGCATGCATACTATTGTCCTGTGTTATAATATTTACAAAACAAGAGATTAGGAAATGTGTGCATGTGTGTGTATGTGTCTGTCTGTCTGTCTTGTCTGTAAATTTAAAAAAAGAGAAAGTTGTAAAATGTTTTTGCCTAATCTTTGAAGTTGAAGATGGGTAAACTTCATAAGCCAATATTTTAATCCTTAGATATGCACCCCTAGAAGAATTATAGTACACACATACCAGGGGCTATGCATAGATACATTCACAATAGCATGGTTTGTAATAGCTAAACCATGGGAAAATGCAAATTTCATCAACAGAAGAATGGATAAATCAACAGGTGCATATTCAGGTAATATTAATAAAATGATCTGTATCAGTGAAATTGAATGAAATTCATCCATACACAGCAACATAGACCAATACTTTTCAACCGAGGGAATCTGCCACCCCAACACAAACTCAAACACCCAGGTGACATTTGGCAATGTCTGGACACACTTGTGATTGCCACGGCTAGGGTCAAGTCACTGGCATCTAATGGCTAGAGACTAGTTATGCACCTAACATCCTATGATGCACAGGACAGACTGTCACAACAAAGAATCGTCCAGTCCAAAATTTCAGTAGTGTGGAGGTTGAGAAACCCTAACCTAGGCAAATCAAAAAGGCATACTACTGAGCAAAAAAAGCAAGTCACAGAAATATCATATATAATTGAAACATACATTATATCATTTAAATAAAGTTTTGGTAAACAAGAAAAATTTTAAATATATTATTTTAAAACTCACATTTATGTGGTGAAATTGTGAAGAAAACCAAGGGAATTATAAACACCTGGAAGAGAATAAAAAGGATGGAATTAGGGAAGGACGCCAAGGAACATCAAAGATACTGGCATAGGGGTGGATGTTTTATTATTCTTATTTAAGAATATAAGCATATCTACCAAGCAAATGGAAAACAAAAAAACGCAGGGGTTGCAATCCTAGTCTCTGATAAAACAGACTTTAAATGAACGAAGATCAAAAGAGACAAAGAAGGCCATTACCTAATGGTAAAGGGATCAATTCAACAAGAACAGCTAACTATCCTAAATATATATGCACCCAATAAAGAAGTACCCAGAGTCATAAAGCAAGTCCTGAGTGACCTAGAAAGAGACTTAGACTCCCACACAATAATAATAGGAGACTTTTATTCACTGTCAACATTAGACAGATCAACGAGACAGAAAGTTAACAAGGATACCCAGGAATCGAACTCAGCTCTGCACCAAGCAGACCTAATAGACATCTACAGAACTCTCCACCCCAAATCAACAGAATATACATTTTTTTCAGCACCACACCACACCCACTCCAAAACTGACCACATAGTTGGAAGTAAAGCTCTCCTCAGCAAATGTAAAAGCATAGAAATTATAACAAACTGTCTCTCAGACCACAGTGCAATCAAACTAGAAGTCAGGATTAAGAAACTCACTCAAAACCGCTCAACTACATGGAAACTGAACAACCTGCTCCTGAATGACTACTGGGTACATAACGAAATGAAGGCAGAAATAAAGATGTTCTTTGAAACCAACGAGAACAAAGACACAACATACCAGGATCTCTGGGACACATTCAAATCAGTGTATAGAGGGAAATTTATAGCACTAAATGCCCACAGGAGAAAGCAGGAAAGATCCAAAATTGACGCCCTAACATCACAATTAAAAGAACTAGAAAAGCAAGAGCAAACACATTCAAAAGCTAGCAGAAGGCAAGAAATAACTAAAATCAGAGCAGAACTGAAGGAAATAGAGACACAAAAAACCCTTCAAAAAATTAATGAATACAGGAGCTGGTTTTTTGAAAAGATCAACAAAATTGATAGACCGCTACCAAGACTAATAAAGAAGAAAAGAAAGAAGAATCAACTAGACGCAATAAAAAAAGATAAAGGGGATATCACCACCAATCCCACAGAAATACAAACTACCATCAGAGAATACTACAAACACCTGTATGCAAATAAACTAGAAAATCTAGGAGAAATGGATAAATTCCTCGACACATACACCCTCCCAAGACTAAACCAGGAAGAAGTTGAATCTCTGAATAGACCAATAACAGGATCTGAAATTGTGGCAATAATCAATAGCTTACCAACCAAAAAGAGTCCAGGACCAGATGGATTCACAGCCGAATTCTACCAGAGGTACAAGGAGGAACTGGTACCATTCCTTCTGAAACTATTCCAATCAATAGAAAAAGAGGGAATCCTCCCTAACTCATTTTATGAGGCCAGCATCATCCTGATACCAAAGCCAGGCAGAGACACAACCAAAAAAGAGAATTTTAGACCAATAACCTTGATGAACATTGATGCAAAATTCCTCAATAAAATACTGGCAAACTGAATCCAGCAGCACATCAAAAAGCTTATCCACCATGATCAAGTAGGCTTCATCCCTGGGATGCAAGGCTGGTTCAACATACGCAAATCAATAAATGTAATCCAGCATATAAACAGAACCAAAGACAAAAACCACATGATTATCTCAATAGATGCAGAAAAGGCCTTTGACAAAATTCAACAATGCTTCATGCTAAAAACTCTCAATAAATTAGGTATTGATGGGACGTATCTCAAAATAATTAGAGCTATCTATGACAAACCCACAGCCAATATCATACTGAATGGGCAAAAACTGGAAGCATTCCCTTTGAAAACTGGCACAAGACAGGGATGCCCTCTCTCACCACTCCTATTCAACATAGTGTTGGAAGTTCTGGCCAGGGCAATTAGGCAGGAGAAGGAAATAAAGGGTATTCAATTAGGAAAAGAGGAAGTCAAATTGTCCCTGTTTGCAGATGACATGGTGGTATATCTAGAAAACCCCATTGTCTCAGCCCGAAATCTCCTTAAGCTGATAAGCAACTTCAGCAAAGTCTCAGGATATAAAATCAATGTACAAAAATCACAAACATTCTTATACACCAATAACAGACAAACAGAGAGCCAAATCATGAGTGAACTCCCATTCACAATTGCTTCAAAGAGAATAAAATACCTAGCAATCCAACTTACAAGGGACGTGAAGGACCTCTTCAAGAAGAACTACAAACCACTGCTCAATGAAATAAAAGAGGATACAAACAAATGGAAGAACATTCCATGCTCATGGGTTGGAAGAATCAATATCATGAAAATGGCCATACTGCCCAAGGTAATTTACAGATTCAATGCCATCCCCATCAAGCTACCAATGACTTTCTTCACAGAATTGGAAAAAACTACTTTAAAGTTCATATGGAACCAAAAAAGAGCCCACATCACCAAGTCAATCCTAAGTCAAAAGAACAAAGCTGGAGGCATCATGCTACCTGACTTCAAACTATACTACAAGGCTACAGTAACCAAAACAGCATGGTACTGGTATCAAAACAGAGATATAGACCAACGGAACAGAACAGAGCCCTCAGAAATAATGCCGCATATCTACAACTATCTGATCTTTGACACACCTGAGAAAAACAAGCAATGGGGAAAGGATTCCCTATTTAATAAATGGTGCTGGGAAAACTGGCTAGCCATATGTAGAAAGCTGAAAGTGGATCCCTTCCTTACACCTTATACAAAAATTAATTCAAGATGGATTAAAGACTTAAATGTTAAAGTCAAAACCATAAAAACCCTAGAAGAAAACCTAGGCAATACCATTCAGGACATAGGCATGTGCAAGGACTTCATGTCTAAAACACCAAAAGCAATGGCAACAAAAGCCAAAATTGACTAATGGGATCTAATTAAACTAAAGAGCTTCTGCACAGCAAAAGAAACTACCATCACAGTGAACAGGCAACCTACAAAATGGGAGAAAATTTTCGCAACCTACTCATCTGACAAAGGGCTAATATCCAGAATCTACAATGAACTCAAACAAATTTACAAAAAAAAAACAAACAACCCCATCAAAAAGTGGGTGAAGGATATGAACAGACACTTCTCAAAAGAAGACATTTATGCAGCCAAAAAACACATGAAAAAATGCTCATCATCACTGGCCGTCAGAGAAATGCAAATCAACACCACAATGAGATACCATCTCACAGCAGTTAGAATGGCGATCATTAAAAAGTCAGGAAACAACAGGTGCTGGAGAGGATGTGGAGAAATAGGAACACTTTTACACTGTTGGTGGGACTGTAAACTAGTTCAACCATTGTGGAAGTCAGTGTGGCGATTCCTCGGGGATCTAGAACTAGAAATACCATTTGACCCAGCCATCCCATTACTGGGTATATACCCAAAGGACTATAAATCATGCTGCTATAAAGACACATGCACACGTATGTTTATTGCGGCACTATTCACAATAGCAAAGACTTGGAACCAACCCAAATGTCCAACAATGATAGACTGGATTAAGAAAATGTTGCACATACACACCATGGAATACTATGCAGCCATAAAAAATGATGAGTTCATGTCCTTTGTAGGGACATGGATGAAACTGGAAATCATCATTCTCAGCAAGCTATCGCAAGGACAAAAAACCAAACACCACATGTTCTCACTCATAGGTGGGAATTGAACAACGAGAACACATGGACACAGGAAGGGGAACATCACACACCGGGGACTGTTGTGGGGTGGGGGGAGGGGGGAGGGATAGCATTAGGAGATATACCTAATGCTAAATGACGAGTTAATGGGTACAGTACACCAACATGGCACATGTATACATATGTAACAAACCTGCACATTGTGCACATGTACCCTAAAACTTAAAGTATAATAATAAATTAAAATAAAAAATAAATAAATAAATAAAAATGCAATGCTTCTCTCAAAAAAAAAAGAATATAAGCACAAGATAAGCATAGGGGTGGATGTTTTGTTACTCTTAATGTTTATTATGTCATATATGTGTTCTTTTGTATGACTGATTTTTACATAGGTTTTTTTAGAAGAGGAATATATCAAGAACAGGGCTTTAGAATAAACAGGAAATAATTACAGGCAAGGAACATTTCCAAGATCAACTTGTGCAGGCTGTGTCCACTTTGAGATAAATGTATTTACATTGCAAGTAGAATGATTGTATTCATATTTCTAAATATTTTTCCTCAATATTTCTGCTTGTGGCAAACTAAATTACATTAATTTTTTTCACTATATTGGTAAGTCCCCAGAAGGTTTCTGGTAACACCACAATTTTCTCTTACCAAAAGAAAAATAATAAGCTGAACATAGCTCTAATAATCAATGCAGAGAAAATATGTAGATAAAAGAATAAGTCAAATAGTTGATACAAGCAGCAAAATATAATCTCTCAGAATCTCTGCAGGACAAACAACAAGTTGCTTCCACAAACAATTTGCAAGGAAATAAATAAATAAATAAAGGGAGGGGAAAAAGAAAGATGAAGAAGAGTGGAATCTACTAATTAAAAGACATGTAAGAGTTAGATCAACCAAGGGAGGGCAACCTTATTTGTTCAAAAAAAAATTTTAAAAAGAAGGAGATAAGAAAGAGATTTTAAATATTTACTAGATAAATTATTTCTTTAAGGAGTTATTTTTATTAGTAATTGATGTGGTTTGGCTGTGTCCCCACCCAAATCTCATCTTGAATTCCCACGTGTTGTGGGAGGGACCTGGTGGGAGGTGGTTGAATCCACCGAAGAACTCTGCCTCAGAGTCAGGTCTTTCACAAGCTGTTCTTGTGACGGTGAGTGGGTCTCACGAGATCTGATGGTTTTAAAAACGGAAGTCTCCCTGCACAAGCTCTCTTCTCTCGTCTGCTGCCATGTGAGATGTGCCTTTCGCCTTCCAAAATGACTGTGAGGCCTCCCCAATCACGTGGAACTGTGAGTCCACTAAATCTCTTTCTTTTGTAAATTGCCCAGTCTCAGGTATGTCTTCACCAGCAACGTGAAAACAGACTAATACAGTGATAATAGTGTTTTGTGAGAAGAATAACTTTTTATATTTTTAATTTTAATTTTTAATTTTTGTGAGTACAAAGTAGGTGTATATATGTATGGGCTCTATGAGATATTTTGATACAGAAATACAATGTGTAATAACCACATCAGGGTAAATGGGGTATCCAGCCCCTCAGGCATTTATTCTTAGTGTCAGCCCAAATAGCCTCTTTTAATTATTTATAAATGTATAATTAAATTATTATTGACTATAGTCACTCTGTTGTGCAGCAAATACTGTCTAACTCATTCTATTTTTTTGTACCAATTAATCATCCCCACTTCCCCCTACACACACCCTCCCACTACCCTTCTCAGCCTCTGGTAACCATCCTTCTACTCTCTATCTCCATGAGTCATATTGCTTTAACTGTTTAGTTCACACAAATAAGTGAGAAAATGTGAAGTTTGTCTTTCTGTGCCAGTCTTATTTCACTTACATAATGAACTCCAGTTCCTACCATGTGATTGCAAATGACAGAATCTCATTCTTTTTTATGGCTGAAAAGTACTACATTGTGTATAAGTACCAAATTTTCTTTATCCATTTGTCTGTTGATGAACACAGATTGCTTCCGAATCTTAGCTATTGTGAATAGTGCTGCAATAAACACAGGAATACAGGTATCTCTTTGATATACTGTTTTCCTTTCTTTTGGGTATATACCTAGCAGTGGAATGGCAGGATCATATGGTAGCTCAACTTTTAGGTATTTGAGGAACCTCTAAACTGTTCTCCATAGTGGTTGTACTAATTTACATTTCCACAAAAGATGTACAAGAGTTCCCTTTTCTCTATATCCCTGCCAGCATTTGTTATTGTCTGGCTTTTGAATAAAAGCCATTTTTAGTATGCATATTAATTTTAACATAAATTTTTTGCATGAAACATTCAAGTAAAATGGACACTTCAAAAAGATATTCAGTGAGATGTTCAATGGCGTTACACCATCCTGTGGAGCTACAGATTCACCTCATCCAAATTTGAGAAAAGCAATAAAGAAAACACCTACTTCTGATGGCACCACTAGCCGTGACACCAGAGTCCACAAGCAGCAGTGTCACCAGCACATACTGCAAGCCTCAAGCTCCCATGGATGTCCCAGGCATATCTCTGGACTAGTTCAGTGGCATAATCGAGGGCACATTTTCCACCTGCACAGCCCCAGCCTGGTTCTCCTGGCTTCCCAGTTTCTCTGTGAACTACCCAGTATAACTACTTTTCTTTTTCTGATGTATTTCTATAAATTCCTTTTGCACTTGTATCTGTTAGAGCTGGCTTCTGTTACTTTCAACAAGAACCCTGACCAATGTGCCATCTCACTAGCAGGCAGAGTTCTTCAGTGGTAGAAACCCCCCAGAATCCAGGAAACAGAATTGTCCGGAAATTTCTCAGGGAATTTCTCATAGCAATTGATGGCACTAGTCAAGGGATTTATGACCAGATTGCGCTCTATTTTATCTGCTGTGTTATTCACCAAGACATATTAGTGTTTGTCCTCCACAAGAATCCATGTTTCTAAGTTATAGGGTTAATCAGTACACTCCCCGGCCCACCTCACTTTTGTGACATATGACAAATGGCAATAGGGTTAGCTTGTTTCTTCTGAAAATCCTCCAGTACTACCACCATCCCCAAAAATGCAGTGGAGGAAGGGAGAAAATAAATGATTTCATCAGAGGACACTTGATGTCTGTTATATTATTCTTCACCTTTGTGATGTCTTACAAAACAAATACCCAAAATAAAGTCCCAATTTAACATCTTTTAATACTCCTATCCAGATCAAAACATGCTTCCCTTCAATAAAAGCCATTTTAACTGGGATGAAATTATTATTGTTATTATTTTTATTATTATACTTTAAGTTTTAGGGTACATGTGCACAATGTGCCGGTTAGTTACATGTGTATACATGTGCCATGCTGGTGTGCTGCACCCATTAACTCGTCATTTAGCATTAGGTATATCTCCTAAAGCTATCCCTCCCCCCTCCCCCCACCCAACTGGGATGAAATTATATCTCATTGTAGTTTCAATTTGTATTTCTCTACTGATCAATGACAATGATCAGCTTTTCACATAACGGTTCGCCATTTCTGTGTTTTCTTTTGAGAAATGTCTATTCAAATCTGTTGCCCATTTTTAAATCAAATTATTAGATTTTTTTTCCTGTACAGTTGTTTGAGCTTCTTATATATTCTGGTTATTAATGCTTTTGTTAGGGCCGGGAGCAGTGGCTCACACCTATAATCCTAGCACTTTGGGAGGCTGAGGCAGGCAGATCACCTGAGATCAGGAGTTCAAGACCAGCCTGACCAACATGGAGAAACCCCGTCTCTACTAAAAATACAAAATTAGCCAGGCATAGTGGTGCATGCCTGTAATCCCAGCTACTCGGGAGGCTGAGGCAGGAAAATCACTTGAACCTAGGAGTTGGAGGGTGCTGTGAGTCAAGATCACACCATTGCACCCCAGCCTGGGCAACAAGAGCAAAATTCCATCTCAAAAAAAAAAAAAAAAAAAAAAAAAAAAAATATATATATATATATATATATATATATATACATATATACTTTGTTAGATGGGTACTTTGCAAATATTTTCTCCCATTCTGTGGGTTGTCTTTTCACTTAGTTGATTGTTTCATTTGCTGTGCAGCTTTTTATCTTGATGTGATCGCATTTGTCCACTTTTGCTTTGGCTGCCTGCACTTATAGGGTATTACTCAAGTAATCTTTGCCTAGACCAATGTTCTGGAGATTTTCCCCAAAGTTTTCTTTCAGTAGTTTCATAATTTGAGGTCTTAGATTTAAGTTTTTAATCCATTTTGATTTTATTTTTGTATATGACAAGAGATGGGGGGGTCTAGTTTCATTCTTCTGCACGTGAATAATGCATGCATGCAATAGCAATGCAAACATGCATGTGTGTGTTTTTCCCAGCATGGTTTATTGAAGACTGTCTTTTCTCCAATGTGTGTCTTGACATCTTTGCTGAAAATCAGTTTATTGTAGACATATAAATTTGTTTCTGGGTTCTCCATTCTGTTTCATTGGTCTATGTGTCTGTTTTTATGCCAGTACCATGCTGCTTTGGTTACTATAGCTCTATAGTATAATTTGAAGTCAAGTAATGTGATTCCTCCAGTTTTGTTCTTTTTGCTTAGGATAGCTTTGGCTATTTGGGGTCTTTTGTGGTTCAATATAAATTTTAGGAGTTTTTTCTATTTCTGTGAAGAATGTCATTGGTAATTTGATAGAGATTGCATTGAATCTATAGATTGCTCTGGGTAGTATGAATATTTTAACAATATTGATTCTTCCAATTCATAAACATGGAATCTCTTTCCATTTTTTTGGTGTCCTCTTCAATTTTTTTGATCAGTGTTTTATAGTTTTTATTGTAGAGATCTGTCACTTCTTTGGTTAATTCCTAAATATTTAATTTTATATGTAGCTATTGTAAATGCGGTTACTTTCTTGATTTCTTTTTCAGATTGTTTGCTGTTGGCATATAGAAATGCTACTGACTTTTGTGTGTTGATTTTGTATGCTGTGACTTTACTAAATTTGTTTATCAATTCCAATAGCTCTTTTTTTTTTTTTTGAGACGAAGTCTCGCTCTGTCACCCAGGCTGGAGTGCAGTCAGTGGCATGATCTCAGCTCACTGCAACTTCCACCTCCCTGGTTCACACCATTCTCCTGCCTCAGCCTCCCAAGTAGCTGGGACTACAGGCACCCGCCACTACGCCTGGCTAATTTTTTGCATTTTTAGTAGAGACGGGGTTTCACCATGTTAGCCAGGATGGTCTCGATCTCCTGACCTCATGATCCACCCACCTCGGCCTCCCAAAGTGCTGGGATTACAGGCGTGAGCCACCGTGCCCAGCCTAGTTCCAACAGTTCTTTTGTGGAGTCTTTAGATTTTTGTAAATATAAGATCATATAATCTGCAAACAAGGATAATTTGATTTCTGCCTTTCCAATTTGGATGCCCTTTATTTCTTTCTCTTGTTTGATTTCTGTAGCTAGGACTTCCCATACAATATCAAATAACAGCGATGAAAATGGGCATTCTTGTTGTGTTCTAGATCTTAGAGGAAAGGCTTCCATTTTTCCCCATTCAGTATCATACTAGCTGTGGGTCTGTTATATATGACTTTTATTATGTTGAGATATGTTCCTTCTATACCCAATTTTTTAAAGATTTTTATCATGAAGGGATGTTAAATTTTCTTAAATGCTTTTTCAGCACCAATTGAAATGATCATATGGTTTTTGTCCTTCATTATGCTGGTATGATATATAACATTGGTTCATTTGCATATGTTGAACCATCCATGCATACTGGGACAAATCCCACTTGGTGGTGATAAATGATCTTTTTAATGCATTGTTGAATTTGGCTTGCTAGTATTTTACTGAGGATTTTTTCCTCAATGTTCATCAGCGATATTGCCCTCTTTCTTTCTCTCCCTCTTTCTTTCTTTTCTTTTTTTCTTTTCTCTGGTTTTCTTATTTTGAGAGAGGGTCTCACTCTGTCACCCAGGCTGGAGTGCAGTGACATAATCATGGTTCACTGCAGCCTCAACCTCACAGGCTCAAGTGATCCTTCCACTTCAGCCTCCAGAGTAGCTGGGACTAGAGGCACATGCCATCAAATCTAGCTAATTTTTGTGTTTTTTTGGTAGAGACATAATTACACCATGCTTCCCAAGCTGATCTGAAATTCCTAAGCTCAAGTGATCCTACTGCCTTGCCCTACCAAATTGTTGGGATTACAGGCATGAGCCATTACAACAAGCCTAGTTTTCTTTTTGGACATATTTTTATCCAGTTTTGGTATCAGGGTAATACTGGACTCAGAGAATGAGTTTGAAAATACTTGGCCAGGCACGGTGGCTCACACCTGTAATCCCAGCACTTTGGGAGGCCAAGGCGGGCAAGGCGGGTGGATTGCCTGAGTTCAGGAGTTTGAAATCAGCCTGGGCAACATGATGAAACCCTGTCTCTACTAAAAATACAAAAAAAAAAAAAATAGCTGGGAGTGGCGGCATGTGCCTGTAGTCCCAGCTACTTGGGAGCCTGAGGCAGAAGAACTGCTTGAACCCAGGAGGTGGAGGTGCAGTGAGCCAAGATCACACCACTGCACTCCACACTCCAGCCTGGGCAACAAAGCGAGACTCTGACTCCAAAAAAAAAGAAGAAGCTACTCTCTCCACTTCTATTTTTTGGAATAGTTTCAGTAGGATTGGTACTGGCTCTTCCTTAAATGTTTGGTGAAATTCAGCAGTTAAACCATTGGGTCTCAACCTTTTCTTCACTGGGAGACTTAACAAATAAATTGCAATAATAAAAATAATCAAATAGAAATTCTGGAGTGGAAAAAATGCAGTTGACATACTGAAGACTGCATCAGAGTCTCTTAATAGCAGAATGAATCAAACAGAAGAAAAACATAGTGAGCTTGAAGTCAGGCTATTTGAAAATACAAAGCCAGCGTAGACAAAAGAATAAAAAACAATAAAATATACTTACAGGATCTAGGAATTAGCCTCAAAATGGCAAATGTAAGAACTATTAGCAGATAGGGGTATAACATTTATTCAAAGGGATAACAGATACAGCTTATATCTCATTACTTATTATTGACCTGTTTAGGTTTTATATTTTTCTGTACTTCAATCTTGGTATGTTGTATGGGTCTAGGAAGTTGACCATTTCTTCTAGGTTTTAAAATTAATTGGTATATAGTTACTCATAGTAGTCTCTAATGATCCTTTGAATTTCTGTGTTATCAGCTGGAATGTCTCCTCTTTCATCTCTGATTTTATTTATTTGGATCTTCTTTTTTTCTTAGTTTGGCTGAAGGTTTGTTCATTTTCTTTATCTTTTAAAAAAACATTTTTTTTTTTTTTGAGACGGAGTCTTGCTCTGCTCCCATGTTGGAGTGCAGTGGCACGATCTCGGCTCACTGCAAGCTCCGCCTCCCAGGTTTTAGGCCATTCTCCTGCCTCAGCCTCCCAAGTAGCTGGGACTACAGGCGTGCACCACCTACGCCTGGTTAATTTTTTTTTTCTGTATTTTAGTAGAGATGGGGTTTCACTGTGTCAGCCAGGATGGTCTCGAACTCTTGACCTTGTGATCTGCCCGCCTCGGCCTCCCAAAGTGCTGGGATTACACGCATGAGCCACTGCGCCCGGCTTTAAAAAAAACTTTCATTTCATTAATCTTTTATATTGTTTTCTTCATTTTAATTTCATTTATTTCTGCTCTGATCTTCATTATTTCTCTTATTCTGCTAACTTTGGGTTTGGTTTGCTCTTGCTTTTCTGGTTCTTTGACATGCATTAGTAGATTGTTTACTTGAAGTTTTTATTCTTTTTTGATATAGGAACTTATAGCTATAAACTTCCCTCTTAGTACTGCTTTTGCTGTATCTCAAAGGTTTTGGTATATTGTTTTCCCATTATAATTTGTTTCAAGAAACTTCAATTTCCTTCCTAATCTCCTCATTGACCCACTGGTCATCAGAAGCATATGGCTTAATTTCCATGTTTTTCTATAGTTTCAAAAATTCCTCATTATTGACTTCTAGTTTTATTCCATTGTGGTCAGAGAAGATGTTTGATATTATTAGAAATTTTTTTGAATATTTCAAACTTTGTGGCCTAACATATGGTGTATCCTTGAGAATGATCCATGTGCTGAGAAGAATGTGTATTCTGCAGCCATTGAATGAAATAGCATGTAAATATCTATTAGGTCCATTTGGTCTATAGTGCAGATTAAGTCTGATGTTTCTTGGTTGATTTTCTGTCTGGATGATTTGTCCAATGATGAAAGTGGAATGTTAAAGTCTCCAGCTATTATTGTAATGGGGTCTGTCTCTTTTTAGCTCTAATAATATTTGCTTTATATATCTGGGTGCCCTAGTGCTGGCTGCATATATATTTACAATTAGTATGCCCTTTTTATTTATCCTTTATTGACCCATTATATAAGGGTCTTATTTTTCTCTATTTTTTTGATTTTGTATAGAAATCTATTGTGTCTAATATAAGTATAGTTACTCCTGATCTTTTTAGGTTTCTATTTGCATGGAATATCTTCTTCCATCCCTTTATTTCATAAAGACACACACCTTTATTTCTTCTTTATTTCTTCTATAAAGACACACATAGACAATGTAAATGGTTTCTTGTAGGCAACAGATCATTGGGTCTTTCTTTTTTAAACCATTTAGCCACTCCATGTCTTTTGGTCGAAGAGTTTAGTTCATTTACATTCCATGTTATCATTGATAAGTAAGGACTTACTCCTGCACTTTGTGATTTGATTTCTGGTTGTTTTGTGGTCTTTTCTTTCTTCTTTTCTTCCTTCCTGTCTTCCTTTTAGTGAAAGCAATTTTCTCTGGTGGTATGTTTTAATTTCTTGCTTTTTATTTTTTGTGTATCTATTATATGTTTTTAGATTTGAGGTTACCATGAGGTTTGCAAATAATATCTTATAACCCATTATTTTAAATTTATGACAACTTAACACTGATTGCATAAACAAACATGTAAAAAGAAAACTAGGCCATGTGTGGTGACTCACACCTGTAATCCCAGCACTTTGGGAGGCCAAGGTGGGTGGATCACCTGAGGTCAGGAGTTCAAGACCAACCTGGCCAACACGGTGAAACTCTATCTACTAAATATACAAAAACTAGCCGACTGTGGTGGCAGGCGCCTGTAATCCCAGCTACTCGGGAGACTGAGGCAGGAGAATTGCTTGAACCCAGAAGGTGGAGGTTGCAGTGAGCTGAGATGCGCCACTGCATTCCAGCCTGGGTGGTAGAGGTAGACTCCCTCTCAAAAAAAAGAAAGAGAAAGGAAAACTAATAAAAACTTTATACTTTAACTCCAGCCTGGGTGATAGAGAGAGACTCCGTCTCAAAAAAAAAGAAAGAAAGAAAAAGGAAAACTAATAAAAACTTTAACTTCATCTCCCTGCTTTTTAACTTAAATTGTTGTTTCTATTTATTTCTCCTTGTACAGTTTATGGCTTGAAAAGTTGCTGCAGTTATTATTTTTGATTGGTTCATCTTTTCATCTTTCTAATTAAGATTAGAGTGGTTTACACACCACAGTTACAGTGTTACAATGTTCTGTGTTTTTCCATGTACTTACTATTACCAGTGAGTTTTGTACCTTCAGATGATTTCTTATTGCTCATTAACATCCTTTTCTTTGAGACTGAAGTACTCCCTTTAGCATTTCTTGTAGGACATGTCTGGTGTTAATAAAATACCTCAGCTTTTGTTTGTCTGGGACAGTCTTTATTTCTCCTCCATATTTGAAGGATATTTTTTGCCAGATATACTATTCTAGGGTAATTTTTTTTCCTTCAGCATTTTAACTATGGCATGCCACTCTCTCTTGGTCTGTAAGCGATCCACTGAAAAATCTGCTGCTAGTTGTATTGGAGCTCCATTGTATGTTATTTGTTTCTTTTCTCTTCCTGCTTTTATGATCCTGTCTTTATCCTTGACCTCTGGGAGTTTTTTCAATCTCTTGAGGTAGTCTTCTTTGGGTTAAATGTGCTTGGTGTTCAATAACCTTCTTGCATTGGGGTATTGATATCTTTCTCTGGTTTGGGAAGTTCTCTGATACTATCTCTCTAAATAAATGTTCTGCCCCCTATCTCTCTCTCCCTTCTTCCTCTATAAGTTCAATAATTATCAGATTTGCCATTTTGAAGCTATTTTCCAGATCTTTTAACTGTGCTTCATTGTTTTTTTATTTTTTTGTCTTTTGTCTCCTCTAACCGTGTACTTTCAAGTAGCCTGAATTCTTTCTTCTGTTTGATGCATTCTGCTATTAAGAGACTCTGATGCATCCTCCAGTAAGGCAATTGCATTTTTCCACTCCAGAATTTCTGTTTGATTATTTTTATTACTGTAATTTCTTTGTTAAATCTATCTAATAGGATTTTGAATTTTTTCTCTGTGTTATCTTGAATTTCTTAGTTTCCTCAAAAGTTATTTTGAATTCTTGGTCTTAAAAGTCACATATCTCTATCTCTCCAGGGCTGGCTCCTGGTGCCTTACTTAGTTCATTTGGTGAGGTCATGTTTTCCTAGATAATCTTGATGTCTGTGGATGTTTGTCAGTGTCTAGACATCGAAAAGTTAGGTATTGTAGTCTTCATGGTCTGGGCTTATTTGTACCCTTCCTTCTCGGGAAGGTTTTTCATCTATTCAAAGGGACTTTGCTTTTGTAATCTAAGTTTCTAGTTACTGTAGCTGTATCCGCATTAGGGGGCACTGCAATGCTGTGGTTCTTACAGATTTGTAGAGGTACTGCCTTGGTGGTATTGGATAAGAGCCAGAAGAATTCTCTGAGGCCAGGCTCAGTAGCTCACACCTGCAATTCCAGCACTTTGGGAGGCTGAGCAGGTGGATTGCTTGAGCCCAGGAGTTCAAGACCAGCCTGAGCAACATAGTAAAACCTCATCTCTACAAAACAATACAAAAATTAGCCAGGCATGGTAGTGTGCACCCGTAAGTCCTATCTACTTGGGAGGTTGAGGCAGAAAGATAACTTGAGCCCAGGAGATGGAGGTTGCAATGAGCTGGGATCATGCCATTATACTCCAGCCTGGGAGACAGAGTGAGACTCTGTCTCAAACAAATAAAAAAATAACTATTTTGAAAGAGAATTATCTGGGTTACCAAGCAGAGACTCTTGTTCTCTTCCCTTATTTCTCTCAAATTAATGGACTCCCTCTCTCTGTGCTGAGCTGCCTGAGGCTGGGGAAGCACTGACACAAGCACGCCTGGGGCCACCACCACTGGGACTATGTTGGATCTGACCTGAAGCCAGCACGGTACTAGGTCTTCCCAAGGCCCACTGTAACCACTACCTGGCTACTGCCTATGTTTGCTCAAGGCCCTAGGGCTCTACAACCAGCAGATGGCAAAACCAGCCAGTCTGTGTTCTTCTCTTCAGAGTGGTAAGTTCCCCTGGGCCCTGGCAGGTCCAGAGTTGCTGTCCAGGATCAAGGGCCTTGTGTTGTAAACCTTAAAAATCTACCTGGTACTCTATTCTGCTGTAGCTAAGTTGGCACCAAAACCACAAGACAAAGTCCTTTTCCCTCCCCACTCCTGTTTCTCCAACCAGGGAAGTCTGTCTCCATATCCACCACCCCCAAGGCCCTTGGACAGTACTGCTGATGTTCATTTAAGGCCCAAGGGCTCTTCAGTCAGCTTGTGTGAAATGCTACCAGGCCTGGGACTCACTCTTCAGGGCAGTGGGCTGCCCTCTGGCCCAAGGTAGGTCTAGAAATGCCATCCAAGAGCCAAGGCCTGGAATCGGGGACCCCAAGGGCCCACTTGGTGTTCTTCCCCATTGTGACTGAGCTGGTACCTAAGCTGCAAGACAAAGTCCCCTTTATTCTTCCCTCTACTTTTCTCAAGCAGAAGGAGTTGTTCCTTATAGCCACCACAGTTGTGAATATGCTGGGTCACACCTGAAGCCAGCACATCTCAGAGTCTCACCCAAGGCTCACACTATGCACTACCTGGTTACTGCTGCTGATTATTCAGGACTCAAGAGCTCTTTAGTCAGCAGGTGATGAATTCTGCCACAACTGGGTCCTTCCCTTTAAGGCAGCGGGTTTCCTTCTAGCACAAGGTGTGTCTAGAAATGTCATCAGGGACTACACACTCAGTACAGTGTACACTGCTCAGGTGATAGGTGCACTAAAATCTCAGAAATTATCACTAAAAACCTTATTCATGTAATCAAATGCCACCTGCTCCCTAAAAATCTATTGAAATAAAAAATAAATTTTTGGCCAGGCACAGTGGCTCATGCCTGTAATCCCAGCACTTTGGGAGGCCGAGACAGGTGGATCACGAGGTGAGGAGTTCGAGACCAGCCCAACCAACATGGTGAAACCCCGTCTCTACTAAAAATACAAAAATTAGCCGGGCATGGTGGCACATGCCTGTAATCTCAGCTATTCAGGAGGCTGAGGCAGGAGGATCGCTTGAACCTGGGAGGCGGAGGTTGCAATGAGCTGAGATCATGCCACCACACTCCAGCCTGGGCAACAAAGCAAGATGCCATCTCTAAATAAATAAATAAATAAATTTTTTTTAAAAACTTGTTCTTTAACAAAAACCACCTGTTCCATTTTGCTTGCTGCTCATGGGGCAGGGTATGAAGTTTTCAGAACCTCAGGCCCATAATTATAGACACATTCCTTCCATTAATAACTGAACATTTGTCTGTAAATGCAATTTTGAATGCTGAATCATAATTAAAGCTCTATGGTGGCTGGGCTCAGTGGCTCACATCTGTAATCCCAGCACTTTGGGAGGCCGAAGCAGGTGGATAACTTGAGGCCAGGAGTTTGAGACCAGCCTGACCAACATGGTGAAACCCCATCTCTACTAAAAGTTCAAAAAAATAGTATTTTCTATGGTGGTGGGCACCTGTAATCCCAGTTACTTGGGAAGCTGAGACAGGAGAATCACTTGAACCTGGGAGGCGGAGGTTGCGGTGAGCCGAGATCGTGCCACTGCACTCCAGCCTGGGGGACAGTGACAGAGCCAGAGAGCCAGACCCTGTCCAAAAAAAAAAAAAAAAAGCCTCAATGTTATATTCAAAAAGAAAGAAAGGAAGGAAGGAAAAAAGAAAGAAAAATGAAAGAAGGAAAGAGAAAGAAAAGAAATAAAAGAAACGAAAAGAGAAGAAAAGAGAAAAGAAAAGAAAAGTTATCTGGGAGCTAGGGCCTGGAATGGGGAACCTCACAACCCTGCTTGATGCCCTGTCCTACTGTGGCCGAACTGGTTTCCCTGTTGCAAGACAAAGTCCTCTTTACTTTTCCCTCTCCTCTCCTCAGGGTAAGGAAGGGTCTCTTTTGGAGCTGTGAATTGTGCTGCCTGGGGTTGAGGGGAGGGGTGATGCAAGTACTCCCTTATCCACTCCAGCGTGTGACTCACAAGCTGGGTGTCCCCCAAGTCCACTGGCTCCAAGCCCAGCGCAGCATTGGAGTTTGCCTAGGAATTAGAGGCTTGCCTGGAACTGCAACCTAGACTACCTTTCAGGTTTATTTGGGACCCCAGAGCCTCTTAGCCCACAATGGCAAAGCTTGCTGAAACTCAAGTTCTGACTGTTGGAATGGGCGATTCCCCTCTGGCTAGGGCTAGTCTAAATGCTTCCTCTGGGTTTTGGCTGAGTTCTGCCTGGTATTGGCAGCCCTGAGTTCCAATGCAAAGTCCCACAATTGCTGCAGTCTCCCTCCGCCAAGCACACCCCATGTGACACCCATCTTTGTGCCACATTGCCACTGCCAAGAGATGAGGAAGGGGTTGTGCAGGCAATTCAAGACTGTCTTTCCTACCCTCTTCAGTGCCTTTCAGTGATATGACGTTAAAGCCAGGTATTGTGATCGTTAACCTGATTGTTGGTTCTTAACAAGGTGCTTTTTTGTGGAGATAGTTGTTAAATTTGGTGTTTTTGTCAGGAGGGTAATCAGTGGAGGCTTCTATGCAGCCATCTTGCTCCACCTCCTTGGTCAATAGTATTTTTTTATAAATAATTATCTTTATAATTAAATTTTTGTCTGAGATTTGTTTTAAAATAATTTAGTCATGAGTTGGTAAGTACTGAAACTGAAGAATAGATATACAAGAGTCATCTTGTGTAGCTTATATGTGGGTTTGTATATAGTTAAAATTTTAGAAATGAAAATGTTTTAGTAAATTACCTACTTGTCTAAAAGTATCTTTGACATTTCCCCAACCAAAGATAATGAAAGAATTAGAAAAGTTGACCTAGAGGGAAAAACTAAAAGAATTAGTATGAGCTTTGCCCAGATACAAGTGAAAGTCAATCTGATCAAGTATCTGGAATGGTTATATAATAAACAAACTTTGTTTTCTTTCTCATTTCCCAAGTAATTGAAGACAAGAAAACTTTTCTTCATTGTAGAAACTTACATGATAGAATAGGTAATAGGATTGATTATAACTTCTAATAGAAGATTGAATCAATTATAATCAAATAAAGTATAACTTCTAATGTAGGGTAAACATCACGTCATTTAAGGCTTTCAAAGTAACCTATATATAACCTACTTTATATGTTCAGAACAATGTCTGAAAACCCAGCTGATGGCTGTGGAATCAGAAGGGGAACACTATGAAGTAGGAGAGGGTTATCTATTGAAATTTAGCCTTATCTATAAAGTTTTATTTTATTTTTCACTTTTTATATGGGGGAGGTGTGAGGGGAATTCATTTTTGTTACTGTGAATAAGAAGAAATCTTTTTTGAAGTAACCCTTCTCTTCTGAGCAATGCTTTATAGACAAGGCATAGAGAAATTCCCATGTTTAGCTACTTTCATTACTGCCTAGAAGGGGAATGGCAAAGCACCTAAATCATGTGTACACCCTGATAATGATGATTGATAATGAATTAGTGCCTTTCACCCAGAGGAATCAATGCTGGGTCTTTCTAGAGGAATTAGATCAACTTTGTGAGCCTGATAATAAAGTTTCTTGGGCTTTAAAGTGTTCTGTGAATCATAAACCTTTCAAAGAAAACACATAGATTCCTGCATCCTAAGGAGTATGTACTGAATGAATATTAGTTTTTCTACACAATATCCCATTTTCTCTTCTTCTGGTAAAAGCAGATCAATTTTCATTAGGCAAACCACCCTTTCTTCACAGTTAAGTTCATGAGGCTTAAGTAAGGATAAACTTGCTCCTCTCCTCAATTAAGGCCGCCAAATAAGAATCAGAGATTGCAGATTGTCTACAGAAGGAACATGAAAATATAAACTCTGACAAAGTCATCCCTGAAACTTTTGAGAATGAGACACTGATAGAATTTTAGGTCATGTTTTCTAGTGACCATTTTTTTTCACTTTATAGGAAGATCTTGCCTGAACAGGAGACCAACACAAAAGAACATAAATGAGAGAGAGGGAGCCTTAGTGACATCACATGGGGCTCTGAACTCGATGTGCTATTTTCTTGTTTAACTTAGAGTTGGTGTGGCTAGGCATAATAATGGTCCCCGAAGGTGCCCACATCCCCAGAACCTATGAATGTTACCTTACACGGCAAAAGGAACTGTGCGGAACTGTGCAGATGTGATTTAGCTAAGCATCTTGGCAGGGAGAGATTATCCTGGATTATCCAGGCGGCCCAATGTAATCACAAGGATTCTTAAAAGACAGAGGAAAGAGATCGAAGTCAGAGATAAGAAGTGACAACAAAAATAGAGGTCAGAGTGATGCAGGGAAAGGGGCAGGAGTCAAGGGATACGGGCAGCCAATAAAAGATAGAAAAGACAAGGAAACAAATTCTCCCCCAGAGCCTCAAAAAGGAACATGGCCCTGCTGACTTTAGCCTACCCAGTTTGATTTTTGGACTTTTGACTCCAGAATTGTAACAGAAAAAAATTGTGTGGCATTGAGCAACTCAGTTCATAATATTTTGTTACAACAGCAGTAGGAAAGGAAGCAGTTATCATTCTGGCACTTATAACTGCTTATGATTATTGTTCCTAATGATTATTGTGCCCATGAACAATTCAAAACCAGTTATGAACAAGAAGCTCAACCTCCTAAATGCATCTCCACACTTACTAAAAAATGCAAAGCTTCAGGACTGAAGTTATTGAAAACATGAATCCAATCTCAGATTTGATTCTAAAGTGGAGCCAAAATTAACTTTTAATGGTGTAATTACTTTGAGTATATTTTAACACCAGAGAGCAATGGCTTATCCAAACAAAATAGAGGTGTTCTTATTGGAATAAATATAGATTTTCTGTAAATCTAGTTTAATGTCTACATTGATAATTACCACAAAGCTGAAAAGTACAGAAGAAAATTCCTATAGGGACATTTCCCCAAAATGTTAAGCTGATTAAAAGAATGTGATAAGAATATGATGTGAATCAAGCAGGACATACACTTTGCAACCAATGACATCAAGATTGACTTTTAGTTTTCTTTTATGTTGACCTGCTCTTCAAAGAAAAGTGTGCCAAAATTTTAGAGTAGAAGGAGATAAATATTGAGAATTTGGAAATAGCCTTAAAATGTAAGAAATGCAAATGAAGGGAAAAGTCAGCTGTGGATTCATAGCTTGATGGGAAGAGAAAGGAAATTAAAGAAAAAAGAACTGGAATTATAAACTTCAGAACCCTGACCATCTATCTGTTTCCTTCCTCATCTCCTACCTCAAAATTAATGGGGAAAATAAGAAAAAAGACTGTCTCAGCCTGTTCAGCCTACTATAACAAAATACCTTAGACTGGGTAATTTGTAAACAACAGAAATTTATTTTTCATAGTTCTTAAGGCTGGGAAGTCCAAGATCAAGGTGCCAAAGATTTGATGTCAGGTGAGAGCCTGCCTATTCCTCACAGATTGCACCTCTTGCTGTGTCCATACATGGCAGAAGGGGCAAGGCAATTCCCTATTAACTCTTTTATAAGGGTACCAATCCCATTCATGAGAGCTGAGGCTTTACTACTTCATCGCTTCCCAAAAGGACCCACCTCTTAATACTATCACACTGGATATTAGGTTCCAACATAGGAATTTTTGAAGGACTCCAACATTCACACCATAGCAAAGACCAAAAGGGGAAGAAAGAAGGGAATGGGATGATGAAAGGGGCAGCTCTATAATAATTTTCAGCCACTCCAGTTTGGACACCTGAAGCATTTAATCGGTTGAAGGAAAAAAGGCAACAAAACAAAAATGACTGTAGAAGAACGATTTCAAAAATCATTAAATTCCTCACAAAATTAGAAACAATCTAAAAGGAAAATCCAGAAAGATTTTATGTGGTGTTTGGTTTTGTTTTATAATGCTCACTAGACGCTAGCTCAGGTGCTGGGGACACAGGCTAGTGGAGGATTGTGGAAGGGAACAGGATAATTCCTCCTGCAAGGAGGTTATATTCAACTGGAGTTACATAGAACTAAAGAAGAAATGTTATTCCTTTTTTCTCTCCCCCTGCTCTACCATTCATCTTTTCCCCACTCCTACATACCTAATTTAAACTGAGGAGCCCCAGCTACCAAGAGGCTGAGACAAGAAGACCATTTGAGCCCCGATGTTCAAGGCTGCAGTGATCTATAATCAAACCACTGCACTCCAGCCTGGGTGACAAAGCAGGACCTCATCTCTAAAACAAAAATAATAAACTGAGAGCCCTTTTAAAGTAGTCAAGGTCACCTGGCCAATATGGTGAAACTCTGTCTCTACTAAAAGTGCAAAAATTAGCTGGGCGTGGTGGGGCACGCCTGTAGTCCCAGCTACTCAGGAGGCTGAGGCAGGAGAATCACTTGAACCTAGGAGGCAGAGGTTGCAGTGAGCCGAGATCACACCACTGTATTCCAGGCTGGCGACAGAGCGAGATTCCGTCTCAAAAAAAAAAAAAAAAAAAAAAGTAGTCAAGGTCAATGCCTAATAGAAACAGAGTTTGTAGACAGTGACAATTCTCAATCAATCAACAATTTTTTAGTTATTTCTAGATAAATACACTAAAACCTTACCATAATTGTTCTCAAATAATTTTTACATAATTGTGTGTTAAAGTAATTTCATTGAGATCAGTCTTATTCTCTGCTGCATATCCAGCATCAAGACAGTGCCTGACACATAGTAGATGCTAAATAAACATGTGTTAAATCAAGGAGAAATACAAAGAAACCATGGGCTATTAATTTTTGTCATGGAGAAAAGACATAGAAAAAGAAAGACCTGAAAAAACACATGATACTAATCAAATACGTGATACAGCTCAGATCAGTGATACAGTTTACTCTGGTGTAAAAGAGGAGAAAATTCTGTGGTTTTACATTTGAAATACAAGTATTTAGTAGCTACTCCTCTACAATGCATGTGAAACTAGCAATTTTTTTCACTTGGGCTTAGAAAAGGAGTATTTATTGTATGTCAATGACTAGAACTGCACTGTCCAATACAGTAGCCACTTGCCATATGTGGTTCTTTTCATTGAAATTAAATTTAAAATTATATAACTCATTTGCATTAGCCACATTTCAAGCGTTCAACAGCCACATGAGTCTAGTGGCTATATATTAGGCAGTGCAGATGTAGAACATGACCATCATCATGGAAAATCCTATTTTATGGTTCTGGTCCATACCATGATGCATTATAACATAGAAGCAGCCAGAATTTTACAAGTTAGAGAAATAAGACACAAGCTCACACACATACAAAGTTATATAAAGTGCTCCATATCAACCCAGTATCTACAGTGACCAAATCAGTATTTTCTCTGATTTCACTTTCTCTCAAATATTTTCATTTATTTAATACAGATAATTGTGCGTTTTTAAAGTCTAGCAACGATTGAGAAACCCCAACACCATTTGACATCATCAGCCACTTCTTTTTATTTAGTCCTTCAAAGCCTGAGACTATCTCTTCAAGTTATATCTGCTAATTCCTGGCATTTGTGGACTTGTGCATTCCTCTGATGGGCACTGGTTGAAGTCTTGCCTCTAGCTGACAATTCACCTTTAGAACTGACTATGTACCAGACCTCAGCAACACATCTGCCAAGCCATAATTAGCCAGATAAATATGCATCTTATTTCTAAAGGTCCATAGAAGCATGTGTATCCAAACTGACAAGTCTCTGGTATTAAATTGTTCCCTAGACTTTGCACTTCAGGAGGATATCTAATAGACAAAGATTGATTCACCAATTAAATAAAATCTGCATGTTCTAAATCAAAAACAAGCTCATTGAGGTTTATTTAGCTAGAAATCCCTTGCTAAATTATTGTTTAAAATAAGACATAAACAGGGAAAACACCATTGCATGATGAGTAATTAGAAAAATGAATGACTTTTTGACCAAATTAGAGGTTGAAGTGAAAATTCCTGAGGATGAAAAATAAAGCAAATGCATGTGTGTTATTAATATTATATATGTGTCCCTAGGTGTGCTACAACATCTACGATTTGATGGCTATATTTGTTGAATACAAAAAAAATTAGATATGAATAAATTTGGAAATACTTGCATACATTCTTTGTCTTACTTAACTTACTCCTACTAAATTAGAGACTTCCTTCTTCTAGATAGGAGTAATATAAAACCAAGAAGATAAACTTGGAAAAGAATATGACCTTTGGTGAAAATAGCACTAATTATTTACCAACTGCCCAAGTGAAAAAGAGTAAAAGAGAAAGAGTTCTAACAATGGGACTACCCAAATACAAGAAGTCTATTGCTCCTTCAAAAACACAAACATTGCCAGGCATGATGGCTCACACCTGTAATCCCAACACTTTGGGAAGCCAAGATGGGCAGACTGCTTGAGCTGGGGAGTCTGAGCCCAGCCTGGACAACATGGTGAAACCCCATCTCTACAAAAAAATACAAAAATTAGCCAAGCATGGTGGTGCACAGCTGTAGTCCCAGCTACTCAAGAGACTGGGATGGGAGGACCAACTGAGACCAGGAGTTAGAGGCTGCAGTGAGCTTTGATGGCACCCCTGCACTCCAGCCTGGGCAGCAGAGTGAGACCCTGTCTCAAAAAAACAAAACAAATAAAAAACATTAAATGACTTTCATAAGGATTAGCAAATCCTGGTCTGCTTAGCAACATCCTGAAAATCTGAAACCCTCGCTTTGCAGAGGGAGCCCAAAGTGACCACTCTTAAGAAGGCACATGAGATCATATTTTCAAACAGGCAATGTAATGAATGAGCTCATAAAAGTTTTTCATGCCCTACTAATTTTGATGATAGAAGTCACATTTGATTACCCTGCTTAAACATCCATTGTCAAGAGCAACTTAGGTAGACAGAAATGCCCTCTCTTACTGCCAAACTGCCCCTTAGACTTATTTAGAATCTTATCCATGTTTAAGGTTTTTCTCTCAGGGTATGAATTATCTGTTTTATAAAGGCATTCCCAAAAATGCTTTATATACTTGAAGAGAGCTCCAATATATAGTTACTGGAGGAAAAAAAGACAATTTTAGCATTTATTTTCCAAAAATTTGACTTTGCATTTCTATGGAGAGGAGGAAGCCAGAATTTTCCTTCAAAGATTTGCTGTTAAAATAAGGAACATGCCACTTTCCAGCAATGGACCTGGCTAGATGGCTAAGGAAAATAATAGCTAGCAATCTCTCCATCCAATATCTGAGGCTAACTTACATAAATATTACTGACATACAATAAAACAATTGTTTTTATGCTCAACCACTAAAACAACTTAAAATTATAATAGTTACCATTCTTTGAGCGATTTGTTTGTGGCAGGCACTGGCTTCAGCACATTACAAATATAATTAACAACTCTATTAAATAGGTATTATTAGTCCAATGTTCAGATGAAAATATTGAGACTCAGATTGCTTAAAAGATATGTCAGGTTTAAATAGCTATGAACCAGCAGAGATCAGATTTATACCACAGTCAAATCCTGACTCTAAACTTTGAGTGTTTCCGTAGTGCTTCTCAAATTGTCTACATTATGAATTTATACAATTTTCTCATTTAAAAGAAAAACAAATTTTTATTTCCCATTCTCCTTACTTTTAAAATGGTATTGGTACTATCTTCTTCAACTGGTACTATCTTCAACATTGTTGTTGTAAGATAAAATTAAAGTAGAGGGTGCAGTGGCTTAAGCCTGTGAACCCAGCACTTTGGAAGGCTGAGGTGAGAGGATCACTTGAGGCCAGGAATTCGAGACCAGCCTGAGCAACATAGCAAGACACCATCTCTACAAAAAAAAAAAAAATTTAATTAGCCAGGCATGGTGCACGCACCTGTAGTGAGCTTCCTGGGAGGCTAGGGCAAGAGGATTGCTTGAGCCCAGGAGTATAAAGCTGCAATAAGTTAGGATCGCAACACTGCACTCCAGCCTGGACAACAGAGTGAGAGTTTATCTCTAAAAAAACAAAGAAAGAAAGATGATCTTCTCATCTCAATTCCCCTGTAGAAAGTGGTAACGTTAGTCACTTTCAGAAGGCAGTCTGTGATTGTAGGAAAGGAAAGGAAGGGAGAATTTTCACTACATGCCCCTTTTACTTTTTTAGCCATGTAACTAGATTAACTGATCAAAGAAATAAATAAAATTTAATTTTTAAAGATAATTTTCTAGATTCTACATATAAGTGAGATCATATAGTACCCATTTTTCTGTGTCTGTCTTATTTCATTTAACATAATTTCCTCCAGTTTCATCCATGTTGTTACAAATGGCAGGATTTCCTTGTTTCAGAGCTAAATGATACTCCATTGTATCTACATAGCACATTTTCTATAAATATTCATCTGTTCATAGACACTTAGGTTGTTTCCATATCTAGGCTACTGTGAATAATGCTGCAATGAAAACCCAGACAGCTCTTTTTTTTTTTTTTTTTTTTTTTTTTTGAGACAGTGTTTCACTCTCTCACCTAAGTTAGAATGCAGTGGCGTGATCTCAGCTCACTGCAGCCTCAACCTCCTGGGCTCAAGTGATTCTCCTACCTCAGCCTCCGGAGTAACTGGGATTACAGGCACGTGCCTCCATGTCAGGCTAACATTTTGTATTTTCAGTAAAGACAGAGTTTCGCTATGTTGCCTAGGCTTGTCTCAAACTCCTGGACTCAAGCAATTCACCCGCCTCGGCCTCCCAGAGTGCTGGGTTTACAGGCATGAGCCACCGCGCCCAGCCAGATATCTCTTTGAGACACTGATTTCATTTCCCAAAAAGTCAAACTTATAGAAGCAGAGACTAGAACGGTGGCTGCCAAGGGCTTGGGGGTGGAGGAGCTGAAGAGATACTGGTCAATGGGTACAAATTTTCAGTTATAAAGTGAATAAGTTCTGAGGATCTAATGTACAAGAAAGTGACCATGGTTAATAATACTGTGTTGTTTACTTAAAATTTGATAAAAGAACAGTTTTTCAGTGTCTTCTCCATACAAACACACACACACACAGCACTTACATAGAAAATAGTAACTATGGATGATGATAAATGTGTTAATTTGGTTGTAGCAATTATTTCACAATGTATACATACATCGAATTATCATGTTGGAAATATTGAATATATACATTTTTATTTGCAGTTATATTTCAATAAAACTAGAAAAAAATCAAGAGTAACCTGGGTAGTAATAATGGATTTCAGTTCTATGTATCAATCTAAATTCATGCTTAGCTTAATATAGATACAGATATGTATAGATACCTATGTATGCATGGGCTAGTAAATGCACATATAGTTTTTCTCTGAAGCTGAGAAGGCCTAAAGAAGTAGCAACAAAAACTCATTAGGTCCCAGAACTTGGTTTCTTTTTTTTTTCTTTTTTTTTTTTTTTTGAGACGGAATCTTGCTCTGTTGCTCAGGCAGGAGTCCAATGGCACAATCTTGACTCACTGCAACCTCCGCCTCCCGGGTTCAGGCGATTCTCCCGTCTCAGCCTCCCAAGTAGCTGGGATTACAGGCAAGCACCAACCATTTCCAACAAAAGGAATAAGGGATCCTCAAAGAAATGGCTAGTTTAAGCCTGGGGGAGGAAATATACAAGATAAGCCTGGAGCATCTTGTGTCAAAAAGTAAGGAAGAGCTGAAAATAAAAACAAAAAGCCACATTGCTATAGACACTGTGAGACACAGCAGGGGGTCCCTTTTGGGGATCCTGTAAATCTCAAGCATGAACACAAAGGAAAATCCTGAAATTCCTTCAAGCGAAATTCCAGGCATCTAGTTAGCCCCAGAAGTGAATTTAAGTAACTTGTTAAGCAAGAAGGAAATCGTAGCCTAAAACAAAAGCCAAGGAAATTACAGTTCCAGAGATTTTTGCTTTCCCTATAGAAACTAAGAATAAAAACGTATGTCACTGAGTTGTCTTTCATGAGCTTGTACTCCCACTTAGGACCCCCACAAATGGATCCATTGGCACGTATACCCCCAATAAAGAGGACGTGAAGACTAAACTTTATTCACCCTTTATTCTGTTTCTTTCTGAGGGGCTTGGAGAAAAAAAGTTCCCCTAGCCAGGCCAGTTAACATTTTTCCACGGACCCCAAATTTTTAAACAAAGCTTCTCTTCTTAACCAATGGCAAATCAGAAGTTCTTGAATCTATCTACAACCTGTAAACCACCACTGCAAGATATCCTGCCCTTTTAAGCTCAAACCAACATGTAACCACCATATTGATTTATTATTTTACCTATAACTTCTGCTTTTCTGAAATTTACCCTTGCCTTAAAAAACTCATTGGGGAGTCTAGACTTGGGCATTTAGCTGTCTGATCTTCCTTGTGTAGTACTATGCAATAAACATCTTCCTTTCTAGCACTGCAAAAACCTCAGTGTAGGCATCTGTTTTTACTGTGCCAGACAAGTGGACCCCAGTTCAGTTCTATAACAACAGGAGCCACTGAAAGAGCTCTCAGTAGCCAAAAATGGAAGGAATTAAGCAAAAAAATAAATAAAGTAGTATTGGATTATAACTCAAAGTATAAAATAAATATCCTAGTCCCTGCAAACATAAATAAGGAGATTTTGGTGAACATCAGCAACCATAAACTGTGTTTATAATACGTATCCTTGATATGACGAGATGAAAATGGCACTTTACCTCTGTGGTCTTCCTCCCAATAACTCACAAACCTGTCTTATCATGAGGAAAACATCAGTTAAATTCAAATAGTGGGGACTAGAGAGGATCACGGTGGACGGGAGGCAGGACTGGATTGCAGCTCCCACGCGGACGGACAGAGCAGCATGTGGAGGCTCACTTCATGAACTTTTGCTCTAGAACTACTGCAGGAATAAATCAGGAAAGCTGAGAGAACCCACAGACCCACTGAAGGAGGCAAATTGCTCCTGCACGACCCGGGAGACACCACAAATACTGTGAGTGCCCAAACGGTGAAAATGGGAAAGGGGGATTGTCTGCCCTCGAACATACACCCTCAATGGGGAATCTCAAGGTCTAGCGAATGGGAGAAGATTCTAACCTCACCTGGAGCTGAATCAATTTAGAGAGCAGAACAAAACACAGTGGTAGAAACAGCAGCAGGAAAAGCCCTGTGGGCTCTCTGGGTCTCCTAAGAAACCATTTCTGCCTTGCCTCACAGGGGTCCCTGGAGCAGGCTGCCTGGGGGTACTTGGAAAAGGCCACAGGGAGAAGGAAACCTCCAGCTGAACTTTGTAACAATTTCAACCAAATGAGAAGTCTCCCGGCCAGAACTCAGGGCAGGGTGTGAATCTGGTGTGCAGACTCCACAGGCGGAAAGTACGAAAGCCCTGCATGCTTTTGCAGCTGGGAGACTGGTAGCCTGGGGCAAGTTCTCAGCTCTGCTTGCCCACTGCCTGGAAACAAACTCAGTGCTATTGTGGGGATACAGGGGAAGAGTGGAAGTGAGACCAGCCTTTTTGGTTGCAAGGGAACAGGGTAAGGCCTGTGACTGCTGGCTTTCCCCCACTTCCATGACAACCTGAATGACACAGCAGAGCCAGCCATAAGCCTCTTGGGAACATAACTGCATTGACCTGGGAACCACACCCTCATCCCACACAGCAGCCCAAGCAAGACCCGCTCAAGGAGAGTCTGAGCTCAGATATGCCTCGCCCTGCCCCCACCTGATAGTCCTCCCCTACCCACCTTAGTAGCTGAAGACAAAGGGCATATACTCTTGGGAGTTCTAGGGCTCCGCCCACCACCTGATCCTCCCCATACTACCACAGCTAATGCTCTGTTGAATGCACCACCTCCTGGCAGGAGGTCCACCAGTACAAAAATAGTGAATTAAACAGCCAAAACTAAGGACCTTCACAGAGTCCATTTCACCCCCCTGTCACTTCCACCAGAGCAGGTGCTGGTATCCACAGCTGAGAGACCCATAGATGGTTCTTATCACAGGACTCTGTACAGGCAACCCCCAGTACCAGCCCAGAGCCTGGTAGACCTGCTGGGTGGCTAGATCCAGAAGAGAGATGACAATCACTATAGCTTGGCTCCCAGGAAGCCACATCCCTAGGAAAAGAGGGAGAGTACTATATCAAGGGAACACCCATGGGACAAAAGAATCTGAACAACAGCCTTCAGCCATCTGACAGAGCCTACCAAAATGAGAAGAAACCAGAAAACCAACTCTGGTAATATGACAAAACAAGGTTCATTAACACCCAAAAAAAATCACACTAGCTCACCAACAATGGATCCAAACCAAGAAGAAAATCCCTGATTTACCCAAAAAAAAATTCAGAAGGGCAATCATTAAGCTAATCAAGGAGGCACCAGAGAAAGGCAAAGCCCAATGTAAGGAAATTTTTTTAAATGATACAAGAAATGAGAGGGGAAATCTTCAAGGAAATAGATAGCATAAATAAAAAACAATCAAAGCTTCAGGAAACAATGGACACACTTATAGAAATGCAAAATGCCCTGGAAAGTCTCAGCAATAGAATCGAATAAGCAGAAGAAAGAACTTCAGAGCTTGAAGACAAGGTTTTCAAATTAATCTAATCCAACAAAGACAAAGAAAAAAAGAAAATATGAACAAAGCCTCCAAGAAGTCTGGGATTATGTTAAACAACCAAACTTAAGAATAATCAGAGTTCCTGAGAAAGAAGAGAAATCTAAAAGTTTGGAAAACATATTTGGGGGAATAATCAAGGAGAACTTTCCGAGCCTTGCTAGAGACCTAGACATCCAAATACAAGAGGCACAAAGAACACCTGGGAAACTCATCTCAAAAAAATCATCGCCTAGGCACACTGTCACCAGGTTATCTAAAGTTAAGATGAAGGAAAGAATCTTAAAAACTGTGAGTCAATAGCACCAGGTAACCTATAAACTAAAACCTATCAGATTAACAGCAGATTTCTCCGCAGAAACCCCGCAAGCTAGAAGGGATTGGGGCCCTATCATCAGCCTCCTCAAACAAAACAATTATCAGCCAAGAATTTCATAGCCAGCTAAACAAAGCTTAATAAATGAAGGAAAGATACAGTCTTTTTCAAACAAACAGATGCTAAGAGAATTCACCACTACCAAGCCAACACTACAACAACTACTAAAAGCTCTAAATCTTGAAATGAATCCTGAAACATATCAAAACAGAACCTCTTTAAAGCATAAGCCTCCCAGGACCTATAAAACAAAAATACAATTTAAAAAAAAAAAGGTATACAGGCAACAAATAGCATGATGAATGGAATAGTACCTCATATCTTAATACTAACATTGAATGTAAATGGCCTAAGTGCTACACTTAAAAGATACAGAATTGCAGAATGGATAAGAATTCACTAACCATCTGCTGCCTTCAAGAGACTAATCTAACACATAAGGACTCACATAAACTTAAGGTAAAAGGGTGGAAAAAGACATTCCATGCAAATGGACATCAAAAGCAAGCAGGATTTGCTATTTTTATATCAGACAGAACAAACTTTAAAGCAACAGCAGTTAAAAAAACAAAGAGGGGCATTATATAATGATAAAAAGGCCTTGTCCAACAGGAAAATATCACTATCCTAAATATATATGCACCTAACACTGGAGCTCCCAAATTTATAAAACAATTACTACTAGACCTAAGAAATGAGATAGACAACAACACAATAATAGTGGGGGACTTCAATACCTCACTGACAGCACTAGACAGGTCATCAAGACAGAAAGTCAACAAAGAAACAATGGATTTAAACTATACCCTAGAACAAATGTACTTAACAGATATTAACAGAATATTCTAGCCAACAACCACAGAATATACATTCTATTCAACAGCTCATGGAACTTTCTCCAAGATAGACCATATGATAGGCCACAAAACAAGCCTTAATAAATTTAAGAAAACTGAAATTATGTCAAGCACTCTCTCACACCACAGGAACTAAAACTGGAAATCAACGCCAAAAGAAACCTTCAAAACCATGCAAATACATGGAAATTAAATAACCTGCTTTTGAACGATCATTGGGTCAACAATGAAATCAAGACAGAAATTTAAAAATTCTTTTTTTTTTTTTTGAGATGGAGTCTCACTCTGTTGCCCAAGCTGGAGTGCAGTGGCATGATCTTGGCTCACTGCAACCTCCGCCTCACAGGTTCAAGCAATTCTCCCTGCCTCAGCCTCCCAGGTAGCTGGGATTACAGGCGCCCGCCACCATGCCTGGCTAATTTTCGTAGTTTTAGTAGAGACAGGGTTTCGTCATGTTGGCCAGGCTGATCTTGAACTCCTGACCTCAGGTGATCTGCCTGTCTTGGCCTCCCAAACTGCTGGGATTACAGGCGTGAGCCACTGCGCCCAGCGGGAAATTGAAAAATTCTTTGAACTGAATGATAATAGTCACATAACCTATCAAAACCTCTGGGATACCACAAAGGTGATGCTAAGAGGAAAGTTCATAACTCTAAATGCCTACATCAAAAAATCTGAAAGACCACAGACAGACAATCTAAAGTCACACCTCAAGAACTAGAGAAACAAGAACAAACCAAACCCAACCCTAGCAGAAGAAAGGAAATAACCAAGGTCAGAGCAGAACTAAATGAAATTGAAACAAAAAAAAAAAATAGAAAAGATAAATGAAATAAAAAGCTGGTTCTTTGAAAAGATAAATAAAATTGATAGACCATTAGCAGGATTAACCAAGAGAGAAAATCCAAATAAGCTCAATTAGAAATGAAATGGGAGATATTACAACTGAGAACACATAAATAGAAAAGATTATTCAAGACTACTATGAACACTTTTATGCACATAAACAACAAAACCTAGAGGAGATGGGTAAATTCTTGGAAAGATACAACCCTCCTAGTTTAAATCAGGAAGAATTAGATACCATGAACAGACCAGTAACAAGCAGCAAAATTGAAATGGTAACTTAAAAATTACCAAGAAAAAAAGGCCAGGACCAGATAAATTCACAGCTGAATTTTACCAGACATCCAAAGAAGAATTGGTACTAATCCTTTTGACACTATTCCACAAGATAGAGAAAGAAGGACCCCTTCCTAAATCATTCTATGAAGCCAGTATCACCCTAATACCAAAGCCAGGAAAGGACATAACTAAAAAAGAAACTACAGACCAATATCCCTGATGAACATAGATGCTAAAATCCTTAACAAAATACTAGCTAACCTAATCCAATAAGATATCGAAATGTAATATACCATGATCAAGTGGGTTTCATACCAGGGATGCAGGATTAACATATGCAAATCAATAAATGTGATACACCACATAAACATAATTAAAAACAAAAATATTACATGATCATCTCAATAGATGCAGAAAAAGCATTCAACAAAATCCAGCTTCCCTTTATGATTAAAACTCTCAGCAAAATCAACATACAAGGGACATACCTCAATATAATAAAAGCCATCTATGACAAACCCACAGCCAACATAATACTGAATGGGGAAAAGTTGAAAGCATTCCCTCTGAGAACTGGAACAAGACAAGGATGCCCACTCTCACCACTCCTCTTCAACATAGTACTGGAAGTCCTAGCCAGAGCAATCAGACAAGATAAAGAAATAAAGAGCATCCAAATCGGTAAAGAGGAAGTCAAACTGTCACTGTTTGCTGCTTATATGATTGTACATCTAGAAAACCCTAAAGACTCTTCAAAAAAGCTCCTAGAACTGTTAAAAGAACTCAGCAAAGTATCCGAATACAAAATTAATGTACACAAATCAGTAGTTCTGCTATACACCAACAGCAACCAAGCTGGGAATCAAATCAAGAACTCAACCCCTTTTACAATAGCTGTAAAAATAAAATAACATAACATAACATAACATAACATAACATAACATAACATAACATAACATAACATAACATAACATAAAATAAAATAAAATAAAATAAAATACTCAAGAACATACCTAACCAAGAAGGTAAAAGACATCTACAACGAAAACTACAAAACACTGTTGAAAGAAATCATAGACAACATGAACAAATGGAAACACAGCCCATGCTCATGGATGGGTAGAATCAATATTATGAAAATGACCATACTGCCAAAAGCAATCTACATATTCAATGCAATTTCCCTCAAAATACCACCATCATTCTTCACAGAACTAGAAAAAAACAATCCTAAAATTCATTTGGAACAAAAAACAAGCCCGCATAGCCAAAGTAAGACTAAGCAAAAAGAACAAATCTGGAGGCATCACATTACCTGATTTCAAACTACACTATAAAGACATAGTCACCAAAACATCATGGTATTGGTATAAAAATAGGCACATAGACCAATGGAACAGAATAGAGAACCCAGAAATAAAGCCAAATACTTACAGCCAACTGATTTTTGACAAAGTAAACAAAAACATAAAATGGGGAAATGACACTGTATTCAACAATGGTGCTGGGATAATTGGCAAGCCACATGTAGGAGAATGAAACTGGATCCTCGTCTCTCACCTTATACAAAAACTAACTCAAGATGGATCAAGGACTTAAATCTAAAACCTCAAACTATAAAAATTATAGAAGATAGCATCAGAAAAACCCCTCCAGACATTGGCTTAGGCAAGGATTTCATGACCAAGAACACAAAAGCAAATGCAATAAATCAAAGATAAATTGCTGGGACTTAATTAAACTAAAGAGCTTTTGCACAGCAGAAGGAACAGTCAGCAGAGTAAACACACAACCCACAGAGTGGAAGAAAATCTTCCCAATCTATACATCCGACAAAGGACTAATATCCAGAATCTACGACAATCTCAAACAAATTAGCAAGAAAAAAATCAAACAATCCCACCAAAAAGTGGGCCAAGGACATACATAGACAATTCTCAAAAGAAGATATACAAATGGCCAAGAAACATATGAAAAAATGCTCAACATCATTAGTTATCAGGGAAGTGCAAATCAAAACCACAATGCAATACCACCTTACTTCTGCAAGAATGGCCATAATCAAAAAAATCAAAAAATAATAGATGTTGGTGTGGATGTGGTGAACAAGGAAAACCTCTACAATGCTAATGGTAATGTAAGCTAGTACAACCATTATGGAAAACAGTGTGGAGGTTCCTTAAAGAACTAAAAGTAGAACTATCATTTGATCCAGCAACCCCATTACTGGCTACCTACCCAGTCATTATACAAAAACGATACTTGCACACACCTGTTTATAGCAGCACAATTCGCAATTGCAAAAATGTGGAACCAACCCAAATACCCATCAAACAACGAGTAGATAAAGAAATTGTGGTATGTGTGTGTGTGTGTGTGTGTGTGTGTGTGTGTATGCATGTGTATATATATATGAAATTGTGGTATATATGGTATATATAGAAAGAATTGTGATGTATATATCTCACAATATATATATGATGGAATACTACTCAGCCATAAAAAAGAATGAGTTGATGGCATTTGCAACAACCTGGATGAGACTGGAGACTATTATTCTAAGTGAAGTAACTCAGGAATGGAAAACCAAACATCGTATCTTCTCATTCATAAGTGGGAGCTAAGCTATGAGGATGCAAAGGCATAAGAATTACATAATGGACTTTGGGGGCTCTGGGGTAAGGGGTGGAGGGGGTGAGGGTAAAAAGACTACAAATAGGGTAGAGTATATACTGTTTGGGTGATGGGTGCACCAAAATTTCACAAATTACCACTAAAGAACTTACTCATGTAACCAAACACCACCTGTTCCCCATAACCTACGGAAATAAAAAATAACAGTTAGCTATAAATATATGGATTAATTTCTGCATTCTCCATTTTATTCCATTGGTCTGTATGTCAAATAGCAGGACATCCTGTAAAACACGTGACTAGTATTTCTCAAAACTGTAAAGGTCATCAGAACCATAGGAAAGTCTGAAAAACTGTCACAGCCAGGAGAAGCCTAGAGAGATACAACAACTAAAAGTGATGCAGTATCCTGGATGGGATTCTAAGGTAGAAAACGAGCATTAGGGGCTGGGCATGGTGGCTCACGCCCGTAACCCCAGCACTTTGGGAATCCAAGATGGGTGGATCGCTTGAGCCCAGGAGTTCAAGACTGGCCTGTGCAATATGGCAAAACCCTGTCCCTACTAAAAATTTAAAAATTAGTTAGGTGTGGTGGTGTGTGCCTATGGTCCCAGCTACTCAGGAGGATGAGGTGGGAGGATCACTTGAACCTGGGAGGTCAAGGCTGCAGTGAGCCATCATCACACCACTGCACTCCAGCCTGGGTGACAGAGCAAGACCCGTCTCAAAAAAATAAAAGAAAGAAAAGAAAAGAAGAAAAAAAATAGGTAAAAACTAAGGAAATAAAAAGAACTACGGACTTTAGCTAATAATAATGTGTAAATGTTGGTTCATTAATTATGACATGTATCATACAAATGTAAAACAATAAGAGGGAAAACTGGATGTGGGGTATATAGGAACTCTGTACTACTTTCTTAATTGTTCTGAAATTCTAAAACTGCTATGAAAAGTAAAATCTGAGCCAGGCACGGTGGCTCACACCTGTAATCTCAGCACTTTGGGAGGCCAAGGAGGGTGGATCACTAGAGGCCAGGTGTTCGAGACCAGCCTAGCCAACATGGTAAAACCCCGTCTCTACTAAAAATACAAAAATTAGCCAGGTGTGGTGGCTGGTGCCTGTAATCCCAGCTACTCATGAGGCTGAGGCAGGAGAATCGCTTGAACCCGGGAGGCTGCGGATGCAGTGAGCCGAGATCACACCACTGCACTCTAGCCTGGGTGACAAAGTGAGACTCTGTCTTAAAAAATAAAAACAAATAAATAAATAAATATATAGTATTTAAAAATGAGAAATATATGAAACAATGGTTTTCAGATATGTGAAAATGGCACAGGGATGTGATTCTTGAAAGAAAGCAAACAATGTGAGCCCTAAAATTGCTTCACGGCCTAGAGAGAGCTTACAGGGTGCAGCTCAGGAAGGAAGCCCCTAAAGGGAATCCACAAGGGTTCCCTGAGGTGAGGAAACAAAGTTTAGAGCTTGGGGACACCAAGACAGCTAGAATTTAAAGACCAGATTACCAGAGAAGAGAGAGCTGATAGAGCAAAGGCTCCGGAGATCTATAGAGGATTGCCCTTGATTCTTTAGCTGCCCACTGATTAGCACATGTGTTTGAGGAAACGTCCCAGGGCCAGGGAGAGAACATCAGAAAGAATCAAGTGAAACAATCACCAGAGCTCACACAGGTCAGGAGTTCATATTGCCACTAGCCAGTGTGGGAAGGCCTGTTAACACATGGTGCATCAAGCAGAATTTTCAGAAGGTGTTGCCTCAGTATTAGAGCCGAATTAGCCCTAGGACCCACCTAACAAATTAAAAGCAAACCTTAAAAAAATAAAATTGTTTCCAGATAACTGCCTGCCAAAAAAAAAAAAGACCAAAACTATTTAAAGGAATGCAAACAACCCCAGCCAACAACATAAAATTCAAAATATCTGGCATCCAATAAAATTTAAAAGGCATGCAAAAAAGCAAGAAAATGTGATTTATAATAAAGATAAAATTAATGATCGGAAATAGACACAGAAATGACACAGACAATAAAATTAATAGTTATTAAAACAGCTACTGTAAACATACTCCATATAAAAGAATGTAAATGGTAAGCATGGTAAAGAGTATGGTAAATGGTAAGCATGCTAAAATACTTAAAAGGCACAAACTGATTTCAAGAGATAATAAATGCAGTCTCTGGAAAAAATGTGCCAGATTAAATTAACACCAGACACTGCAGAAGAAAAAGTTAGTGAACTTGAAGAAAGCAATAGAAAAAAAAAAAAGACCCACAGATCAAAGGAGCTCAATGAACACCAAACAAAAAATATATATTTTATATAACATATATATACTGAAATAACTAAAAATGCTCACCGTCACTAATGAAAAATGATCGACATCACTAGTCATCAGAGAAATACAAATCGATACAAATCAAAACCACACCAGATACCATCTCATACCAGTCAGAATGGCTATTACTAAAATATCAAAAAATAACAGATGCTGGTGAGGCTACAGTGAAAAGAGAAAGCTTATGCACTGTTGGTGGGAATATAAACTAGTTCAGCCACTGTGGAAAGCAGTTTGTAGATTTCTCAAAGAACTTAGAACTATACCAGCCAACACAGCACTCCCATTACTAGGTATATACCCAAAAGAAAATAATTAATTCTACCAAAAAGACACATGCACTTGTATGTTAATTGCAGCACTATTCACAATAGTGAAGACATGGAATCAACCTAGGTTCCCATCAATCATGGACTGGAATAAGAAAATGTGGCATACATACACCATGGAATACTACACAGCCATAATAAAGAATAAAATAATTTCCCTTGCAGCAACATGGATGCATCTGGAGGCCTTACACTAAGTGAATTAACACAGAAACACGAAAGCCAAATACAGCATGTTATCACTTGTAAGTGGGTGCTAAACGATGGGTACTCACGGACATAAAGACGGTAACAATACACACTAGGGACTATTGGAGGGGAGGGTTGAAAATTTAATTATTGGGTACTACGCTCAGTACCTGGGTGATGGAATCAATCATACATACCTCAAACCTCAGCATCATGCGATATACCCAGGTAACAAACCTACACATGTACCCTCTGAATATAAAATAATAGTTGAAATTATTAAAAATTTATATATGAAGAAAATTACAAGGCATATTCACTTTAAGCCAGTGTATATTAGTTATCTATCACAGCATATCATTTTATCCAAAACTTAGTAACTAAAAACAACAAACATTTATGATTCCACATAGTTTCTGAGGGTCAGGAAGCCAGGAGTAGCTTAGCTGGGTGGTTTTGGCTCAGGGTTTCTCATAGGGTTTCAGGCAAACTGTTGGCCTGGGATGTAGTCATCTGCGATTGGAGGATCTACTTCCAAGCTGACTTCATGAAAATCAAAAACCTTTGCTCTTCCAATAACACTATTAAGAAACCCCATCTCTACTAAAAATACAAAATTAGGCGGGTGTGGTGGTGCATGCCTGTAATCCCAGCTACTCGGGAGGCTGAGGTAGGAGAATTTCTTGAACCCGGGAGGCAGAGGTTGTAGTGAGCTGAGATCATGCCATTGCACTCCAGCCTGGGCAACAAGAGTGAAATTCTGCCTCAAAAAAAAAAAAAAAAAAAAGAGAGAGAAAGAAAGAAAAGAAAATGAAAAGGCAGGAGTGGAGAAAATATTTGCAAAACATACAATCTGATAAATTACTTCTAGAATATATGAAAAATTCTTACAACTCAGGCCGGGCACGGTGGCTCATGCCTGTAATCCCAGCACTTTGGGAGGCCGAGGCGGGCGGATCACAAGGTCAGGAGATCAAGACCATCCTGGCCAACACAGTGAAACCCCGTCTCTACTAAAAATACAAAAAAATAACCAGGCATGGTGACGGGCGCCTGTAGTCCCAGCTACTCCAGCCTGGGCGACAGAGCAAGACTCTGTCTCAAAAAAAAAAAAAAAGAAAAAGAAATTCTTACAACTCAAGAAGAAGAAGACAAATGACCCAGTAAAAATGGGCAGAAGATTTGAACAGACACTTCACTGAAGAAGATACAAGAATGGTAAATAAGTACATTTAAAAATGTTTAACATCAGTAGTTACTGGGAAAATGAAAATCAAAACCATAAAGTAGTACCAGTATACCCATTGTGTAATGGATAAAATTAAAGAGAATGACCATACCAAGTATTGGTGCAGACATCAAACAATGAATGTGTTCATATATTGCTGAGGAGACTGTAAAGTGGTACAAATACTTTGATAACTTAGCAGTTTCATAGAAGTTCAACATAGATCTACTGTATAATCCAGCCATTCCAACTCTAGATATTTTACCAAGAAAATCAAAGAATATATCCATACAGACACAGACATAGACTTGTACAGAGACTTCTTACTTGCTCATAGCAATTTCATTAGTAAGAGTCACAAACTAGAAAAAAAATAAATACCCAAGAATAAGTGAATGGGTGAACATACTTTGGTAAATCAATACAATGGAATACTACTCACCAATAAAAATAAGAAACCACTGATAGATTCAACAACATGGATTAATCTCAGAATAATTACACCACGTGAAAGAAGCCAGAACCCTCACTCCAAAAATGCATACTGTAGAATTCCATTTACATGAAATTCTAGAAAAAATGGAAATTAATCTACAGTGTCAGAAATCAAATTAGTGCTTTCCTGAGGATGGAGAGAGAGGAAGGGAGATTGGATTACTAAGAAGGACAAGGAAACTTTTAGGGATTAATGAAAATATTTATTTCACTGATTAGTGTAACAGTTTATTCACTTTATAGGTACACAAAATTCTTCAAACTTTTCACTTTATGTATATGCAATTTCTTGTATGTCAAATATACATCAATAAAGCTGTAATAAGTAATAGTTAAGGATAATAATAGAGCATAACTGATTCAATAAAATAAGAATCCATAAGCCCATACTGATATTCAAAGAAAAGATCTATCTTATAGTACAATGCCAACTAATAAATGTACAAGAAATGATCAAATTAGAAAATAACAAGGCCGGGCATGGTGGCTCACACCTGTAATCCCAGCACTTTGGGTCGCTGAGATGGGCAGATCACTTAAGGCCAGGAGTTTGAGACAAGCCTGGCCAACATAGTAAAACTCCATCTCTACTAAAAATACAAAAATTAGCCAGGCATGGTGACAGGTGCCTGTAATCCCAGCTATTCAGGAGGCTGAGGCAGGAGAATCACTCGAACCCAGGAAACGGAGGTTGCAGTGAGCTGAGATTGTGCCACTGCACTCCACCCTCGGCATCACAGTGAGACTCCATCTCAAAAAAGGAAAAAAAAGAATTAGAAAATAACACTCAGCAACCACTGCTGTAATAAATTATTCAGACAAGAATTATCCATAGATGTTAAGCTCATTAAAATTTTGATGAAAAAAAGATACATATGTATAAAATTTAAAAGTAAAGCTCAATAAAATATCTGTTATTAATGAACTCTACAGTGGAGAAATATAAACATCATCTTAACAGTGTGAAAAAAGTTACTATCATTATTAATGAGGAAAATTGGTATTTTGTGCTTCCTAATGTGAGGCATTGAGAGGAAAATCGTATTGCTTCTATAGCATTCTTACCAAAAATCCATACTCTGAATCTAGACATGAAGAAACATCAGACAAACCCAAATTGAGGGAAATACTATAAAATAACTGACCTATCCTTTTCAAAAATGGCAAGATCATGAAAAATGAGGAAAAAACTAAGCATTGAAGGAAACTAAAGAGACATGACACCAGCCTGGCCAACATGGTGAGACCCTATCTCTACTAAAAATACAAAAATTAGCCAGGGGTGATGGCATGATGGCACATGCCTGTAATCCCAGCTACTCGGGAGGCTGAGGCAGGAGAATCACTTGAACCCAGGAGGCGAAGGTTGCAGTAAGCCAAGATCATGCCACCGCACTCCAGCCAGGGCAACAGAGCAAGACCCTGTCTCAAAAAAAAAAAAAAGAGAGAGAGAGAGACATGACAACTAAATACAATGCATGATCCTGAATTGAATCTTGAAACAGAAAGGAAAGGCGGAAAAGTTTTGTTGATGATGCTGTTGCTCTTCCTTTCAATAAGTGACATTATTGAACAATTGTTGAAAATTTTTTTATTATACTTTAAGTTCTGGGATACACGTGCAGAACGTGCAGGTTTGTTACATAGGTATAGACATGCCATGGTGGTTTGCTGCACCCATCAACCTGTCATCTACATTAGGTATTTCTCCTAATGCTATCCCTGCAATTGTTGAAATTTAAGTGGAATTTGTGGATTAAAGTATTGTAGCAATGTTAATACCCTGATTTTGATGAGAGTATTGAGGTTCTATGGAAAAGTATCCTTGTTTTTGGAAATACACACTGAAGTATTTAGGGGTAATTTGTCAACATGTCTGCAACTTAATCTCAAATGTATCAGGAATAAAATAATGGTACATGAAAGAAAAACAGACAAATGTAAATGATTAATAATCAGGAAATCTGGGTGAAGGGTATAAGGTAGTTCTTTGTATTATTTGTGTTTTTCTTGCAAATCTATAAATTTGAAATTATTTCATGGTAAAAAAGGAATTTGAGGCTGGGTGCAGTGATTACAGGCATGAGCCTGTAATCCCAGCACTTTGGGAGGCCATGGCAGGCAGATCACCTGAGGTCAGGAGTTCGAGACCAGGCTGGCCAACATGGCGAAACCCTGTCTCTACTAAAAATACAAAAAGTAGCCTGGCGTGGTGGCGTGCACTGGTAATCCCAGCTACTCAGGAGGCTGAGGCACAAGAATCACTTGAACACAGGAGGTGGAGGTTGCAGTGAGTCTAGATAATGCCACTGCACTCCAGGCTGGGCAACAGAGTGAGACTCTGTCTCAAAAAAACAAAAACAAAAAATAAATAAATAAATAAATAAAAACATGAAGATTCTTAAGCCAAAGAAAAAGAAAAAGAAATTTGAGGAGAAAATAAATTTTTAAAAAAATTATTTCAAATTAGATTTTACAAACTAAAACATTATTGGTGAATTTGGTTAAAGGGTATCTAAGAGTTCCTTTCATTATTCTTGCATCTGCATCTTTTCTGTAGGTTGAAATTATTCCCCCCCGCCCTCCAGAAAAAAAGTAGGTAATGGAAGTCCTGGGAAGATGAAGAGAGGCTTCTCTGGCCTTGAGAAAGAGCCAGTATATTTATTCATACATTCAACATATATGTATTAAATGCCTACCTTGTGCCAAGCATTATCCTCGTTTCTGGGGATGTGGACTTGAATGGGTGGGGTGCAGTGGTGCAGACCTGTAGTCCCAGCTGCTTGGTAGGCTGAGGTGGGAGAATTGCTCGAGCCCAGAAGTTCAAGTCCAGCCTGGGCAACATAATGCGACCCGTCCCTAAGGAAAGAATAATAATAAAATAAATAGACTTGAGTGGAACAAGTATAACCTGGAGCTTATTAGTTAGGGGGTCCAAGGTAGCCAGCCACCCAGAGACCCTTTCTTGAGGAAACTGAGCAAAAGGAAGGGGGTATCAGCAACAGCAGTCTCTGGATAGCAACATTATTATTGTTTAAAGCCCTTAAATACATCCAGTCCTCTTCTGAAAGTTTTTGTTCAGCTTTTCACCTGGAAGAGATTCATCATTATCAAATTCTATATCACTTAAATTCAAATGTCCAATAGTGTCACTTACAGGAAGAATAACAACAGCATCAACAAACATATTCCCTGCTATGGACTGAATGTTTGTATCCCCCCAAAATTTCTATGTTGAAATTCTAACCCCCAATGTGATGGTATTTGGAGATGAGGCCTCTGAGGGTAATTATGGTTGAGGGTAGGGCCCTCCTGATGGGATTAGTGGCTTTATAAGGACAGGAAGAGGCCAGGCACAGCGGCTCATGTCTGTAATCCCAGGACTTTAGGAGGCCAAGGCGGGCGGGTCACTTGAGGTCAGGAGTTTGAGACCAGCCTGACCAACATGATGAAACCCCATCTCTACTAAAAATACAAAAATTAGCCGGGCGTGGTGGCACGTGCCTGTAGTCCCAGCTACTCCGGAGGCTGAGGCAGGAGAATCACTCGAACCAGGGAGGTGGAGGTTGCAGTGACCCAAGGATCGCGCCACTGCGCTCCAGCCTGGACGACGGAGTGAGACTCCACGTCAAAAAAAAAAAAAAAAAAAAAAACAGAGAGAGAAAGGAGAAAGAACAATCTCTCTCCCCCTCCAGGTGCAACTGTGGAGTAAAGGGCATGTGAAGACACAATGAGAAGGCAGTTATCTGCATGCCAGGAGGAGCATCCTCACCAAAACCTAGCCATGCGGGCACCACAACCTCCAGAACTGTAAGAAAATACATTTCTGAGGCCGGGCGCAGTGGCTCCTGCCTGTAATTCCAGCACTTCAGGAGGCCGAGGCAGGCGGATCACCTGAGGTCAAGAATTCGAGACCAGCCTGACCAATATGGTGAAACCCTGTCTCTACTGAAAATACAAAAATTAGCCATGCGTCATGGCGTGTGCCCGTAGTCCCAGCTACTCGGGAGGCTGAGATAGGAGAATTGCTTGAACCCAAGAGGTGGAGGTTGCAGTGAGCCGAGATCGTGTCACTGCACTTCAGCCTGGGCAACAGAGCGAGACTCCATCTCAAAAAAAATAATTAAATAAAATACACATCTGTTGTTTAAGCCACCCAGTATGTGGTATTTTGTTATAAGAGTTCAAGCTAAGACATTCCCTTTCCCTCATTTCCTTTCTTCTTCAAGTTCTAATTCGGGATCAAGTGTCATATTTATTTTTCATGTTTGTTGCAATAATGTCTCTCTGCCGTCATTATGAACACATAAATAAACTAGAGAGGAAGTGCCTATGATCGATGTTTTATTAAAAAAGTGTTTTTTCTTTCAACTACAAAATAATAATAATAATAAAGGGTAATTTTTTAAAAGCACTTAGTAGCTAGTATGTTAAGGATTTTAGAAGGTTTGTCTCACTAAATCCTCCCAACAAATATGAGGTGGGTTCTACTATTACTCCCACACCCCTCATTTGTTAATGACTTAAAGAAGTGAAGTCTCTTTCTCAAAGTCATGGCAGTATTTAAGTGGTAGAGCTAAGAAGAATTCTCCAGAACACAGCTTCTTAAATGTACATACAAATCACCAAGGGATCTTGTTAAAATGCAGAAACTGATCCTGTATGTCTGGAGGAGAACTAAGACTCTGCATTTCTAATAAGCTCCCAGCCGATGCAGAGACTGTCCTCCACTAAATACCCTTTGAATAACAAGGCTGTAGACGTACATGACAGCTAAGTGTGCCCCGCACTAAGCCCTCGCTAGGTATTTCCTGAATTATTTAACAATGGCAGAGATAAGGAAAGAGAAAGAAAGATTTTAAAAACCTGTTGTTGACCTTATTGAGGTTAGCAAGTCATGACTATTTTAACTTTTCTTTACATGGATGTTGTAAAATAAAATATCTTGTGGGAGAGTTGGAAGATTTCCAGGCAGAAGATACTGCACAATTACAGAAGACAATGCAATACTAGAAAGCTGAGAACAGACCATTACCATGCAGTGAGCGCTTTACCTCTATGTGTGTCTACTTAGCGGCAGCACAATTTCAGCAAGACTGTATTCCTTGTCCATACTTCTTTCCATTGACCCAGTTAGTGAGAATGCTGTGAATTAATACTAAATATCTCACCCTCTAAATATCATATGAGGTTATTGGGGCTGCAAAAATCCTGTTAGGAAGAGAAGAGTCACTGGAAGCAAAGCTGAAGGCAAATGCTAGCTGCTAATGTTCCTACTAAGAGTCTGTGGGTAGAACTACCCATCAAAGCAAGTTACTGATAGGGCAACTGCACATTAGTGTTTCTGAGTATAAAGTACAAGTACAGGTTGGTGTGTAGCAGCCTCCAGAAGAGATAAGTTTTGAGACAGACCTTAAACACTCCTGTCAATCATTATTTAAAAAAAAAATACAGCTTTACCAATTAACTTGCCATAAGCTGCACATCACATATTCAAAGTGTACAATTTTATAAGTTTTGACAGATGTATGTATATTCATGAAACCATCATCACAATCCAGATAATGAACAAGTCCAACCATCCCCTGAAAAGTTTCTCATAACCTTTTGTAATCCCTACCCACTCCCATCTCCAGGCAACTACTAATCTACTTTCTATCACTGTAGGTGAATTCACATTTTGTGTGTTCTCCTTTTGCTCGGTTTCTTTCACTTAGCATAATTATTTTGAGACTCATCCACATTGTTGTGTGTATCAATACTTTGCCCCTTTTATTGCTGAGTAGTATTTCATTGTACAGATACACCACGGTTTACCATTCACCTGTTCATGGCATATGGATTATTTCCCATTTTTTTGGCTATTACAAATAAAGCTGTTTTGATGGCATTGTCATTTTTACCTGTAGAAACTCACTTTAGGTCTTTACAAAAAAAAATCTTTTTGAGCATATGAAATAGAGTTATAGTAACTGGCTTTAATGTCCTTTACTTCTTCTTTTTTTTTTTTTTTTACAGAGTTTCACTCTTGTCACCAGGCTGGAGTGGAGTGCAATGGTGTGACCGCCACTCACTGCAACCTCCGCCTCCCAGGTTCAAGTGATCCTCCTGCCTCAGCCTCCCGAGTAGCTGGGATTACAGGCACCCACCACCATGCCCGGTACTAATTTTTGTATTTTTAGTAGAGACAGCGTTTCACCATGTTGGCCAGGCTGCTCTCAAACTCCTGACTTCAGATGATCCACTTACCTCGGCCTGCCAAAGTGCTGAGATTATAGGCATAAGCCACCGTGCCCAGCCTCTGTATCACTTCTTGATCCAATTCAATTGATTGATTTTTCTCTTCATTATGCATCAGTTTTTGTTGTTGTTGTTGTTTTTTGCCTTTTTTCATGCCTAGTAAAATTGTGAATTTCACCTTGATGAGTTCTGCATCTTTTCTGTATCTCAATAAATATTCTTGAGCTTTGTTCTCAGATATAGTTAAGTTACTTGGAAATGGTTGGATCCTCTTTTGGTCTTGCTTTTGAGACTTATTAGGAATGGGCCGGGTGTGGCGGCTCATGCCTGTAATTCCAGCACTTTGGGAGGACAAGGTGGGCAGATCACTTGAGGTCAAGGGTTCGAGACCAGACTGGCCAACATAGTGAAACCCCAACTCTACTAAAAATACAAAAATTAGACAGGCGTGGTGGTACATGCCTGTAATCCCAGCTACTGGACAGGCTGAGGCACAAGAATCACTTGAACCCAAGAGGTGGAGGCTGCAATGAGCTGAGATCCCACCACTGCACACAAGCCTGGGCAACAGAGTAAGGCTCCAAAAAAAAAAAAAAAGGCGGGGGGGGGGGCCGGGCACAGTGGCTCACACCTGTAATCCCAGCACTTTAGGAGGCCGAGGCGGGCGGATCACAAGGTCCGGAGATCGAGACCATCCTGGCTAACACGGTGAAACCCCATCTCTACTAAAAATACAAAAAATTAGCCGGACATGGTGGCAGGCACCTGCAGTCCCAGCTACTCAGGAGGCTGAGGCAGAAGAATGGCGTGAACCCGGGAGGTGGAGCTTGCAGTGAGCCAAGATCGTGCCACTGCACTCCAGCCTGGGTGACAGAGCGAGACTCTGCCTCAAAAAAAAAAAAAAATTAGGAATGACCAGAGCCACGATTAGTCTTGGGTTAACTTAACTATTGCACACTACTGAGTCAAGGCCCTTCTCAGTATTGTCCCCAGCGTCCTGTGAATTGTGAGCTTCTCCAGTCTAGCTAGTAAGATGGCAGTTTCTCTGGCCTTGTGTGAGTGTTATATGCTCTTCTCTCTAATCCTCTCAGTGGTTTTTCCCCGGCTTTGAGTCATTTCCTCTCATGGATGTGCTGACCAGCTTTCTCCTGAATACTAAGGGGCACCCTCTACAGATCTCCAGAATTCTCTCTGGGGCAGCTCCTTCACTTCTGGCACTCTGTCCTGAAAATGCTAGCTGCCTCCGTTTCCCCAGACTCTCAACTCTGTCTCCTCAACATACAGAGTTCTACCAGACCCTGCCTGGGGTCCCCCTCTCTTTGTCACAACCTGGGATCTCTCTCAGTTCAGGAGGCTGTGTAATCACAGGGCTCATTTGTTTCCCATTTTCCAACATTACTGCCCTTCATTGCTTGATGTCTTAAAAATTGGTTTTATATATTTTTTGTCTATTATTTGGTTTTTTTCTATGTTTTTTCAGAGAAGACTGTAAACTCCAGTAATTCTTATTCCATCTTGGTAGTAAGATATTTGCATCTTAAATTTGTGCTGTGGTATAGGTTTTTGAGCTCTGAGATATAAGCACCAGACCAACTCCCCCTTTTTCTCAAAGGTCTGAGTATTAGATCTGTAGGGCCCTTATTGTAAGCCTTTAATGGGTGGTAATTTCAAATTCTTCCCTTTGCTTCTCCACCTTTATGGGTGCGTCATGGGCTGAGTTGTGTTCCCTCAAAATTCATATGTTGAATTTCTAACCCCCAGTACCTCACAAGGTAACTGTATTTGGAGATTGGGTCTTTAAGAATTAAGTTAAAATAATGTCATTAGAATGGGCCTTAATTCAATATGACTGGTGTCCTTATAAAAAGAGGATGTCATTAACCCAACCTGTTGTCACAATGCATCACATCAGTCTATTTCACACACACACGCACACACCACACACACACACATACACACACAGACAGTGCTATTTTCCTCATCTCTATTCTTTAAACAGAAGATACATTCAGTATCTGATTGTGGAAGCAAATCAAAGCATCTGAGTAGAAATCTTAAACACTTTAGAATCGTAAACTCTACATTTTTGCATGTTGTCTGTTTTGGAGGGGCCTATGTACATGTGGGGTTATTATATTGAAACAAGGGAATACATTTACACTAGTGTAGCAAAACAAAGAGAACTGAGAAGAATCAGAAAATGATGACAAAACTGGTAGTCCTAGACTCTAGGTTATGGCTAACTCAAGATTTTACTCCCCAATGTACAAAATACACAAAAGCTGATTATTATATCGACTCTAAATATTATCATTTTCTAGGTCGCTTATAACCTCAAATTCAGAACCTAGAATCTAACATGCAGAAAACAGTAGTAATGATCATGTTACTATTAAAATTGTAAATATGACAAATAACAGAAAAAAGTGATCTTTTTGAATCCCAGAAACGCCTAACCCTGAGACCATCCAAAGCTATCTAAAAGTGACCCAGAGTGAGATATGTGTCAGGAAATTGGAGCTGTATAGTCTTATTTTTCTTCATTTATATATATATTATATAAATATACATATTATATATTATTATTTATTATTTATTATATAATATATTGTTTAATATTTAATATATCTTATTATATATTAATATATATTTTTTGAGACAGGTTCTCACTCTGTCACCCAGGCTGCAGTGCAGTGGCTTGATCACGGCTCATAGAAGCCTCAACTTCCTGGGCTCCCAGCTCAGCCTCCTGAGTAGCTGGGACCACAGGCACACGCCACCAAGCCCAGCTAATTTTGTTTTTATTTTTTGTAGTGATGGGGTCTCCCTGTGTTGTACAAATTGGTCTCAAACTCCTTGACAAAAGCAATCCTCCCCTCTCGGCCTTCCAAAGTGCTAGGAGTACAGGTGTTAGCCATTGCACCCGGCCCGTTTATAATTTAGTATGAACTCTTAGTACTGTCCTCTTCGTTAAATAGAGGCATGGATTTACAAAAAACCATTGATATAAAAAAAAGTAACCTTTTAATTCAAAATATTTAATCAGAAACAAATAGCTGTACTTCCTTAAAAGATAAGTCCTCAGCCTGGGCAACATAGTTAAACCCCTTCTCTAGAAAAAAATATAAAAATTAGGCTGGGCGCAGTGGCTCACGCCTGTAATCCTAGCACTTTGGGAGGCTGAGGTGGGCGAATCACTTGAGGTCAGGAGTTCAAGACCAGCCTGGCCAACATGATGAAACCCTGTCTCTAAAAAAAAAAAAAAAAAATAGCCGGCATGGTGGCGCACGTCTGTAGTCCCAGCTACTTGGGAGGCTGAGGTGGCAGAATCGCTCGCAACCGGTAGGCACAGGTTGCAGTGAGTCAAGATCCCACCATTGCACTTCAGACTGGGCGACAGAGCGAGACTCCGTCTCAAAAAATAAATAAATAAAATTAAAGAATACAAGAGCACCCAGATTCATAAAGCAAGGTCTTTGAGACCTACAAAGAGACTTAGACTCCCACACAATAATAGTGAGAGACTTTAAAACCCCACTGTCAATGTTAGACATTTCAACGAGACAAAAAATTAACAAAGATATTCAGGACTTGAACTCAGCTCTGGACCAAATAAACCTAATAGACATCAACAGAACTCTCCACCCCAAATCAACAGAATGTACGTTCTTCTCAGCACCACATAGAACTTATTCTAAAATGAACCACATAGGCCGGCCGCGGTGGCTCACGCCTGTAATCCCAGCACTTTGGGAGGCCGAGGCGGGGGGATCACGAGGTCAGGAGATCGAGACCATCCTAGCTAACACGGTGAAACACCGTCTCTACTAAAAAAATACAAAAAAATTAGCCGGGCGTGGTGGCAGGCGCCTGTAATGCTAGCTACTCCGGAGGCTGAGGCAGCAGAATGGCGTGAACCCGGGAGGCGGAGCTTGCAGTGAGCCGAGATGGCGCCACTGCACCCCAGCCTGGGAGACAAAGCGAGACTCCGTCTCAAAAATAAATAAACAAATAAATAAAAAATAAAATTGACCACATAATTGGAAGTAAAACACTCCTCAGCAAATGCAAAAGAACGGAAATCATAACAAAGTTTCTCAGACCACAGTACAATCAAATTAGAACTGAGGATTAAGAAACTCACTCAAGGTGTTCGCAGCCGCCGCCGCACCGCCATGCCGCCATCACTCTCCAACGCCAGCGCTGCCTCTGGCTCGCAGAGCTCCAGCTGAAGGATAAGGGAGGTAAATAAGGAAGCCTCTATACCATGGCTTGTACAAAGCGGACTGCCTGCAAATCGACCGTAAAGCAGCCAGGAAGCAACTGGGTACAAAAGCCGCTCACAAGAGTGCGCCCTCTACTGGAGGGGTGAAGAAACCTCATCATTACAGGCCTGGTACTGTGGCACTCCGTGAAATCAGACGTTATCAGAAGGCCACTGAACTTCTGATTCGCAAACTTCGCTTTCAGCGTCTGGTGCAAGAAATTGCTCAGGACTTGAAAACAGATCTACGCTTCCAGAGTGCAGCTATTGGAGCTTTGCAGGAGGCAAGTGAGGCCTACCTGGTTGGCCTTTTTGAAGACAGCAACCTGTGTGCTATCCATGCCAAACGGCTAACTATTATGCCAAAAGAAATCCAGCTAGCACGCCGCATACAAGGAAAACGTGCTTAAGAATCCACTATGATGGGAAACATTTCATTCTCAAAAAGAAAAAAATTCTCGACCGGGCGCGGTGGCTCACGCCTGTAATCCCAGCACTTTGGGAGGCCAAGGCGGGCGGATGACGAGGTCAGGAGATCGAGACCATCCTGGCTAACACAGTGAAACCCCGTCTCTACTAAAAATACAAAAAATTAGCCGGGCGTGGTGGCGGACACCTGTAGTCCCAGCTACTCGGGAGACTGAGGCGGGAGAATGGTGTGAACCCAGGAGGTGGAGCTTGCAGTGAGCCGAGATCGTGCCACTGCACTCCAGCCTGGGCGATAGGTGAGACTCCATCTCAGAAAAAAAGAAAAAAAAAAAGAAAAAGAAAAAAATTCTCTTCTTCCTGTTATTGGTGGTTATGAAGGTTAGATATTTTTTTCCATGGGGTCAAAAGATACCTAAGTGTATGATTGCAAGTGGAAAAATAGGGGATAGAAATCAGGTAATGGCATTTTTTCAATTTTCATTTGTGTGTAAATTTTTAATATAAATGTGGAGATGTAAAGCATTAATGCAAGTTAAAATGTTTCAGTGAACAGGTTTCAGCAGTTCAACTTTATAATAATTATAAATAAACCTGTTAAATTTTTCTAGACAATGCCAGCATTAGCATTTTTTTAAAAACAAGTAAATTTCTTATTGACAGCAACTAAATGGTGTTTGTAGCATTTTTATCACACAGTAGATTCCATCCATTCACTATGTTTTTCTAACTGAGTTGTCCTACATGCAAGTACGTGTTTGTTTGTTTTCTTTTTTTTTTTTTTTTTTTTTTGGAGATGGAGTCTTGCTCTGTCGCCCAGGCTGGAGTGCAGTGGCAAGATCTTGGCTCACTGCAACCTCCACCTCCCAGGTTCAAGCAATTCTCCTGCCTCAGCCTCCAGAGTAGCTGTGACTAAAGGCATGTGCCACCACACTGGCTAATTTTTCATATTTTTAGTACAGATGGGGTTTCACCGTGTTGGCCAGGATGGTCTCCATCTCCTGACCACGTGATCTGCCCACCTCAGCCTCCCAAAGTGCTGGGATTACAGGCCTGAGTCACTGCACCCAGGCAAGTACATGTTTTTAATGTTGTCTGTCTGCTGTGCTGTTCCTGTAAGTATGCTATTAAAATATATTAAACTATTAAAAAAAGAAACTTATTCAAAACTACAAAACTACACGTAAACTGAACAACCTACTCCTGAATGACTACTGAATAAATAACAAAATTAAGGCAGAAATAAATAAGTTCTTTGAAACCAATGAGAACAAAGACACAACATACCAGAATCTCTGGAACACAGCTAATGCAGTGTTTAGAGGGAAATTTATAGCACTAAAAGCCCACAGGAGAAAGCAGGAAAGATCTAAAATCAACACCCTAACACCACAATTAAAAGAACTAGAGAAGCAAGAGCAAACAAATTCAAAAGCTAGCAGAAGACAAGAAATAACTAAGAACAGAGCAGAACTGAAGGAGACAGAGACATGAAAAACCCTTCAAAAAATCAGTGAATCCATGGCTGGGTGCAGTGGCTCACGCCTGTAATCCCAGCACTTTGGGAGGCTGAGGCAGTTAGATCACGAGGTCAGGAGATCGAGACCATCCTGGCTAATGTTGTGAAACCCCGTCTCTACTAAAAATACAAAAAAATTAGTCGGGCGTGGTGGCAGGCACCTGTAGTCCCAGCTACTCGGGAGGCTGAGACAGAATGGCGTGAACCCGGGAGGTGGAGCTTGCAGTGAGCCAAGATCACGCCACTGTACTCCAGACTGGGCGACAGAGTGAGACTAATAAGGAAAGAGAGAAGAATCAAATAGAGACAATAAAAAATGATAAAGGGGATATCACCACTGATCCCACAGAAATACAAACTACCATCAGAGACTACTATAAACACCTCTATGCAAATAAACTAGAAAATCCAGAAGAAATGGATAAGTTCCTGGACACATACACCCTCCCAAGACTAAACCAGGAAGAAGTCGAATCCCTGAATAGACCAATAACAAGTTCTGAAATTCAGGCAGTAATTAATAGCCTACCAACCAAAAAAAGTCCAGGACTAGACAGATTCACAGCCGAATTCTACCAGAGGTACAAAGAGGAGCTGGTACCATTCCTTCTGAAACTATTCCAAACAAAAGAAAAAGAGGGAATCCTCTCTAACTCATTTTATGAGGCCAGCATCATCCTGATACCAAAGCCTGGCAGAGACACAACAAAAAAAGAAAACTTGAAGCCAATATCCCTGATGAATATCAATGCGAAAATCCTCAATAAAATACTGGCAAACCAAATCCAGCAGCACATCAAAAAGCTTATCCACCACGATCAAGTCGGCTTCATCCCTGGGATGCAAGGCTGGTTTGACATATGCAAATCAACAAAAGTAATCCATCACATAAACAGAACCAATGACAAAAACCACATGATTATCTCAATAGATGCAGAAAAGGCCTTCGATAAAATTCAACACCCCTTCATGCTAAAAACACTCAATAAACTAGGTATTGATGGAACATATTTCAAAATAATAAGAGCTATTTATGACAGACCCACAGCCAGTATCATACCGAATGGGCAAAAGCTGCACTCATTCCCTTTGAAAACCGACACAAGACAGGGATGCCCTCTCTCACCACTCCTATTCAACACAGTGTTGGAAGTTCTGGCCAGGGCAATCAGGCAAGAGAAAGAAATAAAGGGTATTCAAATAGAAAGAAAGTCAAATTGTCTCTGTTTGCTGATGACATGATTGTATATTTATAAAACCCCAAAAACTCGTCTCAGCCCAACATCTCCTTAAACTGATGAGCAACTTCAGCAAAGTCTAAGGATACAAAATCAATGTGCAAAAATCACAAGCATTCCTATACACCAATAACAAACAGAGAGCCAAATCATGAGTGAACTTCCATTTAGAATTGCTACAAAGAGAATAAAATACTCAGTAATACAACTTATAAGGGATGTGAAGGACCTCTTCAAGGAGAACTACAAGCCACTACTCAAGGAAATAAGAGAGGACACAAACAAATGGAAAAACATTCCATGCTCATGGATAGGAAGAATCGATATCATGAAAATGGCCATACTGCCCAAAGTAATTTATAGAATCAATGCTATCCCCATCAAGCTACCATTGACTTTCTTCACAGAATTGGAAAAAACTACTTTAAATTTCATATGGAACCAAAAAAGAGCCCACATAGCCAAGACAATCGTAAGCAAAAAAAACAAAGCTGGAGGCATCACGCTACCTGACTTCAAACTATACTACAAGGCTACAGTAACCAAAACAGCCTGGTACTGGTACCAAAACAGACATATGGGCCAATGGAACAGAACAGAAGCCTCAGAAATAATGCCACACAGCTACAACCATCTGATCTTTGACAAACCTGACAAAAACAAGCAATGGGGAAAGGACTTCCTATTTAATAAATGGTGTTGGGAAAACTGGCTAGCCATATGCAGAAAACTGAAACTGGACCCCTTCCTTACACCTTATACAAAAATTAACTCAAGATGGATTAAAGATTTAAACATAAGACCTAAAACCATAAAACCTCTAGAAGAAAACCTAGGCAATACCATTCAGGACATAGGTAGGGGCAAAGACTTCATGACTAAAACACCAAAAGCAATGGCAACAAAAGCAAAAATTGACATATGGGATCTAATTAAACTAAAGAACTTCTGCACGGCAAAAGAAACTATCATCAGAGTGAACAGGCAACCTGCAGAATGGGAGAAAATGTTTGCAATCTATCCATCTGACACAGGGCTAATATCCAGAATCTACAAGGGACTTAAACAAATTTACAAGAAAAAAACAAACAACCCAATCAAAAAGTGGGCAAAGGATATAAACAGACACTTCTCAAAAGAAGAAATTTATGCAGACAGCAAACATATGGAAAAAAACTCATCATTACTGGTCATTAGAGAAATGCAAATCAAAACCACAATGAGATACCATCTCACACCAGTTAGAATGGTGATCATTAAAAAGTCAGGAAACAACAGATGCTGGAGACGATGTGGAGAAATAGGAACGCTTTTACACTGTTGGTGGGAGTGTGAATTAGTTAAACTATTGTGGAAGACAGTGTGGTGATTCCTCAAGGATCTAGAACCAGAAATACCATTTGACCCAGCAGTCCCATTACTGAGTATATACCCAAAGGATTACAAATCATTCTACTATAAAGACACATGCACACGTATGTTTATAGCAGCACTATTTACAATAGCAAAGACTTGGAACCAACCCAAATGTCCATCAATGATAGACTGGATAAAGAAAATGTGGCATATATACACCATACTATGCAGCAATAAAAAAGAATGAGTTCAGATCCTTTGCAGGCACATGGATGAAGCTGGAAACCATCATTCTCAGCAAACTAACACAGGAACAGAAAACCAAACACCACATGTTCTTACTTATAAGTGGGAGTTGAACAATGAGAACACATGGACACAGGGAGGGGAACATCACACACCAAGGCCTGTCGGGGGGTGGGGGACAACGGGATGGATAGCATTAGGAGAAATACCTAATGTAGATGATGGGTTGATGGATGCTGCAAACCACCATGGCATGTGTATACCTATGTAACAAACCTGCACGTTCTGCACATGTATCCCAGAACTTAAAGTATAATAAAATAAAAATAAACCTATGACTTAATAGTAAAATGAGTAACACTTTCCAGAAAATAAAACACAATGGCTATAAAAAATACAAAAAATAAAGCCGGCACAGTGGTTTACACCTGTAATCCCAGAATTTTGGGAGGCCGAGGCAGGCAGATCACCTGAGATTGGGAGTTCAAGATCAGCCTGACCAACATGGAGAAACCCCGTCTCTACTAAAAATACAAAATTAGCCGGGCATGGTGACATATGCCTGTAATCCCAGTTACTCAGGAGGCTGAGGCAGGAGAATCGCTTGAACCCAGAAGGCAGAGATTGCAGTGAGCCGAGATCATGCCACTGCACTCCAGCCTGGGTGACAGAGCGACACTCCATCTCAAAGAAAAAAATATATATATATGTATATATATATACACACACACACACACACACACACATATATATACACATATATATATAAAATGAAAAAATAATAAAATAAATAAAAATTGGCCGGGAATGGTGGCTCACGCCTGTAATCCCAGCACTTTGGGAGGCCAAGGCAGGCAGATCAGCTGAGGTCAGGAGTTGGAGACCAGCCTGGCAACATGGTGAAACCCCGTCTCTACTAAAAATATAAAAATTAGCCGGGAATGGTGGTGGTTGCCTGTAATCCCAATTATTCGCAAGGCTGAGGCAGGAGAATTGCTTGGATCCAGGAGACAGAGGTTGCAATGAGCCCACAGGGTGCCATTGCACTCCAGCCTGGGTGACAGAGTGAGACTCCGTCTCAAAAAAAAAAAAAAAAAAAAAAAAAAAAAATTAGCTGTGTGTAGTGGCTCACACCTGTAGTCCAGCTACTCAAGAGGCTAAGGTGGGAGGATCACCTGAGCCTGGGGAGGTTGAGGCTGCAGTGAGCAGTGATCGTGCCACTGTACTACAGCCTAGGCAACAGAGCAAGACCCTGTCTCAAAACAACAATAACAACAATTTTTAGAAGATGAGTCCTAGGCTGGGTGCAGTGGCTAACGCCTGTAATCCTAACACTTTTGGAGACTGAGGCGGATGGGTCACTTGAGGCCAAGAGTTTGAGACCAGCCTGGCCAATATGGCAAAATCTCGTCTCTACCACAATTAGGAAAATTAGCCAGGTGTGGTGGCACATACCTGTAATCCCCACTACTTGATTGAGGCTGAGGCACGAGAATCACTTCAGCCCAAGAGACAGAGGTTGCAGTGAGCCAAGACTGCACCACTGCACTAGCCTGGATGACAGAGTGAGACCTTATCTCAAAAAAAAAAAAAATGAGTCCTGACTGAAAATGTTTGAATGTCCTAAAGCTAATGATCTTTAACCATCTGGGCAGGAGAAGAAAACAAAATAAATATGTTTGTCCTGGGCTTAAAAATTGAAATGCCCTCTCTCAATGGATCAGGAGGAAAAAAAAGAGAAGGTTGCTGTAACTCTTCCCCATTCATTAAAAATCATCAAAAGTAAAAATGTGAGGAAGAGAACATTAGACATCTCCTAAAAGTCTCTTTTATTTTAAGGAAACAAGGAAAGCTGACTGAAATAATTTTCTATCAACATTAAATTTATTGTTGCCTTCAAGTTTTCTGAGTCCAGGAGATGACAACCACATTATATTAAACAGCCCTGCTATGAACTGAATTGTGTCCCCTCAAAATCCATGTGTTGAGGCCCTAACCCCCAATGTGATCCCATTTGGAGATGGCGATTTGGTGACATAATCAGGTTTACGTGGGGCAAGGAGTGTAGGTTCTCATGATGGGAGAGATGCCCTTATAAGAAGCAACAGAGATTTTCCCCTTTTTCTCCTTCTCAACCATGTGAGAACGTAGAGAGCAAGCGTCCATTTGTAAGTCAGTAAAAGGGCCCTCACCAGGAACCGAATCTGCCAACACCTTGATTTTGGACTTCTCAGCGTCCAGAACTGTGAGAAATAAATGTCTGTTGTGAACACCACTCAGTCTATGACATTTTGTTATAGCAGCCCAAACTCAGACAAGCCCCCTGCTTCTCTCTCTTACACACACACACACACACTCTCTCTCTCCTTCTCTCTCTCTCTCTCTCTCTCTCTCTCTCTCTCTCTCTCTCATACATACAGGTGCCAAATTTCCCAAGAATTGTTTAGCTGGAGCAGTTGGGTGTATGACACTCTATAAGGTTAGGCAGGTTGGTGAAGTTTGTCCTTGGATGATCTGTGTGATAGTACGAATACCATTAGCAACAGCCCAGTAGGAACATAACAACAAGCTGACATCTAGAAATGATGCTGAGAAAAACAAAAACTTAAAGTACCTATGTAACCGGCTTATATAGGAGCCAACAAAAGCAGCTTCTGGAAGCTATCCTTGGCAAGAGGAGCTCTACTCTTGCCCTGACATTTGCCTTGGGGACCAGCGGAAAGAAAAAAGAAAAGATATAGATTACAACTCCAAAAAGAAAAATTAAAAGCCAAAACAGGAACTAACTGTAACTCTTTAAGGAAGAAGAAAAATTCATACTATCTTCCTCCACTACCAGGGCCACACTGAGAATTAAAGGAGCCCCCCAAGAAATTGTATTGGTTAGCATTCTAGGGAAGGGATGGCTGAGAAGCCAAACAGGGTCACTAGAATCTATGAGCACAGAGCTTGTGGAGGCCTGAAACACGGTGCCAGGGCTGCTGCTGTCTCTCAGGCACCTATTTCTGCTCTTCCCTTAACAATGTAACAAAGACAGAGGGAAGCCCAAATGCTTCATTTCTGGAAAAAGAAGAAGGAAAGGATCTAACAATATTCTCTCCCCTTTTTAAAACTTCTGCTAAGAATGTACAGAAACGGGCCGGGCGTGGTGGCTCACGTCTGTAATCCTAGCACTTTGGAAGGCCGAGGCAGGTGGATTGCCTGAGCTCTGGAGTTCGAGACCAGTCTGGGCAACACGATGAAACCCCATCTCTACTAAAATACAAAAAATTAGCTGGGCGTGGTGGTGGTGTGCACCTGTAATCCCAGCTACTTGGGAAGCTGAGACAGGAGAATCGCTTGAACCCGGGAGGCAGAGGTTGCAGTGAGCCGAGATCACGCCACTGCACTCCAGCCTGGGCGACAGAGTGAGACTCCATCTCAAAAAAATAAAATAAAAAAGAATGTACAGAAACGTCAGCTCCAGTTTCTGTAGTTCAGCTATAGTAGGATTGTCTGCTAAAGTAGGTAATGTATTGGGTTCAATAGTGTCCACCCAGTCTGGCACAGTGGCATGTGCCTGCAGTCCCACCTATCAGGAGGCTTAGACTGGAGGATGGCTTGAGCCCAGGAGTTCAAGGCTGCAGTGCCCCATGATCATGCCACTGTAGTCCAGACTGGGCAACATAGTAAGACCCCATCTCTAAAATAATAATGACAATAATAATGCCCCCCCCCAAATTCATGTCCATCATGAATCTCAGAATGTAACCGTGTTTGGAAGTAGGATTTTTGCAGATGTAATTAGTTAAGATGACATCATGCTGGAGTAGGGTGGTCCATAAGCCAATGACTGGTCTCCTTTTAAGAAGACCCTGTAAAGACACAGAGACACAGAGACGCATGGGGAGAATGCTTTGTGAAGACAATGGCAGAGATAGGAGTGATGCATCTATAAGCCAAGGAGTTCCAAGAATTGCCTGCAACCACCAGAAGCTAGAAGAGAGGCATGGAACAGATTCTTTTTCAAAGCCCCCAGGAGGAACCACCCCTGCCAACATCTTGACTTCAGACTTCTAACCTCCAAAACTGTGAGACAATAAATTTCTATTACTTTAAGCTGCTGAGCTTGTGGTAATTTCTTACAGCAGTCCAGAGAAAGTAATGCAAGCCGGGCAAGGTAGCTCATGCCTGTAATCCCAGCACTTTGGGAGGCCCAGGAGAACGGACCACCTGAGGTCGGGAGTTCAAGACTAGCATGAACAACATGGCGAAACCCCATCTCCACTAAAAACACAAAGTTAGCTGGGCGTGGTGGCACGTGCCTGTATTTCCAGCTGCTCAGGAGGCTGAGGCAGGAGAATCGCTTGAACCAGGGAGGCGGAGGTTGGGATAAGCTGAGATCGTGCCATTGTACTCCAGCCTAGGCAACAAGAGCGAAATTTGGTCTCAAGAATAAGTTACATCGACCATCCCATATTTGGCCGGGGCAGCAGCTCACGCCTGTAATCCCAGCACTTTGACAGGCTAAGGTAGGCAGATCATCTGAGGTCAGGAGTTTGAGACCAGCCTGGCCAATATGGTGAAACCCCATCTCTACTAAAAATACAAAAATAACCAGGTGTGTTGGCAAGCACCTGTAATCTCAGCTACTCAGGAGGCTGAAGCAGGAGAATCGCTTGAACCCAGGAGGTAGAGGTTGCAGTGAGCCAAGATCACGCCACTGCACTCCAGCCTTCCAGCTGGGCAACAGAGCAAGACTCTGTCTCAAAAAAAAAAAAATTTCATATGTACTATAAATTGCAAAGTAAATCTTTGCCAGTGCTTTTACTTCTTTCCAGACTCTTCTGGGCCACTGAAATTCTCTTTGCTATGTGCTTTTTAAGCTTCCTGATAAGAGGGTTTTATTTTTTAACAGTGCCTATCCTGACACACACTTAGCTTTCACAGTGAAAAACTAAATCTAATATCTCTGTTTTGATCAATCCAGCTTCAGTTATTAATACCTTATAACTAAATGATCTGACAAAGACAGCAGGAGAGAAAAAGGTTTCAACCCATTTTCTAGGGACACTCAATTGATCCCTGAGTTCTTTTGTGTTTAAAATGGCATCAGTGAAGTTATCTTTGACCAAGATTTTCCTCCTCATTTCTCCAGAGAAGTCAAACATAAAATCTGGTCTAGATAATCAATATGGAGGAAAAAGCAGAACCATTAAAATTCACTTAACAAAGTTAAGAGTACACAGGAGTCGTTCATCTAAAATATGTGTGACTCTAGTTTCTGCTCTCCAGGAGTTAATCGGGGCCTGTGCCTCAAATCTACTTTTTACAGCGAAATTCCCTGGGGTCCTTTTAAAAAATATGGATTTCTAAGTTTTACTCTTAAAGGTTTTTGTTCAGGAGGTTTTTCTGTACATGCCAAGAATCTGAATTTTGTTTTCAGTGTATGCCATGACATGATATTCATGACACATGGAAAAATTTAAAAAGCAAGTAGGGGGAAAATATGTATACTGTGGGCCAGGCCCAGTGGCTCACGCCTGTAATCCCAGCACTTTGGGAGGCCAAGGTGGACGGATCACGAGGTCAGGAGATCGAGACCATCCTGGCCAACATGGTGAAACCCCCGTCTCTACTAAAAATACAAAAAAACTACCTGGGTGTGGTGGCGCATGCCTGTAATCCCAACTATTTGGGAGGCTGAGGCAGGAGAATCACTTGAACCTGGGAGGCAGAGATTGCCGTGAGCCAAGATCGGGCCACTGCACTCCAGCCTGGGCGACAGGGCAAGACTCCGTCTCAAAAAAAAAAAAAAAAAATATATATATACACACACACACACACACACACACACACAAATATTTAAGGTAACTTTATTTATAATAGTCCACACCAGAAGTTAATCCAATGTCCATCTACATTTGGGTGGAAAAATAAATATTAGTTACTTTGGATGACAGTATTTACTGAAAACACACCTCATATTACCTTCTGGGCTGCTGCATATATTCAGATAATTTTAACCGAATTGTGGTTAAAAGGTGTTTTCATATGTAAAAGTTCATGGAGCACTTAAGATTGGTACACTTTATTGTGTATATTATATGACAATAAAAAATTTTTAAATGAACCAAAAAATATGATCGTGTGTGTGTGTGTGTGTGTGTGTGTGTGTGTGTGTGTGTGCGCGCCCTATTCTGGACTCTTTTGTGTTCCTTAGTAAAACTGGAGCCTGCCAGCTTGTAGCAAGAGAGAAGTAGCAAGAGGATTCTCCCTGACCACATCCAGTTCTTACCTCTAGGTGGAATTAGAGGACCAGCTACAACCCAAATCCTCCCTGGGCACATCCAGACATCAAGCTTTCCTTCCTACCTAGCCTCACCCTCCTGCCACTGGTGATCAAGAGAAGAAAAGCAGAAAGAGTGGGAAGCAGTCACTAATTCCAGCACTGGCCCAGGTACAAATGTTTACCCAGAAAATAAAAGCTTTAAAGGATCCCATAGAGTCACTGCTTATATTAATTATGTTATACAATAACAATAGAGTAATTTCAACCACCTCTCATCTGTCTCTACTCTAGGCCTGATAATACCCCTTTCGGGGAACGTCTGACCTAAAAGTGTAGAGTGGAGGCAAAAAGTAAGGAAGATCCACCCCTTTAATGCTTCCATTATATGTTCCCTATACTCAATCTATCAAAGGTCACATTCCTTTATTAGTGGAACAGGAGTGTTCTACACATAGCACAGTCTTCCCAATACTTGTTTCTGCTTTCTCCCAGTCTTTTGTAATTTTTTTTGGGATGAGGTCTCACTGTGTTGCCCAGGCTGGAGTGCAGTGGCATGATCTCAGCTCACTATAACCTCCACCTTCCCGGCTCAAGCCATCTTCCAGCCTCAGCCTCCCAAGTAGCTGCAACCACAGGCAACGCACCAACATGCCCAGCTAATTTTTGTATTTTTGGGAGAGATGGGGTTTCACCATGTTGCTCAGGCTTGTCTTAAACTCCTGAACTCAAACGATTCACCGCACCCAGCCATCTTTTGTAGTTTTTAACAGACGTATTCTTTTTTCTGTTTTGCAGATTGTCTTCTCTTTTTTTTTTTTAATAATAAAACTAATTCTGGCCAGGTGAGGTGGCTCGCCCCTGTAATCCCATCACTTTGGGAGGCCAAAGCAGGAGGATCACTTGAGTCCAGGAGTTCAAGACCAGACTAGGCAACACACTGAGACCCTGTCTCTACAAAAAAATTTAAAAATTAAAAACATTAGCCAGGCATGGTGGCATGATCCTATAGTCCCAGCTACTCAAGAGGCTGAGGTGAGAGGATCATTTAAGCCTGGGAAGTCGAGGTTGCAGTGAGCTGTGATTACACCACTACACTCCAGCGTGGGTGACCCTGTCTCCAAAAAATAAATAAATAAAACTAATTTTAATTGCACTTGCATTTTATATGTCAAGTATTACATCTTTAAGCCTACTAAATTTCTGATTAAAAAAATTGTTAAACAGTATCAAAAGCATAGTCATATTTGTTAAGTTTCATATTGGTAATTACTGGTTCTGAATTCATGTAAACATCTGCAATTGGCCAGTGTAAACAAAGAGGATAGACGATGGTAATGGACCTTAATTAAACAGCCATCACTGCAATCCCATACTATTCCTTTCACTTTACCTACTCTGCAGCTTTCAAACCAGGACAACAGATCATTGTGCTTCAACATAGGCAGGTTTCTTTTTTTGAGTCGGTGTCTCGCTCTGTCACCCAGGCTGTGGTGCAGTGGTGCGACTCTGCTCTCTGCAGCCTCTGCCTCCTGGGCTCAAGCGATTCTCCTGGCTCAGCCTCCTGAGTAGCTGGGATTACAGGCGCCTGCCACCACGCTCAGCTAATTTTTGTATTTTTAGTAGAGAAGGGGTTTCACCACATTGGCCGGGCTGGTCTCGAACTCCTGACCTCAGGTGATCCGCCGACCTCAGCCTCCCAAAGTGCTGGGATTACTGGCATGAGCCACCACGCTCGGCCCAATATAGGCAGGTTTCTTATTTGAAATGGTCCGTGTAGTATAACATATTGTGGATGCTTCTTCCTTCCTAACCCATATGGGTTTCCATTGATATTTGTTCCTATAAGCTGCAATGTTTGTTCCAAGAAATCTGATAATGGCACGGCACTAATTTCCAAAAGCCTAGGATCCTCAGGATGATGCTTTAGTACCAGATCAATTGCAAATTCATAATTAACCACAGAGGAATGCCAGTAATGCTATTTGTTATTTTTCTCTACTGGTGCCCCACCAGGAATGTGTCCATGTTTCGTCATGGACCAGATTCCTATTTAATTTTTCTGTTTCCTTTGCTGCTAGCCAACACTCTGGAGTAGCTTTGAAGTACTCCTCAACATTCCAAGAAAATTCTTTGAAGTTTTCTTTTGAATGTAGAAAATTTTAAAACCTTTTAACAGGTTGTTTGTTAGGTTTTCTATCTAATCAAACCGAAAGGTATCTCTGTAAGTAGCAACGTAACAACATGTTCCATCCACTTTTTCTGTTGGAATTGCACTGTAGATACCTGCATCTAATGCCTCATGACTTACAGTTTTCGTTGCCAAAACTTTAAATGGCTGATTCTGCCTTTCGGTGGAGGGCTCCTTTTTCACCTCCCTAGAAACACACGGCATTTTCCGCTACACGGAGCCCAGGCGCCTCGTGGTCGGCCCAGCAGGCGGTGCTAGAGGAGAGCGCGTTTGTGAGCAGCGCCAAGCACACGCGGGAAGAAAGCCCTGAGCAAGTAAGCCGGAGGCTCAGACCGCTCACACCACGCGCCCAGCGACAGCTGCAGCCCGCGCCCCCAAAACCTTACCTCCGATTTTTTTTTCTTTCTAGACTTCCTCCTTCAGGATTATGATGAATGAAGGGTTAAGAATATGGAAATAGAGGCCGGGCGCGGTGGCTCACGCCTGTAATCCCAGCACGTTGGGAGGCCGAAGCAGCCAGATCACTTGAGGTCAGGAGTTCGAGACCAGCGTGGCCAACATGGCAAAACACCATTGGGCATGGTGGCACACGCCTGTAATCCCAGCACTTTGGGAGGCCGAGGCGGGCGGATCACTTGAGGCCACGAGTTTGAGACCAGCCTGGTCAACATGGTGAAACCCCGTCTCCACTAAAAATACAAAAATTAGCCAGGTGTGGTGACGTGTGCCTGTAGTTCCAGCTACTCAGGAGGCTGAAGCAGGAGAATCGCTTGAACCTGGGAAGCAGAGGTTGCAGTGAGCTGAGATCGCGCCACTGCACTCCAGCCAGGGCGACAGAGTGAGACTCCATCTCAAAAAGAAAGAAAAAAAACAAAGAATATAGGAATAGTAGAGATACCAGAATAGCTCCTGAAGATTATCAAAATATTGTCCCAGTAACAACTTTAAAGGGGTAAATTGTTGAATAATTAAGGTTTATAGCTCTGCCATTCTTAGACAGCATAATTAAATAATTTATTCATTTGCAAGAAAAATGATGGCAATAAATCCTTGGAAATGAAGATTGGAAACGGGGCTTGGAAACAAGGCCATCCATCCTGCTCTGTTTCCTCATGCAGTGTCCAAGTCGTAACTCGGCAAGGAGAGTCTGAAAATAATTTTGATTTTCTAATGGGAATATTGTCTTTAGGTTTTCCAAGACAGTGCATTTATTTATTTATTTATTTGTTTATTTATTTATTTATTTATTTTTGAGATGGAGTTTCTCTCCTGTTGCCCAGGCTGGAGTGTAATGGCGAGATCTTGGCTCACTGCAACCTCCGCCTCCCGGGTTCAAGCAATTCTCCTGCCTCAGCTTCCGGAGTACCTGGGATTACAGGCGCACGCCACCAGGTCCGGCTAATTTTTTGTATTTTAGTAGAAACCGGGTTTCACCATGTTAACCAGGCTGGTCTCGAATTCCTGACCTCAGGTGATCCACCCACCTCGGCCTCCCAAAGTGCTGGGATTACAGGCATGAGCCACCGTGCCCAGCCGACAGTGCATCTAAGAACAAGCTCCGGAAGTAGAAGTGAGTTGAGTCCAGAGGGGAGGAACATTCATCACCCTCTTCTTTCTTGACAATTGCCTCTTTTCTTTAGCTTGTGTGAACACCAACCTTCAGGCATTCTATTTACTTCTCCATTAACTTTCTCTCTCCTCAGATTTGCTCCCCACAGTCATTTCCTCAAGAACACCACCTTACTTCCACCAGCTATGTGTCCTCAGTTCCAGCTTTGCTTTTTTATGTTAAAAAGAGGCCTTTAGGCTGGGCGTGGTGGCGCATACCTGTAATCCCAGCACTTTGGGAGGTCGAGGCGGGCTGATCACCTGAGGTCGTGAGTTCGAGACGAGCCTGACTAACATGGCGAAACACCGTCTCTACTAAATACACAAAATTAGTCAGGCGTGCTGGTGGGCACCTGTAGTCCTAGCTACTTGGGAGGCTGAGGCAGGAGAATCGCTTGAACCCAGGAGGTGGAGGTTGCAGTGAGCCAAGATCGTGCCATTGCAGTCCAGCCTGGCCAACAGGAGCAAAACTCCATCAAAAAAAAAAAAAAAAAGCCTTAGTAGAGACATCTTATTTTATTGTCTGGGTCTTTCCTGCCAGCACAGTGGACAGACTATGTAGTAAAGATGAACCAAACCCTAACTGTTTACTAGCTGGATAGCTGTGGGGAAGCTATTTAACTTCTCTAAACCTCAGTTAACTCATCTTTTTAAAAATGAAGATAAGATTAAGATTTATATTGATTTAAATTTAGATTTAGATTTAAGATTAGGATTACTAAAAGACTTTATATCATTGAACCTTTGTAAACACCTGCTGAAATATATATGATTATTAATTCCATTTTACAAGGAAGGAAACAGGTGAGAGGATAAGCGATCTGTCCAAAAGTTACCCAGCTGCCAAGTGGCAGAGTTGAGATTTGAACTGGCATATGGATCCTGAGTATAAACTTTTTATCACTCTGCTCTATTGTCTCACATACTTGTTTACTTAATATTAACTATTACTGCTTGGGAATTTAGGGTAGTGAACAGATTATAACTAAAATCATATTCTAAAGATGAACCTGGGCCGCACACAGTGGCTCAAGCCTGTAATCCCAGCATTTTGGGAGGCCGAGGCAGGCAGATCACTTGAGGCCAGGAGTTCGAGGCCAGCCTGGCCAACATGGCGAAATCCCATTTGTACTAAAAATACAAAAATTAGCCAAGCATGGTAGTGTGCGCCTGTAATCCCAGCTACTCAGGAGACTGAGGCACGAGAATCGCTTGAACCAGGGAGGCAGAAATTGCAGTGAGCTAGGATCACCACTGCACACCAGCCTGGGTGACAAAGCAAGACCTTGTCTCAAAAAAAAAAAAAGTAAGGGCTATCCTGTAGCAGGAAGAGCCGCAGACAAAACCTCTCAGACACCGAGTAGTAGAAGGAAGGGCTTTATTCAGCTGGGTGCATCGGCAAGCTACTGCCTTAAAATCCGAGCTCCCCGAATGCACAATTTCTGTCCCTTTTAAGGGCTCACAACACTAAAGATTTCACATGAAAGGGTCGTGATTGATTTGAGCAAGCAGGTGGTACGTGACAGGGGCTGCATGCACCGGTGGTCAGAGAGAAACAGAACAGGGCAGGGAGTTTCACAGCGTTCTTCTATACAATGTCTGGAATCTATGAATAACATCGGTTTCTAAGTTATGAGTTGATTTTTAACTACTGGGTTTAGGCCAGGCAGGCCCAGGCCTGGTTTCGGGCCTGACGCCGGGCTGCCTGTCTTTGGTTTTACTTCCTTGTTGTTTTTTCTTAAAACAGGTACTGAGTATAAAACAATATAAAACAATATGAGAGCGTCTCTCTCTTCCCTCAATCCCAAATCCCCTAAAGCTTTCTTGAAAAATAAATAAATAAATAAATAAAAGATGAGCCTGTGCCTGTGTTTACATAGAAAGAAACTAGTGGTTAGCCATCACTGATAGAAAAGAATTGATTGGTGGCTGGGCGTGGTGGCTCACGCCTGTAATCCCAGCACTTTGGGAGGCCGAGGCGGGTGGATCACGAGGTCAGGAAATCCAGACCATCCTGGCTAACACGGTGAAACCCCGTCTCTACTAAAAAATACAAAAAATTAGCTGGGCGTGGTGGCGGGTGCCTCTAGTCCCAGCTACTCGGGAGGCTGAGGCAGGAGAATGGCGTGAACCCGGGAGGCGGAGCTTGCAGTGAGCCAAGATAGCACCACTGCACTCCAGCCTGAGCAACAGAGCGAGACTCCATCTCAAAAAAAAAAAAAAAAAAACCAAAATGAATTGATTGAGGCCAGGTATGGTGGCTCTCACCTGTAATCCCAGCACTTTGGGAGGCCGAGGCAGGTGGATCACTTGAGGTCAGGAGTTCGAGACCAGCCTGGCCAACGTGGTGAAACCCCGTCTCTACTAAAAATACAAAAATTAGCCAGCCGCAGTGGCACATGCCTGTAATCCCAGCTACTCGGGAGGCTGAAGCAGGAGAATCACTTGAGCCCAGGAGGCGGAGGTTGCAGTGAGCTGAGATTGCACCACTGCACTCCAGCCTGAGCGACAGAGGGAGACTCTGTCTCAAAAAAAAAGAAAAAAAAATTGATTGATCATTATGAGAGTAGTTAACTCATTGATTTATTCATTTAACAAATATTTGAGGGCAAGAGAATAAATATCTAATTATGTATGAGACAAAATGTCATGGTTTTATCTCTGTACCTTTTCACATATTCTTCCCTTTGCCTGGAATGTCCACACATACACACATACACACACACACACATACACACATACATACACACACACACACATATACACACACATACACATACACATATATATACACGTACACACACATACACACACACCCCTCCACGATCTGGTCAGCGCCCCCACACTTTGTCCTCACTCTGGTAGAAAGCAGCTACTCTTCAGTCTGTTCTGGGTTCCCATTTTCTGCACAGATCTTTGATTCCCCAGTTAAACTCACAGAGGAATAAAGGAACAAAGGAGGAACATTTAAGAAGGAGAAAGAAAAGAAAAAGACATGTATCTGGAGAGGTGCCAAAGAAAAGAAACCAAAAACAGAATTTAAAAAGTAGAGATGAAAACAGAGAATTAAAATAAAGAATGAAAAAGATGAGACCAACCAGCAGTCTAACAGTACTTTTTAACACATGAAGGACCTTTACCTGGAGAATAATAATAGGCTTTTCTCCTTAGGGGATTATAAGGAAGGAAATCATATACAGTGAAAGTGGCAGAGACAGAGTCAGAGAGCTTTACTGGGTACTTACCATAGGCAGGGCATGATTTCTACTATCAAGGGGCTTACAATTTAATGGAAAAGACAGCTGTGCATAGAAAAAAATGACTAATAATCAATTTAATGGAACAGATTACAAGAGCAATGAATTCAGAGGAAAGAGAGATCTCTATGAATTCATGAGCTGGGATAAAAAGGAAACACTTTACTGAATAGATAAAAATGGGGGCTTCTATCAATGAAAGACAGAATGGACTCAGGCAAAGAGAAGAACAGGAGGAGAATAGCACAAAACATGATTGGAAAGTCTGAAAACTGCATTCTTAGTAGCTCCTTATGAAACCCAATGTTTCCACTTGCCCACTACAACCTGCGCCAGCCGAGGCAAATCTCTCCTCTCTAATTTTTTTTCTCCTCTTTCAGGTGGACAATTTCTTTTTTAATTTTTTGAGACAGAGTCTTGCTCTGTTTCCCAGGCTGGAATGCAGTGGCATGATCTCAGTTCAGTGCAATCTCCACCTCCTGGATTCAAGTGATTCTCCTGTCTCAGCCTCCGGAATAGCTGGGATTACAGGCTCCCGCCATCATGTCCATCTAATTTTTCCATTTTTATTAGAGACGGGGTTTTGCCATGTTGGCCAAGCTGGCCTCGAACTCCAGACTTCAGGAGATCTGCCTGCCTCGGCCTCCGGAAGTGCTGGGATTACAGGAGTGAGCCACCACACACAGCCTCAGTTGGACAATTTTATCAACATTCTGTTTTTCTATCAATACACAAAAACAAAGCTACCTCTATTCTAGCTATGTTCTCATTTCTCTTCTTTTTCTTTTTTTTTTTCTTTTTTTTTTTTTTTTAGACAGAGTCTCGCTCTGTCACCAGCCTGGAGTGCAGTGGCGCGACCTTGGCTCACTGCAACGTCCACTTCCTGGGTTCAGGCAATTCTCCTGCCTCAGCCTCTCGAGTAGCTGGGACTACAGGTGCGCATCACCATGCCCAGCTAATTTTTGTATTTTTAGTAGAGGCGGGGTTTCATCATGTTGGCCAGGATGGTCTCAATCTCTTGACCTCGTGATCTGCCCCCCTCGGCCTCCCAAAGTGCTGGGATTACAGGCGTGAGCCACCGTGCCCAGCCTTCTTTTAAAAAAAAAAAAAATGAAAATTCTTTGAAATAATTATCTATACTCCCAGTCTCCTATTCCTCCCCTAGAATTCTCTTTAGATCCCACTACAATCAGGCCAACCCCACAGCAAACACCAAACTGCACCAATCAGGTCATCAGTAACATCCATGTGGCTAAATTCACTAGTCAATCCTCAGTCATCTTACTTGACCTCATCGAAGCATTTGACTAACCTGATGCCTCTCCCCTTCTTGAAATGCTTTCTGTCTTAGCTTTCAGGATACCTAACTCCTTTGGGGTTTTTTTTCTGGTGTTTTGTTTTGTTTTGAGAGAGGGTCTCACTCTGTCTCCCAGGCTGGAGTACAATGGCTTGATCATGGCTCACTGCAGCCTCGACCTCCCGTGCTCTATCAATCCTCCCATCTCAGCCTCCCAAGCAAATGGGATTACAGGCACATGCCACCTCACCCAGCTAATGTTTTTGTATTTTTTGAAGAGATGGGGTTTCACCATGTTGCCCAGACTGATCTTAAACTCCTGGGCTCAAGCAATTCACCAGCCTCAGCCTCCCCAAGTGCTGAGATGACAGGTGTGAGCCACTGCACCCGCCTACTCCTTTGTCTTCACTCCCTTGGTGATCTCATTCTATCTGATGGCTTTAAATACCATCTATATGCATTCTTGTGTTTTATTAAAAGGAAGATGTAAGTAAACGAAATTGGTCAAGATATTTCTAATACTTCTTCACATTCACAGGCTGGATTTTCTGAATTACTTTTCAACTCAGTATTACTGATGTTCAAGGTGTTCCACCAACTTTGTCCATTATACCGTCAGAGCAAAAGAACACTGTGATCTCTGGGGGCTTTTGTGATCTCACTATAAAGTGAGTCAGTATAAGATTTCTAATCCACAACCAGGATTTATAGTCATTCTCAAATGTTCCTGATATGATCCATTGCTTGCAATGCTGAGGAGTTGCAGTTTTCCAGTCACCCCACCAGGAATAATAATGTGGGACTCTCGGCCAGGCATCGTGGCTCATGCCTGTAATCCCAGCACTTTGGGAGACCAAGGCGGGTGGATCACCTGAGGTTGGGAGTTCGAGACCAGCCTCACCAACATGGAGAAACCCCATCTCTACTAAAAACACAAAAAAAATTAGCCAGGCGTGGTGGCCCATGCCTGCAATCCCAGCTACTCCGGTTGCTGAGGCAGAAGAATCACTTCAACCCAGGAGGCGGAGGTTGCAGTGAGCCGAGATCGCGCCATTGCACTCCAGCCTGGGCAACAAGAGCGAAACAAGTCCTAATAATGTAGGACTCTCATACCTGGGCAATGGCAACTAGTCACATCTACCCCAGCTAATAATTAATGTAAGATGCCCTAGGTGGTACAATCTTTCATATATGATGCCCTAGACACATTCCAATTTCGGAAATGTTAAATGCGTCTCGATACTGATAACATATGGTAATAAATGTCACTTTTCTTCTGGTTTCCCTGCAAAGTTCTGTGTCACACAGAATCTTTTACTGCTCCATAGCATGGAAAGATTTGATTTGGGGCAAGAGATCTTTAAACTAGTGTGGAGGCTGCTATCAGAGGTTAATAGAAGAAAACTGATAGAAACTAGAGTCCTGCTCAGGCTGGGTCACGTGCAGAGAAAATGTCACAAGTTAGTTTAGAGGGATACCTGTGTCAATTTGGTTTTACTTGACCACTTGCAAATAAAGGATTTTGCGAATTTTTCACTTTTTTGTTTGTTTGTTTGTTTTGCTAGACTAAGTTGGAATAAATGGCTTGGATAGAGAAACTTGAAGATTGACAATTTAATACATTTGTGTTAAAAGAAAAAAGAAAACTCACATTTGATATCATTATTTAACATTTATTGAGTTCCCTAGTTCTTATAACAATTTATGAAATACGGTATAAAAGGTAATCCTATAATCCTCAAGAAAAAAATGTTGACTTTCAACCCTAGCATGAAAAGAAGGAGCTTCCTGTATTATAAGCCAATTCACAGTCTTAGAAATCCTATTAAAATAGCTGAATATTATGCTTGAATCTCTTAGACTCCTTTGGTACAAGACAAGGATTAGAAACTTGGCTATAGAGAAATGTTTTAGACCTGTGCATCATTAAATTTACTCCTAAATTTGAGATGGCTGGAGTTTCCCCTGTGTAAGAAAACATGTGATTTTTTTTTCTCTTCTAGCATTATAGCAATGTTAAAATAATAAAGCAAAAAAAAAAAAACCCTTAAATAACTGTATCCAAAAAATAAATATCTCAGTATTCAGGGGAAGGGAAGAAACTAAAAGGGGTTAAGCATCAGCACTACACTAGGCTCTTGATGGGGATCATCTTATTTAATTCTCACAGCATATTTATGAGGTGGGGATTTTTGGAAACCAAGACTTGGGAAGCCTAAGTAAGATCATGAGGCTAGGCAGGGCGCAGTGGCTCACACCTGTAATCCCAGCACTTTTGGAGGCCAAGGTGGGGCAGATCACCTGAGGTCAGGAGTTCAAGACCAGCCTGCCCAACATGGTGAAATCGTCTCTACTAAAAATACAAAAAATTAGCCAGGCGTGGTGGCGCGCACCTGTAATCCCAGCTACTTGGGAGGCTGAGGCAGGAGAATCACTTGAACCCAGGAGGTGGAGGTTGCAGTGAGCTGAGATCTCACCACTGCACTCCAGCCTGGGAGACAACAGTGAAACACTGTCCAAAAAAAAAAAAAAAAAAAATCACAAGGCTAGTGGAAGCAGGGCTGAGATTGAAGCGCAGTCTGCTTAACCTTCACCGTTTATGCTCTTGACACCTTCACACTTGCTAACAGATGATTTAGTCTACCAAAAAGTCATGATTTCTGCTTCATATATTCCTAGATTTCTGAAAGAGGGAGAATTAAGGAAGAAGCCAATTCACATGAGACAGAAGCAGAGATTCTGTTTCTGTCTGCCTGGTAATAACTTTAATAGTCTATCTATTAAGCAGAATTTTTAGAATACCCTCTGGCTATAGGTTACTTTGCTGACACCACTAATTAGATCCTTACCCAGGGCCCAGTCAAGGCCATTTTGTAACCCTCTACCTCCCTTCTTTGTTCAACTCCCTCTGCCTTATCCAACATTGGATAATTGGTAATGGAAATCCAAATAGAGGCGGCAGTGCTCCTGCACCCTAATTTTATAGCCTAAAGTCTTGGGGCTCTAAATCAAGCTTTAATATTGGAACAATTAAGCAGCTTCCTGCAGCTTCACCCATAATTATGACAAGTCCTGCAAATCCAGCCAGAATTCAGGGTGTTTAAACTACAATATACTCTGCTAGAGCCTATAGCAGGTGCATTTTTTAGTAGAATGGGCCCCTGATTTTTTTCCAGATGTGATTTTTCTTCTTCTTCTTTAAAGACCTCATTTTATGTGTTGAGACAGCAACAGGAAATCTCTTTGGCTTTCTTCCCCCTCCCTGCTACTCTATTTATAGTTCCAAATGTTGCCAGGTGTCAGCAACAAAATTAAAGAGGGACCATTCGAGTCTCTCCAAGCTGTTGTTGTTATTTAGGGTTCATCTAATATGTTACATTAGCAAGCTGCAGTGCAGTTGCATTTATTCAAATATTCTGAACATTTTAAAGATGCCTAATGATTTACTGTTTTCCAAGCCCCAAACAAAGTCCTTCTCTATACTGTGTACATTTAAGCTGCTAAAACCTAAAGAGTTAAGCCTGAGGGAATTATGATCTAAGCTGAAACAGTTCACTAAAAGTGGCTGTGCAAGCTGGAGTGTACTCAACTTCATTTTGTGATAATGCATATAAGTAGCTATGTTTTTGTTTTTTTGAGACAGAGTTTCGCTCTTGTTGCCTAGACTAGAGTGCAACGGTGCAGTCTCAGCACACTGCAACCTCCGCCTCCCGGGTTCAAGCGATTCTCCTGCCTCAGCCTCCTGAGTAGCTGAGATTACACCCGCCACCACGCCCAGCCAATTTTTGTGTTTTTAGTAGAGACGGGGTTTCACCATGTCGGTCAGGCTGGTCTTGAACTCCTGACCTCAGGCAATCCGCCCACGTCGGCCTCCCAAAGTGCTGGGATTACAGGCATGAGCGCTATGTTTTAACACCAAAAAAATGGAGCACATGCTTAAGGTTTAAAGGCATTCCCATGGCTTTAAAAGTAGCTGTACATGTTTGTCAACAGGTTCAATTTATTCATCTAGAAAATGGGAATAGTTTTAATTAAGTGATAACTTATGGGGATGGGGGAGAGAATGCTTTCTCTATTACTCTTTCTATTGCTCTCGCTTAATTAGCTTTACACAAAAGGACGTGGTGGCTCACCTGTAATCCCAGCACTGTGGGAAGCCGAGGCGGGCGGATCACTTGAGCCCAGGAGTTCAAGAACAGCCTGGGCAACATGGCAAAAACCCTCTCTTTACCAAAAATATGAAAAAATTAACCGAGTGTGGTGGTGCACTTCTGTAGTCCAGCTACTCAGGGGGCTAGGATGGGAGAATCACCTGAGCCCGGGAAGCCAAGCCTGCAGTGAGCCGTGATCGCACCACTGCACTCCAGCCTGGGTGACAGAATAAGACCCTGTCTCAATAAAAAAGAAAGAAAGAAACCTAGAAACTCATAGCCTACCAAGTTTCATAGCCATGACTAGAAGTATGCAGGTGGGTGTATGAAGGGACAGGAGTCACAGAACACAGAGTCTGTTTGCTGTATTTCTCAGTAGAATCCATTATGAACAAGCCTATACTTTGACCAGTGGATGTGAGGCATGTAGCCAGGTACTGCCATCTCCTCCCAGTCCTGCCAGGCAGCAGAAATGAAAAGAAAGCCACAGTGAAAAAATAAATAAATAACCAAACCTCAAAAAAGTGACCACGAGTTTCCCAAATAATAAATGGTTATGAGGGCCTAATTATAATGAGGCAATTGACGTCTGAGACTTGAACTCACCAGGAAAGGTTTGAAAGTTAGCAGGGCATCTTTTGTAAGACCAAAAGATGGGGTTAGAGAGCGACATGAGAAAACTAAACTTCTCTTCTACTATTTGCTTTGAGCAATTCTATGTGTTTTAGAGTTAATTTTTATCAAAATCTTTGGAAGATAAATATTTTTATAGCGACTTAAAAGATGATAAAAATGCCTGGTGTGGTGGCTCTGGTCTATAATCCCAGCACTTTGGGAGGCCAAGGTTGGTGGATAGCTTGAGCTCAGGAGTTCAAGATTAGCCTGGACAACATAGTGAGACCTTATCTCTACAAAAACAAAGAATCAGCTGGGTGCAGTGGCATGAACCTGTAATCCCAGCTACTCAGGAGGCTGAGGTCAAGGGCTGAGGTCGGAAGGATCACTTGAGGCCTGGAGGTTGAGGCTGCAGTGAGCCGAGATCACACCACTGCACTCTAGCCTGGGCGACAAAGCAAAACACTGTCTCTCTCTCTCTCTCTCTCTCTCTCTCTCTCTCACACACACACACACACACACACACACACAGATGAAAATAAGGTGCACAGAAGCTCTGAACTTGGTGACATGCCAACATAAAGCTGACCCACCCCAGAACCGTAAATAATCATGATATGCAGGTGGAGTGGAGAATCAAACTCGAGTCTGTCTGGCTACCAAGCCCATGCTCTTTTCACTTTAATTTTTCAGTTTTTTTTTTAAATCACTATTCTAGGAGAAAAAAAATAGCCTGCATGGGCCGGGCGCAGTGGCTCACACTGGTAATCCCAGCACTTTGGGAGGCCGAGGCGGGTAGATCACGAGGTCAGAAGATCGAGACCATCCTGGCTAACACGGTGAAACTCCGTATCTACTAAAAATACAAAAAAATTAGCCGGGCATGGTGGCGGGCGCCTGTAGTCCCAGCTACTCGGGAGGCTGAGGCAGGAGAACGGCGTGAACCCGGGAGGCGGAGCTTGCAGTGAGCCGAGATCGCGCCACTGCACTCCAGCCTGGGCAACAGAGCGAGACTCCACCTCAAAAAAAAAATAGACAGCATGAATAATATTTTACATATGTTTAGTTATACTTAAATGTATTTCAGTTCTAAAAAAAAAAAACAATAGAAGAGCCGGGCGCAGTGGCTCACACCTGTAATCCCAGCACTTTGGGAGGCTGAGGCAGGCGGATCACCTAAGATTGGGAGTTTGAGACCAGCCTGACCAACATGGAGAAACCCCGTCTCTACTAAAAATACAAAATTAGCCAGGCATGGTGGCACATGCCTGTAATCCCAGCTATTAGGGAGACTGAGGCAGGAGAATCACTTGAACCTGGGAGGTGGAGGTTGCAGTGAGCCGAGATCACACCATTGCATTCCAGCCTGGGCAACAAGAGCAAGACTCCATCTCAAAAAAAAAAAAAAAAAATAGAAGTACTACTACAAAGGAGATATGACTAGACGTCTAGGAATGAAAGCAAATCAGAAGCCTTTGGAAATCAGAAGAGATTCACAAGGTCATTTTATGGCTTTCTACAAAAATTATCTATTAACCAAATTATCAGTTTCTTTTACAGCACACACACCCCATCACCACCACCACTGAAAGGGAATAGAAAGTAAATGCCCCAGGTTAGCTCAGGCTGGAGCATTCCCAGAGAGAACTATCACCAGTTACTCTAAATCATGCCTCAGGCTCTCACCACTTAACTAGCAACTTAATTATAAAATAAAATATAATATCTGTGATGTATTCCAGCACTCATCATGGCCCCTGGCCCCAACTTCTGCTCCAGGGCCCAAGTCCATTTGCACTAGCCCACTTCAGAATAGTTGAGGGCAAGGCTTGATTCCCAAATCTCGTTGTGTTGATCATTAGCATGAACATTAGTCTGTCTAAGGCCAGGCGTGGTGGCTCATGCTTGTAATCCCAGCACTTTGGGAGGCTGAGGAGGGCGGATCACGAGGTCAGGAGATCGAGACCATCCTGGCTAACACGGTGAAACCCCGTCTCCACTAAAAATGCAAAAAATTAGCCGGGTGCGGTGACGGGCACCTGTAGTCCCAGCTACTCAGGAGGCTGAGGCAGGAGAATGGCGTGAACCCGAGAGGCGGAGCTTGCAGTGAGTCAAGATCTTGCCCCTGCACTCCAGCCTGGGCGATACAGTGAGACCCCGTCTCAAAAAAAAAAACAAAAAACAAACCAAAAAAAACCCCATTAATCTGTCTAGCATCTAATGACATTTTAATTGCTCTAGCGTTAGCTAAGCTGGGACATTTACTCTCTATTCAATTTTTAGTGGCAGTGGTGGTAGGGTGTGTGCATATGTGTTTGCGGGTAGGATAGGGGAGCTATTGACAAAGGATGCTTCAAACTTAAAACTTTACGAAATTTCTGAAAGCCTTTCCCCGCCCCCTACCCAGAGACGGAGTCTTACTCTGTCGCCCAGGCTGGAGTGCAGTGACACCATCTTGGCTCACTGCAACCTCTACCTCCTGGATTCAAGCGATTCTCTTGCCTCAGCCTCCCCAGTAGCTGGGACTACAGGCGCGTGCCACCAGCCCCGAAGCCTTCTTTTTTACCAAGAACAACAACAAAAGATGTTTAGACAAAACGCTTGGTTTTCATAGTCCCAAGCTTTTTATACTTGAAGTTTCTCATTTCTTTACAACTGAAATCAGTGTGTAAATACTTGTATTAAAAGGCAGAATGTGCTGTTTGAAGGTGTCCTAGAGCTTAGAGAATAGTTGGTTTATCTGCAGCTATCTCATATTGATCTTTCAGTCATCTTCAGGATTAATTGATTTGCTTCAAATAAGATTTTTATACTACCAGCATCAGGGAGAATTTCAAAACCTCAGTAGGGAACTTAAATAAGCAGAAAATATATATAAAGTATCATAGCAAATAAATATTTTTTAGTTTACTCTGCAAGTTATTCCAAAGAAACTTCTGAATTGCATGAATGAAACACATGGTTATAGAAATAAATGACGACCAATCAAATGAGAAATGCAAGTGCTATTTTTTCACAGCCTGCTATACAACAAGGGAGTTAGCTACTGTCGCTGTGTTTTGGCAGTGATTCAAAGGCAGAGAAATGAGAAAGCTTTATAGCAGGGCAGTGGGTGGGGAGGGAAGGGTTCAGGTGTATCCTGATTGGAGGCTATTGCCATGGGGAAGCTGTAGGCGGGCTAAACAGAAGTAGGGGCATTCTGCATGATCGGTTAGGGGTGCGTGTTTCGTTTTCTCTGTTTGGTCTTAAATTGGATGTAGGCACAAAAATTAGGGTAGATGTCAGTCATTAATCAAGTCCTGGCCGTGTGGGTCCAGTTGTTACAGAAGTTATCCGTTAGCTTCCTGGATTGTTACCAGCGATAGCCACCTGGCTTCCAGCAAGTCTGTCAGAAGAAAAACTTCTCTATATTCTTATCTTCAGTACCTGGGGCCTATATTGACGAAAGAAAGATTAAAAAGGAAAAAAAGTTTTCTTCACATACAACAAAGAAGTAGTTTGCTCACTGAAGTTAGAGGTTCATATACCTAATTTAGTAGAGAAAGGGGAGAGGGCAGAAATGGCTCTCATAGAACAAATAGGTTTCTTTAGGAAAAACAAATGAGTTTTTAGAAGAACAAACAGGAGTTAAGAAAATTTGCTATAATGTTTGTTTATGCAAGTGTGGGTGGTCTTTCCATCTTCTTCATGGCCATGAAACTCCCCAGGAGAGGGGATTTATGTAGCCTCATTTTTCAGAAGTTGCTGCTGTTAGTCAGATAAGACAAGCTCCAAGGATGCTATTCCCTGCATCTGTTGAATCTCAGATATCTTCAGTTTAAAATAATCTTCGTATCAACTCTCGTGTTTCAAGTGGGTCCCCGCAACTTATAGCAGGCTGGCGTCCTGAACTACTTATTGTAGATAAAGAAGTTAGTTTCCTAAGCAGGTTGCAGCATAATTCAGAGTTCTATTTTTTTTTATATGGTCCAACCATTTTTCATTTGTACATTCAGTCTCTGATCGTCATGTGTGATGCCATTTTGCAGGGAAGGAAGGCAGATCTTTTTTCTCTTCCTTTTCTTACAAATTCGTATTGCCACTAATATAAGCATATGTGCTACAGTTTAAAGGAATTCAGAATGAATTTTCATATTTTCAGCAAAGTCAGCTTCTCCTTTTTGTTTCAATTGTAATTGTGCTGCAATCACACTCTGTATTGGAAGAAGATCTGTATCCCTTAGTTAGTAGATACAAAGAAAATGTAATGGAGATAGATATAGGGGAGTGAAATCTAGAGGCAAAATGAAGGGTAGAATCAAGGGAGGGGTTCGGTGCTCTTGCAGTACCTGGTTGTCTGGCTTTTACCCAAGAAAAGCCATGGGGAATGCTCAACAAGATGGTGAAGAGAAACAAGGGAAGAGAGAAATAGCACAAATAGAAAAAAGACACTGAGACTCAATTCTGATTAACATTTAACTGTCATCCACTCCAGAATGGTTAGAATGACTAACCCTCTTCATCCATACAAGCTAGTGTCCTTTTCTATCTTCTCCTTTAACAATTCTAAATTGAGTTTTTCTATAATTCTGAGGCTAACCCCGTAGTCTCATCCTCACTAAAAGAGAGTACGGAAACTTATAGGACAAAATCAGTTGATCAAAGCAAAACAGAAATTACAAGGGAAATAAAAGGTAGGAATCAAATATTGGCCAGGCGCGGTGGCTCACGCCTGTAATCCCAACACTTTGGGAGGCAGAGGGGGGCAGGTCACTTGAGGTCAGGAGTTTGAGACCAGCCTGGCCAACATGGTTAAACCCCATCTCTACCAAAAATACAGGCTAGGCACGGTGATTCATGCCTATAATCACAGCACTTTGGGAGGCCAAGGCGGGCAGATCACCTGAGGTCAGGAGTTCAAGACCAGCCTGGCTAAAGTGGCAGAACCCCGTCTCTACTAAAAATACAAAAAAATTGGCTGGGCACAGTGGCGCACACCTGTAGTCCCAGCTACTCAGGAGGCTAAGGCAGGAGAATTGTTTGAACCCAGGAGGTGGAGATTATAGTGAGCCAAGATCGTGCCATTGCACTCCAGCCTGGGTGACAAGAGTGAAACTCTGTCTCAAAAAATAATAAAAAATAAATAAATACATAAAATAAAATAAATAAAAAATACAAAACAAATAGCCAGGCGTGGTGACACACACTTATAATCCCAGCTACTTGGGAGGCTGAGGCAGGAGGATTGCTTGAACCCAGAAAGTGAAGGTTGCAGTGAGCTGAGATTGTGCCACTAAACTCCAGCTTGGATGACAAAGTGAGACTCTGTCTCAAAAAAAAAAAAAAATTGATCAGTGATATCAAGGGAAAGAAGATGTTCAGTGAAAATTTTGTCCTCATTTTACATAGCACACTCCACAACTTGGTATCTCTAAGTAGACTATGTTTTCAAATTTTAATCTTAATTTTTTATTAAAATAATTGTAATTTAATACATGTAACATGCACTGTCTGTACCAAGAGAGGGGCAGAAAGTCAAGACTGGCTTGTCTTGGGAAGAAAATGTCAAAATGTGCTTTAGATAGGGAGGGCTAATTGGCTTCCAAATTAAAATACTCAAGAAATTAGTCTACACTGCCAGGCCATTATCTCTTACTAGGGAACAATGGGAGACAGAACATATGTGCTGTGGTTGAAAAGGGCAGAAGTTATATTCGTTTTTAATTAGAAAAATTGCAATGGCCCTATAAATTATAGAATATGCAACTTTCCTTGGAGTCCCAAGAAGATGCTGGGTTTGCTCTTCACATAATCAGTCCAAAAACACCAACAGTGCCACGTATGGAAGAATGCTCAGCCTGACTCTGATTCTCTGAAGAGAATCTCATCAACCCATTTGCTACTCTGCTGTAAGAGTCTAGCAGGCTATATAGACAAAGTAAATACAACCGATGGAATGTTGTTAGACTTGAATAAGATTTTAATTCAATAATATGTGATTTTCTCATCTACAAAAAGGTTTAAAGTTATAGCATAAAATTTTAAAACCTTGGCAAAAGCTTATATCCAACGCATTCAAAAGCTTAAGAACTCAATATTGCCAGAAGGACATTTTGAAGAGTGTCCCATTTAAAGGCAGAGATTAACATTTTGGTCACTACCTGAGGCTTCTGGAGCCCTGTCATTACTCAGAAAAAGGCATCTTCTCACCAGAAGATGGCTGGATGTCAGCTCATACTTATCTCTGCCCAAATATCCTTGTGCAGGACTCAGCTAAGCAGGTAGTCTGACTGCAACCCCCTCCACCATTCTCTGACTCCTTTTTCCCTGCTTTATTTTCTCCACAACATACAACAGCTTACAGCTTGCAGCATACTGTATGAGTTAGCTTATTTCGCTTATTTTTTATCTCCATACTAGAATACATGCTCCATGATTACAAGAATTTTTGTCCGTTTTGTTCACTGTTCCTGTCACCAGCACCTGGTGTGCCTGATTAATCATGATAGTGTTCAATAAATATTGCTGAAATAAGAAACTATAGAGGAAATGAACCAGGTCAAGTGAAATAAAGACAAAATAAATTTTGAAGGCAAAAGGAATAGGATTTCCCTGTTATTACCCGGCTTGTCAGTAAAGTCCTACCGTGATAGTCAAAGTCAAGAGACAATCATATGAGACTCATTGTTCTTGACCTAGACCTGAGCACCACTGCACAGCATTAAAATCTTCCCTCTTCCTCCTCCTTCTGGTCCTCTTGTTGAATTCACCAATACCAACTCCATTTCTAAGGCAGTGCGACGTTTGCCCTCTAGTGATTTGCCACTCTGCAAGTCTGTGAAACCAAGATGAATTGGGTATACTGGTCTCATCATTTCCTACAGCACAAAAGAAGCACTTCTTTTTGAAGAATTTTCAGAAAATTTCCACATAGAAAACATTATAACTAAAGACCACTATTTTTTCTTTTTCTTTTTTGAGACGGAGTCTCGCTCTATCGCCAGGCTAGAGTGCAGTGGCACAATCTTGGCTCACTGCAACTTCCAACTCCCTGGTTCAAGCAATTCTCCTGCTTGTAGCGTACTTTATGAGTTAGCTTATTTCGCTTATTTTTTAAATAAGCCTGGGAATAGCAGAAGTCAGTATGCAAAATGAAGATGACAGTTTTTTTTTTTTTTTTAGACGGAGTCTCGCTCTGTCGCCCAGGCTGGAGGGCAGTGGCATGATCTCGGCTCACTGCAAGCTCTGCCTCCTGGGTTCACACCATTCTCCTGCCTCAGCCTCCCGAGTAGCTGGGACTACAGGAGCCCGCTACCACGCCCGGCTAATTTTTTGTATTTTTTAGTAGAGACGGGGTTTCACCATGTTAGCCAGGATGGTCTTGATCTCCTGATCTCGTGATCTGCCCGCCTCGGCCTCCCAAAGTGCTGGGATTACAGGTGTGAGCCACCACACCCGGCCCAGCTTCTTTTTATTAGGAGGTCTCTGATGCTACTTCTGAAGTCCTGAGGTATAGGTCACCAATACTTAGAAGTGGTTATCATGAAATATTGAAAAGAATTGCATAGGACGAGCACAGTGGTTCACACCTGTAATCCCAGCACTTTGGGAGGCCAAGGTGGGCGGATCACTTGATGTCAGGAGTTCAAGACCAGCCTGGCCAACATGGTGAAACCCTGTCTCTACTAAAAAAATACAAAAAATTAGCCAGGCGTGGTGGCGCATGCCTGTAATCCCAGCTACACGGGAGGCTGAGGCAGAAGAACCACTTGAATCTGGGAGGCAGAGGTTGCAGTGAACTGAGAGCAACTGCACTCCAGCCTGGGCAACAAAGCGAGATCTCATCTTGAAAAAAAAAATACATTCATGGTTTAGTTTTTTATTACATAAAAATATTAAAAATAATTTTCAGGCCAAGCGCAGTGGCTCAATCCTGTAATCCCAGGACTTTGGGAGGCCAAGGTGGGCAGATCATGAAGTCAGGAGTTCGAGACCTGCCTGGCCAACATGGTGAAACCCCATCTTTACTAAAAAAATACAAAAAATTAGCTGGACGTGGTGGCAGGTGCCTGTAGTCCCAACTATACGGGAGGCTGAGGCAGGAGAATCACTTGAACCTGGGAAGCAGAGGTTGCAGTGATCCGAGATCACACCACTGCACTCCAGCCTGGTGACAGAGCGAGACTCCGTCTCAAAAAATAAATAAATAAATAAATAAATAAATAAATAAATAAATAAAATAAATAATAATAATTTTCAGAAACTGGCACTCCCAGAAAATGGAGTCACTGAACATCCTTGAAGAGAGATCTGGGCATGGGTCTTCCTTTCAGGTATCCACCACAGTCACTAAGCCTGTCAATTTTACCACCTTGAAATTTCTTGGATCAATTCCGTCTTCTCAATTGACGCTGCTAGTCTTGGTTAAGATTATCATCATCTCTCACATTAACTGCTGAAATAATTATTTCTCCACTTCTGTTCTAGCCTTCACATTCCCCCTACTGCAAATGATTGTCATTCTTTTTCTTAAAATACTAAATGGCTTCCTTTTACCCAAAAGATTAAAATCTAAACCAACGTTTCTTCTTTTTTTTTTTGAGACTGAGTCTCACTGTGTCACCCAGGCTGGAGTGCAGTGGCGCTATCTTGGCTCACTGCAACCTCTACCTCCAGGGTCCAAGCGATTCTTGTGCCTCAGCCTCCCAAGCAGCTGGGATTACAGGCTCCCACCATCACGCTTGGCTTATTTTTGTATTTTTAGTAGAGATGAGGTTTCACCTTGTTGACCAGGCTGGTCTTGAACTCCTGGCCTCAAGTGTTCTGCCTGCCTCGGCCTCTCAGAGTGCTGGGATTACAGGCATGAGCCACCATGCCCGGCCTAGACTGGGTAATTTTAAAACAACATAAATTTGTTGCTCATGGTTCTGGAGGGTGGGAAGTTTAAGGTCAAAGTGCCAGCAGATTCAGTGTCTCATGAGGGCTTCCTCTGTGCTTCAAAGATGGTTCCTTCTATGTATCCTCATGTGACAGAAGGGGCAAACAAGCTCCCTCAAGCCCCCATTATAAGGATTATGATCCCATTCCTGATCATGGAGCCCTCCTGACCTAGTTGTCTTTCAAAGGCCCCACCTCTTAATACCATTGCACTGGGGATTAGGTTCCAACATATCAGTTTGTGGGGGACGCAAAGATTCAGACTATCACTCTTATAAACATTTTATTAAATAATACATACATAAATAGTACACCCGGAAAGATACTGTGCATAGGTTATACAGCCTGATGAATAATCACAGTTAACATACTGGTGCAACAACCACCAAAATCAAGAAATAAAGTATTATAGGCCAGGCGCAGTGGCTCATGCCTGTAATCCCAGCACTTTGAGGCCGAGGTAGGTGGATCACGAGGTCAGGAGATCGAGACCATCCTGGCTAACACAGTGAAACCCCATCTCTACTAAAAATACAAAAAATTAGCCGAGTGTGGTGGCAGGCACCTGTAGTCCCAGCTACTCGGGAGGCTGAGGCAGGAGAAGTGTGAACCCGGGAGGCGGAGCTTGCAGTGAGCAGAGATCTGGCCGCTGCACTCCAGCCTGGGCAACAGAGCGAGACTCCAACTCAAAAAAAAAAAAGAAAAGAAAAGAAAAAGAAATAAAGTATTACAATCTAGCTACTTTCCTTTTGCTCTTCCAGCCACTATTCTTTTCCTCTTTCCCAGTTAATCACTAACCAACTTCTACAATTTACAATCTACTTGTATCCAAGGTTGACTTACATGAGCCCCTGTTGACATGTCATTAGTACACCAACTAATAGTAGAGCTGGGATTCAAATTTGACTCTGTCTGTTTGTAAAGTTTATGCTTTGGGAATGTTCTTAATAGTCGTTTCCATTCCCTACTGATACAGCAGAATTGCTAAGAAAAAGAAAGCCTAATTATTTCTTCAAATCACCAATGTTCCCACACTGCACCTTGACAGAAGAGAAAAATGCCCTTCACAGACAAACAAAACATGTGAATGAAAAAGAACATTAAATTTAGTTGTTTATTAAATAATAAAGCTACTGATTCTAACACCTTTGGCTGGACACAGGAACTATATATAGGATATAAGAACTGTACATAAGTGTGTGTGTGTGTGTGTGTTTATATGTACATATGTATATTATAGATATACATACAATATACAAACACATACACATTTATGTGTATTAGAGAGAGAGAGAATAAGAGTCCACAACCAAATGTCTGTAATAAAATATCTTTCTGTAAGTTTCGCATAAACTCATTTGGTAGCTCAACCTGCCCTGAACCAATATGAAACTAAATATAGTATGTTTATTATGACAATATAATTTATTATATAAATATAATACATAAATATATCTTTATGATCAAATTTTAATGTGTTTAGACAACTTATACCATCCCAAACTTCACTAGGTGTGTCATGTAACATGGCATATGTATTATATTATCTGATTTCTAGTATCATTAGTGTGACCAGTATGCATTCTCTTCCACTACCACACACCTCAAACAAAAAAAAGAAAACAGAAGGCTGGGCATGGTGGCTCATGCCTATAATCCCAGCACTTTGGGAGGCCGAAGTAGGCTGATCACCTGAGGTCAGGAGTTCGAGAACAGCCTGGCCAACAGGTGAATCACCATCTCTACTAAAAATACAAAAAAATTAGCTGGACGTGGTGGCGGGCACCCGTAATCCCAGCTACTTGGGAGGCTGAGGCAGGAGAATTGCTTGAACTCGGGAGGCAGACGTTACAGTGAGCCAAGATTGTGCCATTGCACTCCAGCCTGGGTAACAAAAGCAAAACTCCATCTCAAGAAAGAAAAAAAGAAAAGAAAGAAAGAAAGAAGGAAGGCAGGAAGGAAGGAAGGAAGGAAGGAAGGAAGGAAGGAAGGAAGGAAGGAAGGAAGGAAGGAAGACGAAACAGAAAAGAAATCTTGTAGTGTATACATAGATTGTTAAGTACCTAAAAACAAAACTGTTCGGAGGCCCAGGTGGGCGGATCACTTGAGATCAGGAGTTTGAGACTAGCCTGGCCAACATGTTGAAACCCCATCTCCACTAAAAATACAAAAATTAGCCAGGTGTGGTAGCACACGCCTGTAGTCCTAGCTAATTGGGAGGCTGAGGCAGGAGAATCTCTTGAACCCAGGAGGCAGAGAAGTTGTCGTGAGCCAAGATAGTGCCACTGCACTCCAGCCTTGGTGACACAGTGAGACTCTGTCTCAAAAAAAGAAAAAAAAAGACTGGGCACAGTGACTCACACCTGTAATCCCAGCACTTTGGGACGCCTAGAGTGAGACTGTGTCTTAAAAAAAGAAAAAAAAGACTGGGCACAGTGACTCACACCTGTAATCCCAGCACTTTGGGAGGCCTAGGTGGATGGATCATGAGGTCAGGAGTTCAAGACCAGCCTGGCCAACACAGCGAAACCTCATCTCTACTAAAAATATAAAAATTAGCCAGGCATGGTGGCACGCACCTGTAGTCCCAGCTACTCGGGAGGCTGAGGCAGGAGAATCGCTTGAACCCAGGAGGTGGAGGTTGCAGTGAGCCGAGACTGTGCCATTGCACTCCAGCCTGGGTGACAAAGTGAGACTCCATCTCAAAAAAAAAAAAAGAAAAAAAAAACGGAAGGAAATTGAGATTGCTGAACTACTGTAACCAAAAGAAAGTAATGCAAACAATGTCTGTCCTCTTCTGCTGAGATGACTTGAAAACAGGAATGAGACATTGGAAAACAATAATCATACTTAATGGAAAGTCTTCATAATCCTGTAGTATAACAAGCTGCCTCTTTCACTTGTCTCTAACAAAGTATACAGAAATGCCATTTAAATATCATGTATACTTGACTGCAGGATTTTTTCCATTCGATCATTTCTGAAATCCAAATGTACCATTCAATTAATGTATGCATGTGGTGTATAAGTAAAACATCTATGACTAAATCAGCAATGAGTCTTACAGCCATTGATATCTCAGGATATATATTATGCCCCATCACACTAAGGCATTCACCTAGCTGTTTCTACTAGAAGGCTATAATAATAAAATTACAAGGCCTTCAGAGGAAAGACAATCATAGAATTCTAAGCAATGTGTTAGTGTGTAAGGCTTTAAATTGGAGCCATACAGACTTATTCAGCAATCCTTTCACTATGACTAAATTACTTTTGGGAGTAACTCCCTCAAGTTAGCAGACCAGAAAATACATTTATTCATTAAGCAAACTGTTGTATCATTAATATATAAATATAAAAAAGTCATGTTAGACTGTAAAAACACCAAAACAAAGTGCACCTAATTCTTAATAATTAGATAATATATAAATATAAAATTATATTTTGCATGTTATATTTTTGGGTTTGTTTAAAAGGTAGATATCACAATGAACACATATTTTGCAGCCTGCTTTTTCAAATTGCCACATAATATCCAAAGGGTGGCTATTCCACAGACATTTCCCAAAGTAATGAACATTTTTATTGTTTCTAATTTATTGCTATGTCAAATGTACTTCAGAATATCTCTAGAGGGCATGTTAAAAAATGGTATATCCTGGTTGCCTCTAGGAAGAACAAATAGTAGAACAGACACAAAGGTTTGAGAAAGATCTTTACTTTTCCCTGAATAACCTGTTATACATTTGAATTTTTTTATGTGAAAATAATAATTACATTTAAAAAAAGGTTTAAATACAATATCAGTATTGTATAGCCATTAAAATTGAAATACACAAAGAAAAGCTGCAATGAACTTGCTTTGTTGGATGTATTCTTTGGTTGCAATCTACCAGGCACTGTGTTAAGTGCTGTATGTACATTGTCTCATTTTGCCTCACTTAATCTTCATAGTAATCTTATAAGACAGGTGTTGGCCCTACTTTTACAGATAAGAAAATTGAGTGTGAACAAGTTATCTTCTCAAGTCACAGAGGGAGGCTGTGTGTAACAAAACCAGAATTTAAACCAGATTTTTCTGGCTCAAAAATCCTTGCTCTCAGCCACTGACCTGTAATAACTACTCTGTTTCCAGAAAATGCTAAACTCTCCTACCTCTGGCTGTGCTACAACTTTAGTGAATCACTTGCAGGACTCTGGTGAACTAGATTTTCCCATGTCTGTGGACTTTTGTCTTTTCTGATTACAAGCCTTCCCCTCTTGATTAATCCCTACCTTTCCTTCAATGGTCAAGGTTGATCTCTTGCAATCTTTCCCTAAGCATCAGACTTAGTTGAAAGCCTTCTGTCTGCCTTTTGCAGCATTCTGTGCTACCAATGTGTTCATTAACATATCAGATGACTTGTATGTCTCCCAGCCAAATGGCACATTCTTAGGGTCAGAAAAGTCTAAATATTCCTCATATTACTAGTCCCAATGTTTGTAATATTTAGCACATTTATTTAGCTAGTAATATTTAGCCTCAATCACTATATGCTTAATTCAAGTTAAGGACTAATATATACAAAGAATCATAGAATGTTGGAGCTACTTCAGTGGTTTCCAACCTCAGCTGCACACTGTAACTTCAGGAGTTTTAAAAATAGATTATCTGGCTTACCCTAGACTTAATAAATCAGAATATCTACAGGTGGAAATCCACAATCTATATTGTTTAAATGGCCTTCCAGTTGATGCCAAGCTTGGGAATCTCTGATCTACTCTACTTGTCTCATTTTATGGAATATGAAGATGGAGATCTAGAGGATAAATAACTGGCCAATGTCACAAGCAGAAGTAAAGATAGGACTTGCACTCCAGTCTCTTGATTTGTAGCTGCTTCACTTAATCACTCAAAAACTATTTATTAAATATCTTTGGCCGGGCACAGTGGCTCACACCTGTAATCCCATCACTTTGGGAGGCCAAGGCGGGCGGATCCCGAGTTCAGGAGTTCGACATCAGCCTGGCCAAAATGGTGAAATGCCGTCTCTACTAAAAATACAAAAATTAGCCAGGCATGGTGGTGCATGCCTGTAGTCCCAGCTAGTCGGGAGGCTGAGGCTGAAGAATCATTTGAACCCGGGAGCCAAGGTTGCAGTGAGCTGAAATTGTGCCACTGCACTCCAGCCTGAGCTACAAAGTGAGACTCAATCTCAAAAAAAAAAAAAAAAAAAAAAAAAAAGGTGTATATATATATGGTGAAACCCTGTCTCTACTAAAAATACAAAAATTAGCCGGGCGTGGTGGCGGGTGCCTGTAGTCCCAGCTACTCGGGAGGCTGAGGCAGGAGAATCGCTTAAACCCAGGAGGCAGAGGTTGCAGTGAGCCGAGATCACGTCACTGCACTCCAGCCTGGGCAACAGAGCCAGACTCCGTCTCAAATAAATAAATAAATAAATAGATAAAAGAGTACCTGGTGGTATAAAGCATATATATATAATTGGGGGACCTGCCTTACTTTTGGGGGTTGAGGGTAGTCACATAATCTTACTTAAGATGAGCTCTCTGAGCTCTGGAGAGAACATACAGAAATAAATAAAAAATATTATCTCAAGATAATCTTCGGCCCATGGGTTCTCTATGAGACATCTTTTAATTTTCTGTTTTCACTGTGATGACAACCTTAAAAATTAACAGAAACACTTTCTGGATCATTTTTTATAACTGAGTTCTGCCCGAAGCTCACATTGAACATGTGTGTTTTTTACTGAGTTGGCCACAAGTAGTACAACTGTAGTAATCTCAGGCTAAGGTGAAAAGAAGATATCAACTTAGGCCAGGCATGGTGGCTCATGCCTGTAATCCCAGCACTTTGGGAGGCCGAGGCAGGCAGATCACAAGGGAGTTCGAGACCAGCCTGGCCAACATGGTGAAACCCCATCTCTACTAAAAATACAAAAATTAGCCAGGTGTGTTGGTGCGCACCTGTAATGCTCAGCTACTTGGGAGGCTGAGGCAGGAGAATTGCTTGAACCCGGGAGACAGACGTTGCAGTGAGCCAAGATAGCGCCATTGCACTCCAACCTGTGTAACAGAGCAAGACTCCGTCTCAGAAAACGAAAAGAAAGAAAGAAAGGAAAGGAAAGAAAGAAAGAGAATAGACTAATTTAATATGTATGTGTTGTATTCCTGCCAAGAGAAGATCAAATGTGCATCATGAATGCTGAAACAAAGACGGTTTCACAGTAGTTCACATAGAGGAGAGTGGTGAATGGTGTGTGTCATGACACAGCACCTATAGACCAGTCATGTTGAGCTCAAAAAGACCTGTAATCCCAAAGTGCTGGGATTACAGGCGTGAGCCACCGTGCCTAGCCATATGGTCTCTTTCTTTTTAGTTAATAGCCATTAAGTAAAATTTATTTGGGGTGTGATGTTGTATATGAACTGTGAACATAGGAGTTATAATTTTATATTTGTATCCAATCAGGCATGGTGGCTCACACCTGTAATCCCAGCACTTTAAGAGGCTGAGGGTGGATCACTTGAGGTCAGGAGTTCGAGACCAACCTGGCCAACATGGCAAAACCCTGTCTCTACTAAAAATACAAAAATTAGCCAGGCATGGTGGCACCCACCTGTAATCCCAGCTACTTGGTAGGCTGAGACAGGAGAATCACTTGAACCTGGGAGGCAGAGGTGACAGTAAACTGAGATCACACCACTGCACTCCAGCCTGGGCAACAGAGTGAGACTCTGTCTCAAAAAAATAAATTTTATGTTTGTATATATTTTATGTTGTAATAAAATGAATCAATATTTGGACACAAGCATATATATATATTTTTCTTTAAACTGATGCCGGCTGGGTGCTTACATCTTTAATCTCAGTGTTTGGGAGGCCAAGGCATGAGGATCACTTAAGGCCAGGAGTTCAAGACTGGGCCTGGACAACATAGCAAGACCCCATCTCTTAAAAAAAAAATGTATTAGCTGGATGTGGTGGTGCACACCTGTAGTCCTAACTACTATGGAGGCTGAGGCAGGAGGATCACTGGAGCCCAGGAGTTCAAGGTTACAGTGAGCCATGATCATACCATTGTACTCCAGACTGGGCAATAGAGTGACACCCTGTCTCAAAAATAAATGAAAAAGTAAATAATAAACTGATTCATACATTACTCACTAGGCAAGGGGGCAGATGTGTGCACATGTATTGGAGGGTCAGTGGGAGGAAGCATCCAGCAGAATTAAAAAGGTTCATAGGGAACCTAGGGAGAACTCCATAAGTGGCCCTGAGCATGGTTGGTGCAGAACCAGCAGAGGGCAGACAGGGCAGGCCAGCTGCTGACATGGGCTACTAAGAGGAATTTAGCCTTTTTCCTAAGAACAATGAGAAGCCCTTGCTCCTCACATTACATTAACCGTTCTGGAAATCTATTTCTGCTGTGGCATTTAAAATTCTAAAATAACTTTTTTTTTTTTTTTTTTGAGACGGCATCTAGCTCTGTTGCCCAGGCTGGAGTGCAATGGCACGATCTCGGCTCACTGCAACCTCTGCCTCCTGGGTTCAAGCGAGTCTCCTGCCTCAGCTTCCCGAGTAGCTGGGATTACAAGCGCGCACCACCACACTCAGCTAATTTTTTTTTTTAATTTTTAGTAGAGATGGGGTTTCACTTTGCTGGTCAGGCTGGTCTCAAACTCCCGACCTCAGGCGATCCGCCCACCTTGGCTTCCCAAAGAGCTGGGATTACAGGCGTGAGCCACTGCACCCAGCCACCACATCCATGAGTCACATTTTTTGTGAACTCCTGTGCATGCATACAATTAAATTTGTTGTATTTCTGTATTAATCTGTCTTTTGTCAATTTACTTTGCAGAGACCCAGCGCTGGACCTAAGATGATAGAGGAAAAAAAAAAAATTCTACCTGCAATTCATGGACTTTCTCTATAAAATACAGTAGCTACAACCAGGCGCGGTGGCTCACGCCTGTAATCCTAGCACTTTGGGAGGCTGAGGCAGGCAGATCACGAAGTCAAGGGTTCGAGACCAGCTTGGCCAACATGGTGAAACCCATCTCTACTAACAATGCAAAAATTAGACAGGCGTGGTGGCGCATGCCTGTAATCCCAGCTACTCAGGAGCCTGAGGCAGGAGAATTGCTTGAACCTGGGAAACGGAGGTTGCAGTGAGCGGAGATCATGGCCACTGCACTATAGCCTGGGCGACAGAGCAAGACTCTATCTCAAAAAAAAAAAAATACATTAGCTACTATAGCTACTATCGATATGTAGCTATTAGGCACTTAAATCAGAAATTGTCTCAGTTGAGATGTTCTGTAAGCATAAAATACAGCCTAAATTTCAAAGACTTAATACCAAAAAAGAATACACCTTATTAAAATATATTTTTTTGATTACATGTTTCAATGATATTATTTTGAATATATTGTGGTAAATAAAATATATTATTAAAACGTTTTCTTTTTTTTCCTTTTTTAAAAATGTGGCTACTAGAAAATTTAATATTACATATATGGCTTACATTATATGTCTATTGGACAGACCAATATATAATCTTCATACTAGTACATGCATAATAATTTTTAAAACTTTTAAAACGTGAGGTATGTACAACTGGTGCTACAGAAATGCAAAGGATCATGAGAGACTACTATGAATAACTACGCCAACAAATTGGATAATTTAGAAGAAATGAATAAATTTCTAGCATACAACTTAATCAGACTGAGTCATGAAGAAATAAAAATTTTTAACAGAAAAATAATGAGAAGATTGAAGCAGTAATTAAAAAAAATCCCAACAAAGAAAAGCCCAGGACTAGATGACAGAGTTTGAAGAATTAACACCAATCCTCTTCAAACTCTTCTAAAAAATTAAAAAGAAAGGCAACCGGGCGCAGTGGCTCACGCCTGTAATCCCAGCACTTTGGGAGGCCGAGGCGGGCGGATCACGAGGTCAGGAAATCGAGACCATCCCGGCTAACATGGTGAAACCCTGTCTCTACTAAAAATACAAAAAATTAGCCAGGTGTGGTGGCGGGCGCCTGTAGTCCCAGCTACTAGGGAGGCTGAGGCAGGAGAATGGCGTGAACCCGGGAGGTGGAGCTTGAAGTGAGCCGAGATCGTGCCACCGCACTCCAGCCTGGGTGACAGAGTGAGATTCCGTCTCAAAGAAAAAAAAATAAAAAATTAAAAAGAAAGGAACACTTCTAAACTCATTTTAAGCCACCAGCATTGTTCTCATACCAAAGCTAGATAAAAACATTATAAGGAAAGAAAACTACAGGCCAATATTCCTAGTGAAAATAAATATAAAAACCTTCAACAAAACCTAGCAAAATGAATTTAACAGCACATCAAATGATTATATAACATGATCAAGTGGTTTGTACATGGCACCTTTGTAACTGGCACCGTTGTGCTTATGTACATGCTAATGCATTTAATCCTCACAAGAGCCCAGTGAGACAGGCACTATTACTATCCCTATTTGCAGATGAGTAAACTGAAGCACAGACGGTACACAGAACATATTTGGAAGAATGTACAAGAAACTGACAACGGTAGTGGCCTTTGAGGAGCAACTGGGGGATTAAGGTCAGGAATAAAAATGAGACTGATATTCACTGTTTATCTTTTTGTGCAGATTGAATTTTGTTACAATGTGAATGAATATATGTTACCACTTTAATTTTTTTTTTTTTTTTAGATGGCGTTTCACTCTGTTACACAGGTTGGAGTGCAATGGCGCTATCTCGGCTCACTGCAACCTCTGCCTCCCCGGTTCAAGCAGTTCTCCTGCCTCAGCCTCCTGAATAGCTGAGATTACAGGTGCCCGCCATCATGCCCAGCTGTTTTGTTTTTTGTATTTTTAGTAGAGACAGGGTTTCTCCATGGTAGTCAGGCTGGTCTTGTACTCCCGACCTCAGGTACTCTGCCCACCTCAGCCTCCCAAAGTGCTGGGATTACAGGCGTGAGCCACTGCCCCTGGCTTAATTTTTTTAAATATAAAAATATATTGGCTCTTATATTACCTGTTTTTCTTACAAACAGAGTAATAATAATAATAAATAAGGAAATGCGGCCAGGTGCAGTGGCTCACACCTGTAATCCCAGCACTTTGGGAGGCATAGGTGGGTGGATCACCTGAGGTCAGGCGTTTGAGACCAGCCTGGCCAACATGGTGAAACCCTGTCTGTAGTAAAAATACAAAATTAGCCAGGCATGGTGGTGCATGCCTGTAATCCCAGCTACTCCAGAGGCTGAGGCAGGAGAATCACTTGAACCTGGGACGTGGAGGTTGCAGTGAGCAGAGATCGCGTCACCTGCACTCCAGCCTGGGTGACGGAGGGAGACTCTCTCTCAAAAATAAGTAGATAGATAGATAGATAGATAGATAAAAATAGATTACAAAGGAGCTGAAAAATCCTATTGTCCAGTAACATTGTAGCCATCATAATGTTATAGTGCATGTGTTTCTGGTGATGTTGGTATAAAAAAACCTACTGAACTGCTAGTCCTATAAAAATATAGAATGTACAATTATGTACAGTACATACTACTTGATAATAATAAATGACATTACTGGTTTATGTATTTACTATACTATACTTTTTATTATTATTTTAGAGTGTACTCTATTAAAAAAAAAAGTGCTAACTGCAAAACAGCCTAAGGCAAGTTCTTTAGGAGATATTCCAGAAGAAATTTTTATTATAGGAAATGACAGATCCATGCATATTATTGCCTCTGAAGACCTTCCAATGGGACAAGATGTGGAGGTGGAAGACAGTGATGTTGATGATCCTGACCCTGTGTAGGCCTTGCCTAAGGTATGTGTTTTTGTCTTAGTTTTTAAAATAAAAGTTTAAAACTGTAAAAATAAACAATTTTAAAAATAGAAAAAGCATACGAAAAAATATAAAGACATTTTTGTACGATGTACAATGTGTGTTTTAAGTTGTTATTACAAAAGAGTCAAAAAGTTTTTAAAAATTTAAAAGTTTATAAAGTAAAAAAGTTACAGTAATCTCAACTACTTGGGAGGTTGAAGCATGAGAATCGCTTTGATCCAGGAGGCAGAGGTTTCAGTGAGCCGAGATGGTGCCACTGCACTCCAGCCTGGGTGACAGAGTGAGACCCTGTCTCAAAAAATATAAAGAAAAAAAAAGTTAGTAAGCTACGGTTAACTTACTATTAAAGAAAGAAAAAAATTTTTAATAAATTTAGTGAAGCTTAAGTGTAGTGTTTATAAAGTCTACAGTAGTGTTCAGTAATGTCCTAGACCTTTACATTCACTCACCACTCATTCACTGAGTCACCCAAAACAACTTTCAGTCCTGCAGACTTCATTCAGGGTAAGTGCCCTATATAGGCATACCATTTTTTATCTTGTATACCATGTTTTTACTGTATCTTTTCTAAGTTTACATGTGTTTAAATACAGAAATACTTACCATTGTGTTACAACTGCTTACAGTATTCAGTACAGTAACATGCTGTACAGGTTTGTAAATAGGCTATGCCACACAGCCTAGGTGTGTAGTAGGCTATATCATCCAGGTTTATGTAAGTACACTCTATGATGTTCCTATGACAAAAATCACGTTAACGATGCATTTCTCAGAATGTATCCCTGTCATTAAGCAATGCACGGCCGTATATGGATTCATTAGAATTTTCTTAATAATAGAGATTAGCCAGGCACGATGGCTCACTCCTGTAATCCCAGAACTTTGGGAGGCCGAAGCAGGCAGATCGTCTGAGCTCCAGAGGTGGAGACCAGCCTGGGCAACACAGTGAAACCCCATCTCTACTAAAATACAAAAAATTAGCCAGGCTAAGGTATGTGTTTGTGTCTTAGTTTCTAACAGGCATGGTGGCGTGTGCCTGTAATCCCAGCTACTTGGGAGGCTGAGGCAGTAGAATCGCTTGAACCTGGGAGGCAGAGGTTGCAGTGAGCCCAGATTGTGCCACTGCACTGCAGCCTGCGCAACAGAGCGAGACTGTCTCCAAAAAAAAAAAAACAGAGATTAAAAATCCTGTGTGAGCCAAGGAGAGATTCACTATGGATGTGCACAGGTGATCCTGTTGTTTCAACCACACTTCTACACTAATCACCACTATCAGAGAAACCCAAATCATTAAGCTCTCTTAAGCAACAGCTTGTAGTTACTGAAAATTTACACTGAGTGGGAACTATGGAGTATTCAAGAGAATAAAATAAACAGAGCTTCTGCCTTCAAGGACAGGAAAATGAGATGTCTACTTATGCAATGATAATAAGCAATGCACAGAGACCTATTATTAAGCAGTAGCTAAATGTGTGAATTAGACAAGTGATTGAGTACTTCAGAAAAGGAGAACTCTGTGTTGGCTGCAGGGAGCTGGCTAATAGGTAGAACTTGGGCTGATCTTTAAAAACGAATAGGATTCAACTTGGATAAGCTGCGATGTGGGAGACTAAAAGATGAAGCACTCTGGCTTATTGTGTTATGCATATAGTCATATTACAGCTATGGAACCATGGTTATTATTACTAGCACATCACTTGCATAGTATTCCAGACAAAAATGCATAGTTTAGATCTAGCTGTGAATCCTAGAGTTCCAAGTGGCTGGGCCCTTCCCACAGCTACCCTGGAGAGCAGCAGCCAGGACTTTGCGCTACCCTATGGCCCATGGCCTCCACCAGGGCAACCAAGAAGGTGAGCGGGGCACAGCACAGCCACCACTGCAGGCGCCTCACCAAGCATACAAAATCCAAGGGACATGATCCAAGAGGTGTGTGGCTCTCACCCTTACGAGCTGCATGCCATGGAGCTGCTCAAGGACTCCAAGCACCAAACGGGCCCTCAAGTTCACCAAGAAAAGGGTGGGAACACACGTCCATGTCAAGAAGCAGCAGGAGGAGCTGCGACCCAGTCTGGCTGCTATGAGGAAATTGCCAAGAACTGAGCCCCCTCCCCCTCTCTGTACACAATAAAACCTTCAGTCAATCTAATTGTGAAGAAATATCAGACAATCCCAGATTAAGTCATTCTAATAACTAAACTATGTTCTTCAAAAATGTCAATGTCATGAAAAAGAAAACAAACAAAAAAGACTGACAATCTGTTGCAGATTAAGGAAGACTGAAGAGATGTGGCAATCAGTACAACACATAATCCTAGACCAAATCCTTGATTTTTTATCTTTCATCAGGCAACACCTCATTCTGAGTCATAGAATGTCTTCCCCTTAAACTTCATTTATGTATTTTTGTAGAGACAAGGTCTCACTATGCTGCCTAGGATGGTCTTGAACTCCTGGCCTCAAGCCATCCTCCTGACTTGGCCTCCCTAAGTGCTGAGATTAAAGGCATGAGCCACCGTGCTTGGCCTTAAACTTTATTTTTAAAATTGCAGTAAAGGACATTACTGGGACAATTTACAAAATTGAAATAGGGACTGTAGATAAGACAAAAATATTGTATCAATATTTGAATTTGATAACTATACCATATGTGGTTGATACGTGGTTACATGAGAAAACGTCCTTCTTCTTAGGAAATAATGAAGTGCTGAGGAAGAAAGAAACATGATCTATGCATCCTATTCTCAAATGATTAGGAAATTTGTGCCCAGGCGCAGTGGCTCACACGTGTAATCCCAGCATTTCGGGAGGCCAAGACAAGTGGATAGCTTGAGCTCAGGAGTTTGAGACCAGCCTGGTCAACATGGTGGAACCCGATCTCTAGAAAAAATTAGCCTGGCATGGTAGTGAGTGACCGTAGTTCCAGCTACTCTGGAGGCTAAGGTGAGACAATCGCCTGAGCCCAGGAAATTGAGGCTGCAGTGAGCTATGATCATGCCACTCTATTACAACCTGGGCAACAAAGTAAGATCCTGTTTTTTAAAAAGAAAGAACATTTTGTGTGTGTCTGTGTGCGTGCATGTATAAAAAGAGAGAGAGAAAGCAAATATAGCAAAATGTTAAACATTAGTCAATCTGACTAAAGGGTACACAGTGGTTATTTGTACTATTCTTGCAATATTTCTATGAGCTTGAAATTGTTTCAAAATAAAAGTTAAAAATACAGCTGGGCACGGTGGCTCATGCCTGTAATCCCAGCACTTTAGGAGGCCGAGGCAGGTGGATCACAAGGTCAGGAGATGGAGACCATCTTGGCCAACATGTTGAAACCCCGTGTCTATTAAAAATACAAAAATTAGCCAGGGGTGCTGGTGGGCGTCTATAGTCCCAGCTGCTCAGGAGGCTGAGGTAGGAGAATCGCTTGAACCCAGGAGTCCGAGGTTACAGTGAGCCAAGATCGTGCCACTGCACTCCAGCCTGGGGGACAGAGTGAGACTCTGCCTCAAAATAAATAAATAAAAATAAATACACTCTCTATGCTGAATAAAAGATATTTACTGTGTTCCTTGAAAGGTGTAGTGGCAAATGGAAGCAGTTTGAGAACAGATTATGTAAAACCTTGACAGACAGGGAAGGAGTCTACTTAATTCTATAGAAAATAGAGAACGATAAAGATTTTCTAGCCAAGGACTAGCTAAAAATCTGTGTTTCGGACGGCTCAACTAGGGGTAATAGTGAGGACTGGGTAAGGGGAAGGTGGGAGACCTTATCAGTCAGTAAGTGGTAACAGTAATTCAGAAGAAAACTGGTTAAATAACAGTCTGAATTAAGGAAAAGAAAAGAAGAAACATATTTAAGAATACTATGTTCAAGCCAGGCGCGGTGGCTCACGCCTGTAATCCCAGCACTTTGGAAGGCGGAGGCGGGTGGATCACGAGGTCAGGAGATCGAGATCGTCCTGGCTAACACGGTGAAACCTCGTGTCTACTAACAATACAAAAAATCAGCCGGGCGTGGTTGCAGGTGCCTGTAGTCCCAGCTACTTGGGAGGCTGAGGCAGGAGAATGGCATGAACCCGGGAGGCGGAACTTGTAGTGAGCAGAGATAGCGCCACTGCACTCCAGCCTGGGCGACAGAGCGAGACTCCGTCTCAAAAAAAAAAAAAAAAGAGAGAATACTATGTTCAGCCAGGCATGGTTGCTCACGCCTGTAATCCCAGCACTTTAGGAGGCCGAGGAGGGCGGATCATGAGGTCAGGTGTTGGAGACCAGGCCAACATGGTGAAACCCCGTCTCTACTAAAAATACAAAAATTAGGCAGGTGTGGTGGCAGGTGCCAGTAATCCCAGCTGCTTGGGAAGCTGAGGCAGGAGAATCTCTTGAACCCGGGAGGTTGCAGTGAGCCGAGATGGCGCCATTGCACTCCAGCGAGACTTAGTCTCAAAAAAAAAAAAAAAAAAATACTATGTTCACTATTTGAGTGATGGGTTCAATAGAAGCATTATGCAATATATGCATGGGAGGCCAAGGCTGGCAGGTCTGCTGAGGTCAGGAGTTCAAGACCAGCCTGGCCAACATGGCAAAACCCCATCTCTACTTAAAAAATACAAAAATAAGCCAGTGTGGTGGCGCATGCCTGTAATCCCAGCTACTCCGGAGGCTGAGACAGGAGAATTGCATGAACCTGGGAGGCAGAGTTTGTAGTGAGCAGAGACCTTGCCACTGCAGTCCAGCCTGAGTGACAGAGCGAGACTCTGTCTCAAAAAACAAAAAGAAAAAGAAAAAAAGAATTAATGGCATTATTGGATATGGAAGACTAGGATGAGCTGCAGATAATTTTCAATTTTCGTATCTATGGTTTTGTTGATTGTTGTATTTTAGATCCAGAAGTAGTTTAGGGTAGTCTATTAGGGTAGTCCAGTAGTTAACATAGTGTACAGAAGAAAAAGTATGATTTTTGAAGTCATGCAAACATGTCTTCAAATCCTGGCTTGAACATATATGATGTGTCTCTGAATATGTACTTTTACTTCTCTAAGCTTTTATGTTCTTATCTGCAAAAGTATAAAATCAGAACAAGTATATCTATCAGAACAATATTACTGAGTGACTAACAGTCTCATAGTCCAAAATCTATGTTTGAATCCTAGCTTTTTTATTTCTTGGCAGTGTGCCTCAGGACAGGGTATTTTTCTTTCTAAATTTCAGTTTCCTCATCTATAAAATAAAAACTGCAGCCAGGCATGGTGGGTCATGCCTGTAATCCAAGCACTTTGGGAGGCCAAAGCAGGTGGATCATCTGAGGTCAGGAGTTCGAGACCAGCTTGGCCAACATGGTGAAACCCTCTCTTCGGATCATCTGAGGTCAGGAGTTCAAGACCAACCTGGCCAAGATGGTGAAACCCTGTCTCTATTAAAGATACAAAAATTAGCTGGGACTCAAGGCAGGTGCCTGTAATTCCAGCTACTTGGGAGGCTGAGGCAGTAGAATCGCTTGAACCTGGGAGGCGGAGGTTGCAGTGAGCCAAGATCATGCCACTGCACTCCAGCCTGGGCGACAGAGTAAGACTCCGTCTCAAAAAAAAAACAAAAACAAAGACCTTATTATCTTTGCACTGCTTTATCCCCATCACCTAATGGAATGGTATGGTTAATTTTATGTGTCAACTTGGCTAGGCTATGTGCCCAGCTTGGTTACATACTAGTCTAGATGTTGGTATGAAGTTATTAGGTAGAAGTGATTAACATTTACAGTCAATTGATTTTAAATAACGGAGATTACTCTCCATGATATGGGTGAGCCTTATCCAATTAGATGAAGGTTGTTTTTTGTTTTTTGTTTGAGACGGAGTCTCGCTCTGTCACCCAGGCTGGAGTGCAGTGTGCAGTGGCATGATCTCAGCTCACTGCAACCTCCACTTCCTGGGTTCAAGCGATTCTCCTGCCTCAGCCTCCTGAGTAGCTGAGACTACAGGTGCCTGCCACCATGCCCAGCAATTTTTTTTTTATTTTTAGTAGAGATGGGGTTTTACCATATTGGCCAGGCTGGTCTCGAACTCCTGACCTTGTGATCTGCCCGCCACTGCCTCCCAAAGTGCTAGGATTACAGGCATGAGCCAACTCGCCTGGCCTAGATGAAGGTTTTAAGAATAAGGTTACTGGCGGAAGAGGTGGCTCACGCCTGCAATCCCAGCACATTGGGAGCCTGAGGCAAGCGGATCACCTGAGGTCAGGAGTTCGAGACCAGCCTGGCCAATATGGTGAAACCTCGTCTCTACTAAAAATACAACAATTAGCTGGGCATGGTGGCACGTGCCTGTAATCCCAGCTACGTGGGAGGCTGAGGCAGGAGGATCACTCAGACCCGGGAGGCAGAGGTTGCGGAGAGTTGAGATTGTGCCACTGCATTCCAGCCGGGGCAACAGAATAAGACTCTGTATCAAAAAAAAAGAATAAGGTTCCTAGGCCGGGTGTGGTGGCTCACACCTGTAATCCTAGCACTTTGGGAGACCGAGGTGGGAGGATCTCTTGAAGTCAGGAGCCTGAGACCAGCCTGGCCATCATGGTGAAACCCTGTCTCTACTGAAAATACAAAAATTAGCCAGGCATGATAGCAGGTGCCCATAATCCCAGGTACTCGGGAGACTGAGGTAGGAGAATTGCTTGAAACTGGGAGGTGGAGGTTGCAGTGTTGCAGTGAGCTGAGACTGTACCACTGCACTCCAGCCCAGATGACAGAGTGAAACTCCATCTCAAAAAAAAAAAAAAAAAAAGAATAAGGTTAAGAACAACAACATCCTGGTTGGGCACCATGGCTCATGCCTGTAATCTCAACACTGGGAGAATGAGGCAGGAGGATCTCTTGAGCCCAGGAGTTTGAGACCAGCCTGGGCAGCATGGTGAGACCTTATCTCTACAAAAAAATTGTGAAAATTAGCCAGATGTGGTGGCCTGCACCTGTAGTCCCAGCTACTTGGGAAAATGAGGCAGGAGGATTGCTTGAGCAAAAAGGTCAAGGCTGAAGTGAGCCATGTTTGTGCCACTGCACTCCAGCCTGGGCAACAGAATGAGATCTTGTCTCAAAAATGAACAAACAAAAAAACTGAAGTTGGCCGGGCACAGTGGCTCACAGCTGTAATCCCAGCACTTTGGAAGCCCAAGGCAGGTGGATCACCTGAGGTCAGGAGGTCGAGAACAGTCTGGCCAACATGGTGAAACCCCATCTCTACTAAAAAAAAAAAAAAATACAAAAATTAGCCAGGCATGGTGGCAGGCACCTGTAATTCCAGCTACTCAGGAGGCTGAGGCAGGAAAATCACTTGAACCTGGGAGGTGGAGGTTGCAGTGAGCTGAGATCGCGCCATTGCACTCCAGCTTGGGAGACTTCGTCTCAAAACAAACAAACAAACAAAAACAAAAAAACTGAAGTTTTCCAAAAGAGAAAGAATTCAGCCTGAGTTTCCAACCTGCTGGCCTGCCCCATGGATTCTAGATGTGCCAGTGTCCACAATCATGTGAGCCAATTCCTGAACCTCTCTGTCTCTCTTTCTTTGGAAAACCCAGACTGATACTTTTATCATTCATTTTATTATTATTATTATTTTTCATTTTGTTGAGACGGAGTTTCGCTCTTGTTGCCCAGGCTGGCGCAATCTCGGCTCACCACAACCTCCGACTCCCGGGTTCAAGCGATTCTCCTGCCTCAGCCTCCCGAGTAGCTGGGATTACAGACATGTACCACCACGCCCAGCTAATTTTTGTATTTTTAGTAGTGATGAGTTTTCTCCCTGTTGGTCAGGCTGGTCTCAAAATCCTGACCTCAGGTAATCTGCCCACCTCGGCATCCCAAAGTGCTGAGATTACAGGCGTGAGCTACCACGCCTGGCTTCATTTTCTCCTTTTTTTTTTTTTTTTTTTTTGAGACGGAGTCTTGATCTGTTGCCCAGGCTGGAGGGCAGTGGCGCGATCTCAGCTCACTGCAACCTCTGCCTCCCAGGTTCAAGCAATTCTCTGCCTCAGCCTTCTGAGTAGCTGGGATTACAGGCACCCGCCACCACGCTCAGCTTATTTTTGTATTTTTAGTAGAAAAGGGTTTTCACCATGTTGGCCAGGCTGGTCTTGAACTCCTGACCTCGCGATCTGCCTGCCTCAGCCTCCTAAAGTGCTGGGATTACAGGCGTGAGCCACTACGCCTGGCCTTACCATTCGCTTTCATTTTTTTTTCTTCTGTGTCCTTCTATGGGTTCAGTTGTGTTCTAGGATCTGGGAATGTAGCAGGGACCTAGAACAGAGGCTTTTCTCTCATGGTTAATATTCTTATGGAGGGAGAGAAAAACTTGTAGGGGCTAAGACAAATCTCTTTTGCCCTCTGAAGGTTCACTAGAAATCAACTGACAAAAGGCTGATTAAAAGGAGAAAGGCAGACAAAACATTAATGTACACATGCATGCATGGGAGGAACACAGATTTTAAAAACTCAAAGAAAGGGCCAGATAAGCTGGGGGTAGTGGCTCACGCCTGTAATCCCAGCACTTTGGGAGGCTGAGGAGGGCAGATCACATGAGGTCGGGAGTTGGAGACCAGCCTGACCAACACAGAGAAAGCCCGTCTTTACTAAAAATACAAAATTAGCCAGGCATGGTAGTGTATGCCTGTAATCCCAGCTATTCAGGAGGCTGAGGCAGGAGAATCGCTTGAACCTAAGAGGTGGAGGTTGCGGTGTGCCGAGATTGAGCCATTGCACCACTCCAGCCTGGGCAACAACAGTGAAAAAAAAGAAAGGGCCAGATAGTTGATGCTTTTATACCACCTGAGGTTACAGAAAGAAGAGGGGCTCAGAGCATGGCAAGAGAGGTTATGGGAGGGAGAGAAGAGAAAAAGCTTTTTAGCTATTCTTATGTTTTCAGGCTCTCTAAATAGCCATCTTTAAATATGTCAAATAAGTATATTTGGTGTAAAATATTTTTTTGTTTCCTTTAGTCAATAAGCAAACAAATAAGCAGACCAATTTCAAATAGCTATCAGTGCCATGTGGGGAGAGGGCTATGAGACAGAGAAGCAGAGGGAAAGTGGTCTCTCCAGAATGGGTGCTCAGGGAAGGGCTGAAGAGGTGACATTTGAGCTGAATGAAAAGGGAGCAAGCCATGAGGTTATGGAGGGGCAGGTATTCTAAGCAAGAATTCCAAGGAGCAGAAAGTTTGAAGGCTGTGAAGGGAAGACGGGTCTGGCATGTATGAGAAGCAGCAAGAATAACTCTGCCCTGAAGAAGAGTAAGCCAGAGGAAAGTGATAGGGGAGAGTTCAGAGACCTTGTCAAATTGAAAGACTTGTAAACAGTAGTAACGCATTTAGATTATACTCTAAACTTACTGTGATTTTCAAGATTTACATTTTTAAATTTCTGCTACTTAAATGTCGATCACTGGCTTAATGGTAGGCATTGAAATCATTATGCAGAATCTACTTCTGCTAGAGTTAATGTCTGTCCAAGGGTTTGCATTGCATTGATCCCCCTGCCCCAGCAGAATAAGTAGCTTCTGGGAGCTGAGTTGAAAATGCAGAACTCAGGCCCTGCTCCAGACCTACTGAATCAGAATTTGCATTTTAATAAAATCCCCAGGTGGTTCATGAGCACCTGAAAGTTTGAGGGGACTCAACCTTGACTGCATTATGGAAACACCTGGGAACCTAATTTGTTTAAAAAAAACAAAAGTGTTACCTGGGTCACCCTAGAGTAATGGCATAATTGGTCTGAGGTGCAGCCTGTGCGTCGGAAATTCTGGAAGCCACTTATCTTCCAAAGGTCAGAAAGGCCGCTGCCCTAAAGCCACAGTGGGTGACAGGCAGCTGTTTTTCATGCTCAGCTGACTGCCCATGCTCCGTTTTCCTTTATGTCTTCTTGTAGCAGTTCCCACGGAATCACCTTGTTTTCCTTTCTTTGGTCACTAGAAAAAGTATTTCTCTTCCCAGGGATTCTCAGGGATGAGAAGGGCAGTCTGATTGGCCCTGAATACACACATACTGGCTTTTAATGTTGAGTTAACTGCTCTCATTAGTAGGCAACAAGATGTCAAATAAAACAATCCTGAAGAAGTTGCAAAACACAGTGTTCTTACAAGTGTGATCCTGAGTCTAAAATTCCTAATTCCCTTCATATGGAAAGCCTAGAATGAAGTACTCAACTTCTCTGTCAGTCCCCAGCATTTCAAAAGTCCATTTTGTCTTGCATTCAGGAAAGCCTTTTCTTTAAACTGAATCTATACAACAATAGGTTGTATTCTGCAGTTAATTTGCATCTCTGAAGACTTGATTTCTCCCAGGTCTCACCAGGCAGCGAATGAGCCCCCTGTGCGTTTCCTGACAGCCTTTTAAGTCACTTCCTAGGCTGACTTACGGAGCAAGTAAGAGTTCACAGGTCTCATGATTCCTAAGTTGCAGGAAAGGGTCTATGACAGCTATTCTTCCCTTAATAAAGTTATTTCTTTTACATTAAACTTCTGACACTGGGGTAGATTGGATGTAAGGGAAAAGGGAGACACTCCAAATTATCACACAATGATTTAGCCTCTTCAGTGTACTGTTGCAAAATGTTTAGTTTAAAATGCCTTTCTATAATTTATCATTCCTTTTCTTTTTTTTTTTTTTTTTTTTTTTTGAGACGGAGTCTTGGTCTGCCGCCCAGGCTGGAGTGCAGTGGCGCGATCTCGGCTCACTGCAACCTCTGCCTCCCGGGCTCACGCCATTCTCCTGCCTCAGCCCCTCCGAGTAGCTGGGACTACAGGCGCCCGCCACCACGCCCGGCTAATTTTTTTTGTATTTTTAGTAGAGACAGGGTTTCACCGTGGACTCAATCTCCTGACATCGTGATCCGCCCGCCTCAGCCTTCCAAAGTGCTGGGATTACAAGCGTGAGCCACCGCGCCCGGCCTCATTACTTATTTAAGGGAACTATGAAAACAGTATCTCATTCTCTTTAGGTTTTCTGAACTTTCAGCCTCAACAAGTAGTTACCATTTTAAATCTGCAGCTTGACAGCTTGTAAGCAAAAGCATTGAAACTACTCACGAAGGGTCAGAGTAGAATGAATAATTTCACGGAAATGCAAATTTCATTTAAAACTTATTTAAAAGTATTAAATTGGGAGGAGATGGAAGTCTAAGATTTATTTCCCTTACTGATGATAAATAGTAATATTTACTGGCCAATACTACAAAAGAACTAGAAGATTGTATAAAATATTTTTACAGTGCTTTTTAAAGAGAGATTTAAAAGTGGAGGTGAGAGTGAGGATTGGGTTTGTTATAGGCCATCGCCCTTTTTTATTTTTTTTGAGACGGAGTTTCGCTCTTGTCGCCCAGGCTGGATAGTGGCACGATCTCGGCTCACTGCAACCTCGGCCTCCCGGGTTCAAGCAATTCTCCTGCCTCAGCATCCCGAGTAGCTGGGATTACAGGTGCCCGCTACCACGCCCAGCTAATTTTTGTATTTTTAGTAGAGACGGGGTTTCACCACGTTGGCCAGACTGGTCTCGAACTCCTTACCTCAGGTGATCTGCCTGCCTCGGCCTTCCAAAGTCCTGGGATTACAGGCGTGAGCCACTGTGCCTGGCCAAGCCATTGCCTTTTACAATGGTGATGTTATAGTCTGACTTCTTCCTAAAGTTCGAACTGCAGAAAAAATATTCTACTCTTTGGATCCATTCTGATGATGTTCTTATGATGGCTTTGAGTCTAGGCCAGGAGTCACTGGAATTAATTCAGGAATTAAACTCACTCATTCTGGTACATCCGGACCTTTGTAAACGTGTCTGGCTCGTTTTTGTGACCACATTGCAGTTATCAGCACCATTCATGGACACTTTAAATTTATTTCCTCTCCTAAGGATTTGTTAATTATCTACTATTTGTACTGTCATTGCCATCATATTTAATGCAACCAGTAATTTCATCACACACACATTATATTTTCCATGCTTTGTTCCTAATGATGTTTATTCCTGCCTTAGGACCTTAGCACTAGCTCTGTCCGCTGTCTAGAATGTTCTTGCCTCATTCTTTATGTAATTGGCTCCTTCCTGTTATTCAGTTCTCCATTTATATGTTCCCTCCTCAGAGAGCCTGGGCAATAGAACGAGACCCTGAATCCGAAAAATAAAAAAATAAAATAACATAAAAACTTGAAAATTACATTTCTTCAATAATGAAACATCAAATATGAAGGTCAAATTGCCAACTTGGGTTTTTTCCTCCCTAAGTCAGAAAATAACAAAAAACAGATTGGATTTTTGATGCCATTTTAATTTCTGTTACTGTGACTAAACCTCAGATTGGATTCACTGTCTCAGAAAGGTATCCCAGGCATGGTGATGCAAAATATAGAGAAAGAGCCAAGAATAGAAATTCTGGCATGAAAGTCACCTAAAAATATTGATAATGCATAGAACATTTTATAAGTTGATCTCAAAAAAAGCTTTATTAGAGTCATGGACCTGTAATTGATTACCAATATATGTCTCTGCTTTACTTCTGAAAAAATTGTTTGTTTTGCCTTATAAGCACTGCTGATAATCTGATAAATGCTAGCAATCTTGAGTGGAAGACAAATTTGCTGTATTTTATATAGTAAACCACTGCAATGGAGTTAATAGTTTATAGGTTTTCTATAAACTGCCTTCTTCTCACTTTCCTGATTGCTACAATTCCAGCTGCATATTCCATAACTGTTTAAAGGAGGATTTTATTTTTTAAACTGTATCTCTTATTTCCACATCTAACATGACTCATTTTTGGCTGCTATGTTCCTGCTCTTTGCAGAAAGATAAAGAGATCATCTGCTACTTGAACTTTTGTTTAGCTTGTTAGGTATTTAGGTTGACTCTAATGTGCCAGATGTTATCCAGTTGGCAAAACAGTGCTTTCTTACCCATCTGTGCGCTGATCTCTCCATTTAATTCTCCAGCTGTACTGTTCTCTGCATCCTTGTATAAATAACAATATTGAAATGTTTCCTAAGAAACGTGCCATTTCTTCTTAGCTTTTACTTCCTTGTCCACAAGGACCTTGGGGTCATCTGCACTTGCCTCCCAGGACTCTATTGTTCTTCTCACATGATATAAAGGCATCACAGTTGCAATACTGACATTCCATCTGTAAGGGTAAGACAGTTCTGAAGCTGACTACATCAACTGAGATTATAGCTTCTAAATTCTGCTAGGCACCATGAAGAGCTTTAGCAAAGATGGTTACCTTTTCTGAAGAATGCACCTACATTATTTATGCAAACTAAGAGCAAGTCATGCTGTACTGGCATTAATGAATGATGAAAGTATTTTCATTTTAAAATCATTTTCCCAATGCCCAAAACCTATTGAAAGTATTTCAATGTTATTAACTAATGTTACTAATTTACATAATCTTTTAAGTTTATGAATCAAATATTCTATAAAAGTTCATTACTTTCCAAGTAATTATTTAGACAGCATCCTTATTATTAGCTATTTTTCCTATACAAATGCTCAAACTGAGTGGAAAAGAAAGTAAACAACTCTAGGCTGGGAGCAGTGGCTCACGCCTGTAATCTCAGCACTTTGGGAGGCTGAGGCAGGAGGATCATTGAGCCACAGGTTCCAGACCAGCTTGTGAAGCATAGTGAGACCGTGTCTCCTCAAAAACTAAAAATATCAAGCAGGCACAGTGGCATGCGTGCCTGTAGTCCCAGCTACTCCAGAGCCTGAGGCAGGAGGATCACTTGGGCCTGGGAGGTTAGGGCTGTAGTGAACCATGATTGTGCCACTGCACTCCAGCCTGGTCGAAAGAGCAAGATGTTTCCAAAAAAAAAAGGATCAAATTATCATGTGGGAAAGCATGATACATTTATTTCTTAAGCAAGAAGAATGATAAGGGACAAAAAAAGGTAGGAAGAGTTTATTTGTAATGGCTGCTTTCTTGCTTTGTTTAGCAATGTGCTAAAGAAAAATTATTGCTTTCCAGGACCAGGTGCGGTGGCTCACGCCTGTAATCCCAGCACTTTGGGAGGCCAAGGTGGGTGGATCACAAGGTCAGGAGTTTGAGACCAGCCTGGACAACATGGTGAAATCCCGTCTCTACTAAAACTACAAAAATTGGTTGGGCATGGTGGCATGTGCCTGTAGTCCCAGCTACGCGGAGGCTGAGACAGAAGAATCGCTTGAACCCGGGAGGCCGAGGTTGCAGTGAGCCGAGATCATGCCACTGCAAAATTGTTGCTTCCCAAAACAAAGTTAGTGTTTTAAAAGATATGCCATTTGAATATGGTTTTTACCCAATTTATACTATAGATCATTATTATATCCAAAGCAGATATTGGATCTATATTGGAATCACTAAGAAAGAGGCTTACTTTAAAATATTAAATATCAATATTGGAATTTTGCTAAGTCTCATGGAAAATTATCAAGATGCCTTTAAACTTAAAAAAGTAAATACATATTTTACAACTAATAAAGACCCAATGTTAATACTTTTCAAGGTTGAAACATTCTCCCTATGAAATAGATGTTTAAAGCAGAAAAAAAGACATTTTTAGATAGCATAAATTTTACTATGCATTTCTTTGAAGTAAGGGGAACTATTTCAAAGAGAAATGATGCAATGTAAGATAAACATGGGATATCATATTGCACCAAAAAACAAAGAGACTATCAAAGACTCACTGGGCATGCTAATATGAATTGCAAGAGAACAGCACAAGCCTAATGGCTAGGATAACCTGCACTCCAGAAATTGCTCTTTGGATTTTGTATCCCAGCACATTACACAATGCCTGGTATACATTAGGTGAAAATGCATGTTAGTTGAGTTAATAAATGAATAGATATCTGAGAATTAGGAAATAGAGAAACAAAATTTAATCATAGTAATAGAAAGGGAAGTAGGAGCATACTAAAAATAAATGTACCACTTGTAATCGCAGCCCTTTGGGAGGCCAAGGCAGGAGGATCGCTTGAACACAGGAGTTCGAGACTAGTCTGAGCAACTTAGTGAGAACCCACCTCTACAAAAAAATATTGTTTTAAAAAGAAGGACAAAAAAGATTAAAATAAATACATTAAATAAATAAATGTACCTACTTAGATGTCTTTTCTTCTATCCATCACACAATACCCTCTGCTTACTTCACACCACATACCCGCACTACCACCCACCACCACTTACCAACCAAAACCCAGACCTATGACATATATTCGACATTAATATTCCTTATCTGAGCCAATGGCAACACTGCTGTGGAGACACCTAAACTTAGGCTTGGCAGCAATTAAGAGAACTAACCCAAGTCCCTAGTATTTCCTTTTTTTTTTTTTTTTTTTTTGAGATGGAGTCTCGCTCTGTCGCCCAGGCTGGAGTGCAGTGGCACGATCTCGGCTTACTGCAACCTCCGCCTCCTGGCTTCAAGCGATTCTCCCGCCTCAGCCTCCCGAGCAGCTGGGATTACAGGCGCCCGCCAGCATGCCCAGCTAATTTTTTTATTTTTAGTAGAGACGGGGTTTCAGCATGTTGGCCAGTCTGGTCTTAAACTCCTGACCTTGTGATCCACCCGCCTTGGCCTCCCGAAGTGCTGGGATTATAGACGTGAACCACTTCGCCGGGCCCCTAGCATTTTCTTTATTCATCCATTCAGTCATTTACTCATGACTTAGTCAATATCTCTGTGCTAGGCCTTTAGTCTAGTACTAGCAATATAAAGTTAAATAACATGTAGTCCTTGTAATCTAGGAACTCCCAATCCAGCAAAGCATTATTTTGTAGAATAAAAACTATGCAACCTATATGAAGTGCTCTGCAAAAACCAAGAAGGGAGGAATCACTCAAGTTCACAGTACATCTTCCTCTCTTCCATATCTCTTTTGTTCTAATGTGATGTGAATAATAGCACCATTTCCTAGTACCCAAATTTAAACCTCATTATTATAACAAAGTTTAATTCCCATATCTTATAAGTTCCCCTGAGATTCTGACTTTGCAAGGCTTCACATAACTTGCCTTTCCGGTCCCACCAACAACCACCTCATTCTGGTCTTCCCTGTCCCTAGCAAGAAGTCCCACAATAGCCCCTGATCAAAGTAAGTTTCCTAAAGCACAACTCTCATCATGCATCTGCCAGGAACACAACTGCGCTATCATTAAATTCTTGTCAGTGCTGGCCCATAGGAGTCAGTATATGTTTGTTGGAATTGACCTCTGGCTCTTGCTAATGAACTTCCCCACGTGAGCAGAAGGGATTTAATATTCTTAATATCTTTTTCACTGTAGTGTCAAGAAAGCTTATGTCCACTAGCTGAGTCTCTCTCTCTCCTTTGGACATTTGTCTGAAAATTGCCTCTGAATCAAATCAAATGAGGTATCATACCTAAATATTCTAACATGCTTAAAAAATGCATTTCATGGCCGGGCACGGTGGCTCACGCCTGTAATCCCAGCACTTTAGGAGGCAGAGGCGGGCGGATCGCGAGGTCAGGAGATTGAGACCATCCTGGCTAACACGGTGAAACCCCGTCTCTACTAAAAATACAAAAAATTAGCCGAGTGTGGTGGCAGGAGCTGGTAGTCCCAGCTACTCCGGGAGGCTGAGGCAGGAGAATGGCATGAATCCGGGAGGCAGAGCTTGCAGTGAGCCGAGATTGAGCCACTGCACTCCAGCCTGGGGGACAGAGCAAGACTCCGTCTCAAAAAAAAAAAATGCATTTCATAAAGTTTTCTATGACCCTTTACCAAAGTCATCTCTAGGACAGTATTTGTGAAGTTCATCTTAATTGTGCATCAGAGCCGTTGTTCACTGTCTACACAGGGTAATCAATCTGTGTAAATAACCTAATTACTACTTTTGGTATTACATAGGCTAATATAAGGGTCATGTGGATTGAATGGTGCTATAGTCTGAATGTGTCCCCCAAAATTCATATCTTGGTAACTTAATTACCAATGCAACAGTATTGGGAGGTAGGGCCTTTTGGGAGGCCTTTAGGTCATTTGGACTCTGCCCTCATTAATGGGTTAATGCCATTATAAAAGGGCTTGATGGAGGGAGTTTGACCCCTTTTTGCCCTTTCTGTCCCTTCTGCTTTGTGAGGACATAGCGTTCCTTCCCTCCAGGGGATGCAGCAACAAAGCACCATCTTAGATGCAGAGAGACTGGGGCCTCATCACCTGATGCCTTGACCATGGACTTCTTTGTCTATGGATCTATAAAAAATAAATGTCTATTGTTTATAGATTATTCAGTCTGTGGTATTTTGTTATAGCAGCACAAACTAAGACAAATGGTCTTATCTATTCTCTTTAAAAACAATTCCATACATAGACAAAATGGGAAGCTCCCTAGATAATGCACCCACACAAGACTGCACCAATTCCAATGGTTTTCTGAGACTATCCTGCTATAATTGCTGCTAATTGCCTACATTAGTAGTTCTCCTTGGAGGTGAGGGTTGATCTAAAAAAGGAACCATAGTCAAGGATGTAAGGAGACATAGCTGTGCCATCTAAACATGGACGCCACTGAACATATGTGGCTATTTAGATTTTAATTAACATTAAATAAAGGCTCAGCGCGGTGGCTCACACCTGTATCCCAGGACTTTAGGAAGCCAAGATGGGATGATCGCTTGAGCCCCGGAGTAGTTCCAGCTACTCGGGAGGCTGAGGCAGGAGAACAGCGTGAACCCAGGAGGCGGAGGTCGCAGTGGGCCGAGATCGCGCCACTGCCCTCCAGCCTGGGTGACTAGCGAGAGTCCGTCTCCAAAAAAAAACAAAAAATTAGTTTTAGTAAAAGATGAAAGATTTATGAGCAGGTACAGTGGCTCACGCCTGTAATCCCAGCACTTTGGGAGGCTGAGGCGGGAGGATCACCTGAGTTCAGGAGTTTGAGACCAGCCTGGCCAACTTGGAGAAACTCTGTCTCTACTAAAAATACAAAATTAGCTGGGTGTGGTGTCGCATGCCTGTAATCCCAGCTATTTGGGAGACTGAGGCAGGAGAATCTCTTGAACCCAGGAGGCGGAGGTTGCAGTGAGCTGAGATTGCGCCATTGCACACCAGCCTGGGCAATAAGAGCAAAATTCCATCTCAAAAAAAAAAAAAATGAAAGATATATATGACCTGGGCCAGGCGCGGTGGCTCACGCCTGTAATCCCAACACTTTGGGAGGCCAAGGCGGGCGGATCACGAGGTCAGAAGATCGAGACCATCCTGGCTAACACGGTGAAACCCCGTCTCTACTAAAAATACAAAAAAATTAGCCAGGCGTGGTAGCGGGCGCCTGTAGTCCCAGCTACTCCGCAGGCTGAGGCGGGAGAATGGTGTGAACCCAGGAGGCGGAGCTTGCAGTGAGCCAAGATAGGGCCACTGCACTCCAGCCTGGGCGACAGGGCAAGACTGTTCCCCCCACAAAAAAAAAAAAAGAAAGAAAGATTTATATGACCTGAAGAGAAACCAGAGTATTATATATGAAACCATTATTTTTTTATTTTTTTATTTTATTTTGAGACTGAGTCTTGTCCAGGCTGGAGTTGCAGTGGTGTGATCTTGGCTCGCCGCAACCTCCACCTCCCGGGTTCAAGCAATTCTGCTTCAGCCTCCCGAGTAGCTGGGATTACAGATGCACGCTACCCACGCCCGGCTAATTTTTGTGTTTTTAGTAGAGACGGGGTTTCACCATGTTGACCAGGATGGTCTCGAACTCCTAACCTCAGGCGATCTGCCTGCCTCGGCCTCCCAAAGTGTTGGGATAACAGGTGTAAGCCACCATGCCTGGCCTATATTACTATTTTAAAGCCACCAAAAAGAAGTTTACAACCTCACAAGAGGAAGTATGTAAAGAGGGTCCCTACCAATGTACTTCTAGGATTTCTAGATCTATCAATATTCAGAACATTCACAGTATTGTAATTCAGGGCCTTAATGGAAACAGTTACCTTTTATACCACTAAGCATACCTTGTGAATCTTGTGTTTCAGTAAAGTGAATCAGGCGAGTTCTCTGGCACATTCTTGAAGTGTTTGTTAGCACCATGAATGAACTGATTCTGGGGGTGCAGAGAATATTCTGTCTCTATCTTCATCTCTTTATTTTTCCACCATAAGTTTAAAACAGCTGAGTAAGAAATTCTTCTATCCTTTATCATTATATTTTTCTCCAGTGATAGCAAATGCTTCAAAACCACAAAAGCATGTGGTTCACTGATGCCTTTGCAACTTGTGGTTGATGTTAAAGGGGTAGAAAACAGACAGAAAAAGCCTGTGTTCAAAATCAATACACATTGAATTCTAGAGATGCTTTAACTCGGTATCATATTTGAGAGGGGAAACAGGAATAAAGAAATTGCGCAGTTGTAATTTTCAACCATAACACAGCATCAGCTACATTTTGCTTTCCTTTGCGATACTCAAATGAAAGGCAGGCTTGTATGAATGCAAAGTATTATTACCTATCTTCTCTTTGAAGCCACAGTTATTTAGTAATCATTCTCATTTAAGTTAGTTTTACTGTTCTACGCATGGCTGTGCTTCAAGCTCAGGAGGAAAGCAATTCTTATCATAAAAGCCACCTTATTTCAGAGCTGGGTAACATTTAAAGCCACAGGAAAGTGAATTATATTTAACAAGAGTTAAGGCTTTTGAGCAAAAATGCAAACATGCTACAGGATTAAATTAGCTTGCTTTTAGAAACTCTCACTCATAAATTCCTTGGGATGATTATGTATGTAAAAAAGCCTCAGGTACTCATGTTTTCTATTCCCCGAGTTGTTGGGATACAAGAAATGAAAGAACTCCAGGGGGTGCCATTCACATCAGAGCTGTGTTCCCTGGAGATGGGCAGAACAGCCTTCCATAGCCAGGCTCACGTGGAGGATGGTTTGGAAGGGGTGAGAGACCGGATGAAGACAAAAGCATCAATAAGGAAGCTATCACAGTGATGCAGGTGAGATGAAATGAGATCCTGAATGCAGATAGTACTAGAGGATGAAAACGAAGAATCAGCCCTGAGAAACATTTAGAAGGTAGATTCATTAGGACTTGATGGGTAACGAGAAGAAGGAAGTAAGGATGCTGACAGAGGGAGCTGAAAAAATGATCTCAGTCACTTCATCTTACCTAAATCTTTATGAGCTCCTTCCTTTACTTCAAAGTAGGTCATTATATTTCAGTGAGTTCTTATGATAACAAAGAATAGTTCAGAGCCAGCCTGTTTTCAACTGAAATCGTTTCATTAGGGCCTGCAGTCTCACAACTGCCTCTCTTCCCCAGAAATGTATCAGCAAATGACTTGGGAAATCAACACTATTCAGTCTACAGGCACTATCAGTTGACTTGCTGAAAAACACACTTTGGGAAACTTATCAATGTCCTCTACAACAGTGATGAATCTCCTTGAGTGTTGATAAACATACAGTCATATATCTTGGCTTCAAAAGCATGTGAGGAAATACTAGCTAGAGCAATTAGGCAAGAGAAAAAATTAAAGGGCGTCCAAATTGGAAAGGAGGAAGTCAAACTGCACCAGTCAAATACAAGACCATTTGGAAATGAGAGGGGAAACCATCAGGAATAAGGAAATTGCACAGTTGTAATTTTCAACCATTTAAGATTTGGAAATGATCTTATATTTGGAAAAACCTAAGGATGCCACCGAAAAACTCTTAGAGCTGATAAACAAATTCAATAAATTGTGGGATACAAAATCAACATACAAGACCTGCGTGGCCAACATGGCAAAAGCCCATCTCTACTAAAAATACAAAAATTAGCTGGGCATGGTTGCACACGCCTTTAGTCCCAGCTACTCAGGAGGCTGAGGTGGAAGAATCGCCTGAACCCAGGAGGCGGAGGTTGCAGTGAGCCAAGATTGCACCACTGCAGTCCCAGGTGAGGAAGAGAGCGAGACTCCATGTCAAAAAAATAAAATAAAATAAAAATAACAAAATATACGATAAAGCTATAGTAGGCTGGGTGCAGTGGCTCATGCCTGGAATCCCAGTACTCTAGGAGGCTGAGGTGAGCGGATCACTTGAGGCCAGGAGTTCGAGACCAGGCTGGCCAACATGACAAAACCCCATCTCTGTTGAAAATACAAAAATTAGCCAGGCGTGGTGGTGCGCACCTGTAATCCCAGCTACTTGGGAGGCTGAGGCAGGAGAATCCCTTGAACCTGGAAGGTGAAAGTTGCAGTGAGCTGAGATCTCACCACTGCACCCCAGCCTGGGCGATAGAGCAAGACTGTCAGAAAAAAGAAAATAAAAGCTATAGTAACCAAAACAGCATGGTCTGGCATAAAACAGACACAGAACAACAGAACAGAAAAGATAACCTTGAAATAAATCCACATATTTATAGCCAGCTGGCTTTTGACAAAAGTGCCAAAAACACACACTGGGGAACACAGTCTTTGATAAAAGGTGCTGGAAAAACTGGATATGCCTATGCAGCAGAATGACACTAGAACCCCATCTCTCACCCTATATGAAAATCGACTCTCAATAGATTAAAGGCTTAAATGTAAGACCCGAAGCTATAAAACTACTAGAAGAAAACATAAGAGAATTGCTTCAGGACATTGGTTTGGGCAAAGATTTTATGGATAGGATCTCAAAAGCACAGGAAACAAACCAAAATTTATCCAAAAAAGGAACTAAATAGGCCAGGCATGGTGGCTCACGCCTGTAATCCCAGCACTTTGGGAGGCCAAGGCGGGTAGATCATCTAAGGTCAGGAGTTCGAGACCAGCCTGACCAACTTGGAGAAATTCTGTCTCTATTAAAAATACAAAATTAGCCGGGTGTGGTGACAGGCGCTTGTAATCACAGCTACTCGGGAAGTTGAGGCAGGAGAATAGCTTGAACCCAGGAGATGGAGGTTGTGGTGAGCTGAGGTTGCATCACTGCACTCCAGCCTGGGCAATAAGAGTGAAACTCCATCTTAAAAAAAAAAAAGAAAAAAAAAAAGGGACTAATATCCAGAATATACAAGGACCCAAAATACTCAAGAGAAAAAAAATTACAACTAAAAATGGGCAAATAAATTAGGTGGGCACGCACCTGGAGTCCTAGCTAGTTGGAAAGCTAAGGTGGGAGGATCACTTGAGCCTAGGCTGCAGTGAGCTGTGGTTGCACCGTTGCACTCCAAGTCTCAGTATTTTGCCCAGGCTGGTCTCAAACTCCTGGGCTCTAGCATATTCTCCCTCCTCAGTCTCCCAAAGTGCTAGGATGACAGGCAAGAGCCACCGCACCAGGCAAGGTAACTATAATTAGCAACAGTTTGTCATATATTTTAGAATAGCTGGAAGAGAGGATTTTGAATGTTTGCAACCCAAATAAATGATAAGGGCCAGGTGTGGTGGCTCATTCCTATAATCCCAGCGCTTTGGGAGGCTAAGGCAGGAGGATAGTGTGAGGCCAGGAATCTGAGACCTGCCTGGGCAACATAATGAAACCTCATTTCCACAAAATAATTGAAAAATTACCCAGGCATGATGGTGGATGTCTGTAGGTCCAGCTACTTGGGAGGCTGAGATGGGAGGATCACTTGAGCCCAGGAATCTGAGGCTGCAGTGAGCCATGATCATCCCATTGCTCTTCAGCTTGGGTAACAGACCGAGACCCTGTCTCTAAAAACAAAAACAAAGAAATGATAAATGTTTGAGGCAGTAAATAGGCTATAATAATTACCCTGATTTGATCATTACATGTTGTATACATATATGAAAATATCACACTGTACCCCATAAATATGTATAATTACTACGTGTCAATTAAAAATAATATTAAAATGGATTTTTTTGTTTTTTTGAGATGGAGTCTCGCTCTGTTGCCCAGGCTGGAGTGCAGTGGCGCCATCTCAGCTCACTGCAAGATCCAACTCCCAGGTTCACACTATTCTTCTGCCTCAGCCTCCTGAGTAGCTGGGACTACAGGCGCCTGCCACCACGCCCGGCTAATTTTTTTGTATTTTAGTATAGACAGGGTTTCACCATATTAGTCAGGATGGTCTCCATCTCCTGACCTCATGATCCACCTGTCTCGACCTCCCAAAGTGCTGGGATTACAGGCGTGAGCCACCGCGCCCAGCCATAAAATGGATTTTTTAAAAAGCATCTGAATCTGTTTAACAAACTTGAAATAAAGTAGGGACACAGGGCTGCCCCTATGGTTGTACAGATTGTAGTCTCTGAGAGGGGGACCTGAGAACGGACAAGAATTGGGCTGAAATAAAGCTCAGGAGCCATTTGCCAAGCCCTGTGACTTCACTCACAGTTGCAAGAGCCTGGAGGAAGTAGCAACTTTTTCTAATTGGTGCACTTAAGTCTTTTTGCAATTTGTCAGCCCCAAAGTGGTTTTTTTTTTTAATGTATACAAAATTTCATATGTGCTAATTATGGCCCTAGGACACAGAATTCCTTTGGCACTTAGCACTTAGGAAGAGAGTCAAAAAGTGAAAACCTAATAATCGAGATGATTCTGCTGGAGCACAATTAATTGGGGGTTGGGAGCATGGAACTAGTAGAGGAAGAAAAAGGAAAGCATATTAGGGGAGATTTCCCAGATGCGTTACTGTTTTTTGTTTCGTTTTGAGACGGAGTCTCGCTCTTTCACCTAGGCTGGAATGCATGGCGCAATCTCGGCTCACGGCAACCTCTGCCTCCCAGGTCCAAGCAATTCTCCTGCCTCCTGAGTAGCAGAGATTACAGGCGTGTGCCACCACGCCAGGCTAATTTTTGTATTTTTAGTAGAGACGGGGTTCCACCATGTTAGCCAGGCTGGTCTCGAACTCCTGACCTCAAGTGATCCGCCTGCCTCAGCCTCCCAAAGTACTGGGATTACAGGTGTGAGCCACCAACGCCCAGCCTGTGTTACTGTTTTAAACAAACATTTCAATGTGTAAGCATTGTCACTGAAGCCGATCTGTGGAGCCTGAAGGTTATACAATTCTGGTGGTCCCTCTATAAGAAAAAATATATATATATAATTACGAATGCAAGCTTGCCAGGGGCCTGACAGCAACTTGGAATGGGCCAGTGCAAGTAAAGGACCTGAAACTTAATTAGCTTCATGGTAAATCTGCCCCCTGGTTAGTAAATCCAGTTCTTTAAAGTAAATGTCCAAACAGGATGTGGTGGTGCACACCTGCAACTGCTCAGAAGGCTAAAGCGGGAGGATCTTTTGATCCCTGGAGTTCAGGAGTTTTGAGACCAGCCTGAGGAATGGAAGGAGACCAACCCACCCACCCCCAATATGTTATTTTTTTTTTAAAAGAGGATGTCTAAAAAAAACAAGTATTTGAGTCAATGATACTATGTTTACTGGCATTTTGGAACTCTTCCTACTTTGTGGTAATTAAGGACCAAAGCCACCTTTTCTTTTTTTTTTTTTTTTTGAGACAGAGTCTCACTCTGTCGCCCAGGCTGGAGTCCAATGGCGCGATCTCGGCCCACCGCAACCTCTGCCTCCCGAGTTCAAGCGATTCTCCTGCCTCCGCCTTCCAAGTAGCTGGGATTACAGGCACGCGCCACCACGCCCGGCTGTTTTTTGTATTTTTAGTTGAGACGGGGTTTTGCCATGTTGGCCAGGCTGGTCTCAAACTCCTGACCTCAAGTGATCCGCCCGCCTCGGCCTCCCAAAGTGCTGGGATTACAGGCGTGCAGCCGCGCCCAGACTCGCCTTTTTATTTTCAGTGCTTAAGATATGGCGGGGCGCGGTGGCTCACGCCTGTAATCCCAGCACTTTGGGAGCCCGAGGCGGGCGGATCGCGAGGTCAGGAGATGGAGACCATCCTGGCTAACACGGTGAAACCCCGTTTCTACTAAAAAATACAAAAAATTAGCCAGGCGTGGTGGCGGGCGCCTGCAGTCCCAGCTACTAGGGAGGCTGAGGCAGGAGAATGGCGTGAACCCGGGAGGCGGAGCTTGCGGTGAGCCCAGATCGCGTCACTGCACTCCAGCCTGGGCGACAGAGCGACACTCCGTCTCAAAAAAAAAAAAACAAACAAAAAAAGATATGAAGGAGGGCTGGGCATGATGGCTCACGCCTGTAATCCCAGCACTTTGGGAGGCCAAGGCGGGCGGGTCACTTGAGGTCAGGAAATCGAGACCATCCTGGCTAAAGGTGAAACCCCGTCTCTACTAAAAATACAAAAAATTAGGGGGCGTGGTGGCACATGCCTGTAAGCCCAGCTACTCGGGAAGCTGAAGCAGGAGAATCGCTTGAACCCGGGAGGCGGAGGTTGCGGTGAGCCAATATCTCGCCATTGCACTCCAGCCTGGGCAACAAGAGCGAAACTCTGTCTCAAAAAAAAAAATTAAAAAAAAAAAAAAAAAATTAGCCGGGCGTGGTGGCTGGCGCCTGTAATCCCAGCTATTTGGGAAGCTGAGGCACGAGAATCGCTTAAAAACCCAGGAGGCATAGGTTGCAGTGAGCTGAGATTGCGCCACTGCACTCCAGCCTGGACTACAGAGCGAGACTCTGTCTCAAATAAAAAATAAAAATAAGATATGAAGGAAGGGAGGAAATGAGGGAGGGAGGGAAATTGTTTATAAGCAAATAGGTTTGGGTTTTCTTGTTTTTGATGATAACCAGATCTATCATCTACCTCCAACTTTTCCCTTTTTAAACAAAAGTTATTAATTAACCTCATGATCTGCCTTACTCCCTAAATTTAATTTTAACTGACTCACCTTTTCCTACAGTAAAATAACCACTAAAACGGCAATGATTATCCACTATAGGAGATACTACAAGGTAGAATTATTATAAATTAGGTGTGTCAAGTACTAGTGTACTTGTTAAAATACTAGACTCTTGGACATGGGGAAAGAGGTATTTTCATGCACTGTTATAAATTGGGGAACTCTATATAGATATTAAATAAACCCAGCTTTTGACTCAGCGCTTCTGGAATACACAGCAGAGAGACACAGACAAGGGTTCCCTCCCTCCCCCACAGCCACACCTCCTGCCCCCTCTCTCCATTCTGTTAGGAAACAGTGTTACATATGAATCAATGCTGGTTTGTTTTCTGCAGATGCAGATTAATGACTTTGGAAGACTCACTGCCTCCGGGTAAACTAAAGGACTCATTAATTCAGTTCATTTTACACAATTAAAAAACTTTTTATAAAAAAAGAAAGCGAAAAGAAAAAGCTGGGCTTAGGGGTGCTGGCCTTTAGTCCCAGCTACTCGGGAGGCTACAGCTGGAGGATCATGTGAGACCAGGAGTTTCACCTGGGACCAGCCTGGGCAATATAGGGAGACCTCTTAAAAAAAAAAAAAGGAAAAGGAAAAATAAAAGAAAACCCAACCAGAATACCCCTAAATCTCTCAAATTCATTCCTCTCCAACTCTTTTTTTTTTTTTTTTTTTGTCTTTTTCTTGAAACAAGGTCTCACTATGTCACCCAGACTGGAGTACAGCGGCATGATCACACTGCAACCTCCACCTCTTGGACTCAAGCGATCCTCCCACCTCAGCCTCTCGAGTAGCTGGCACCCCTGCGCCACCACGCCTGGTAATTTTTTGTATTTTTGGTAGAAATGGGGTTTCACTATATTGCCCAGGCTGGTCTTGAACTCATGAGCTCAAGCGATTCTCCTGCCTCCCAAAGTGCTGGGATTACTGGCATGAGCCACCACGCCCTGCTCTTCTGATCCCAACATGTGCTGTGCCAGCCACTGTTTTCTCCAGACACTGTTTTCTCCAGACATGCCCACAACCCTCTAAGTAAAGGCTATTATTTTCATGACTCTCATTTCATGGATGAGAAAACAAAGAGACCTAACGTTATTGCCCAGGTCACACAGCTAGTGAAGGGGAGGTTGGGTTTAAATCCTGTCTGGCTAGCTGCTAAAGCCTTACATTTAAAAATGAATCAATCTGGCCTGGATTTGGTGTCTGTGTTTTTATGTTTTATTTTTATTTTATGTTTTATTTTGAGATGGAGTCTCACACTGTCACCCAGGCTGGAGTGCAATGGCACGATCTTGACTCACTGCAACCTCTGCCTCTCCAGCTCAAGCAATTCTCCTGCCTCAACCTCCTTGGTAGCTGGGATTACAGGCACGCACCATGCCCGGCTAATTTTTGCATTTTTAGTAGAGAAGGGGTTCTGCCATTGTTGGCCAGGCTGGTCTCAAAACTCCTGAACTCAAGTGACCTGCCCACCTCAGCCCCCCAAAGTGCTGAGATTACAGGCGTGAGCCACCATGCCCAGCCCAGAACTCCAGTTATTCTGAATGTTACGTTCAATTACACTGACAAAAGAAAGATGATTCAGTTATACACTTTATACACAAACCTTAATTAGAAAGTCCTACTGGTGGTTACCAAAGGCTGTGGTAAAGAATTGTTAAATCAAAGCCCTAATATCTCCCAGATGACCTCAACTCACCTGGTTTCCTCTTTGCCGCCTTGGGGGTTGCCCAGTCCACAACCTGCACTTCCTTCTCTATTCCTGGGCTCCGTTTACTTACTTTTTCTGTCCGTGGATTTCTAGCCTGTGAGCAGATTACTAACACCATTTGGATAAAGACAGTCTCTTATTTATCATTTTAGGACAAGCAATGAGATGTAGGAAAAAAAAACAACAAAGTAAACCAAAGAACAAAAGAGACTTTGGACCCTGACAAGGGAGGGTTTCAGTCGCACAGCCACTGCTTCCTTCACTTCACATCTCTTGACAATCTGACAGGGAGCACTGATCTGAGGAAAGATTTTTCAAATTATTTTAAGGAGAAAAACTTGAACTTCTTTGGGAGTCAGTAGGTTAGGGGTTCACTTACTGTGCTATTGAAAAAGTTACCAATAAAAATTTATACCAACTTTAGTCATATATAAAATGGGGAACAATAATGACTGAATTTAAAACTCACAATTTGAGATATAAAAAAATACTCGGGCGGGGAGTGGTGGCTCACGCCTGTAATCCCAACACTTTGGGAGGACAAGGCTGGAGAATTACTTGAGGGCAGGAGTTCGAGACCAGCCAGGTCAAAATAGCCAGACCCCCCCACTTGCCCTCTACAAAATAAATAACAAATACTCTATAGACTTTAAAAGCTACTATTATTAGTTCGTTGGCAGATGAAAAGATGCTCGGTATTAGTACAGAGAAACCTGGAGTTTTAGTTGGTTGAGTAACTTACTTAGGAAATGGAATGTATTTGGTACGAGAAAATAGCTTTCTTCAAGCCGCCAGTCTGGTCTCTGAAGTCTACTGTTGCCACAAGTTCCATTATTAAATCCCTTCACACATCCTGCTCAAGTCTCTGGCCACTGTTTTTTTGTTTTTTGTTTTTTGTTTTTTTTCCCCGTAGAATCGTTCTGAAGGAGTGCTCAATCTCCCAATGTCTCCGGAACCATACTTTGGATAATTACATTTAAAGTGAACAGAAAAGGGCCAGGAATAGTATTAGTAATTCAACCCAGACAAAAGTCACCCCATGAATAAGAAAGAATGCAATTTTAGCATTTACAAATTGTGGGGGAGGGAACAGAAGGGGAGAAGAAAAGAAGAGGTGAGGTGGAGAGAAAAAGGGTCTTCGGGCGGCAGGAAGTGGGAGGAGACTTTGCAAATAGCAATCTTGGGGCAGGGGCCATTTTGGAAGCATGTTGCGAGGCTCCGCTTCTTCTACAAGTATGGAGAAGGCAAAAGGCAAGGAGGTCAGTACAGTTTTAGTGGATTTGTTTTCTGTCTGTCTTTGTGTTTCTGTCTTCCCTGGGCACTCCTGATTTTTCCTTTAAGGAGAAAAGAATGTGCCTTCGAATTTTCTCCTCTTGACTTTTTTTTTTTTTATTTTAAGAGTAAGGCCCAAGAATATGATTGCAGCCTGGTATATTGGAGTGAGCAGACAAGTAAGAAATGAGGTTTTCTAGGTTTAGTTGAGGAGGTTGAGTGTGTCAAAAGATGGGGAAAAAAAAAAAAGAGGCCGGGCGCGGTGGCTCACGCCTGTAATCCCAGCACTTTGGGCAGCCGAGGCGGGCGGATCACCTGAGGTCGGGAGTTCGAGACCAGCCTGACCAAAATGGAGAAACCCCGTCTCTACTAAAAGTACAAAATTAGCCAGGTGTGGTGGCGCACACCTGTAATCCCAGCTACTCGGGAGGCTGAGGCAGGAGAATCGCTTGAACCCGGGAGTCGGGGGTTGCGGTGAGCCGAGATCGCCCCATTGCACCCCCAGCTTGGGCAACCAGAGCGAAACTCCACCTCAAAAGAAAAAGTTAAAAAATTAGGTTTTCAGGTTTGTGTTTTGGAACAGGGTTTCACTTTTGTCTCCCTGGCTGGAGTGCAGTGGCACCATCACTATTCACTGTAACCGCCCAGGCTCAAACGATCCTCCCACCTCGGCTTACCAAAGTGCTACTGGGACTGCAGGCGCCCGCCGCTGCTCCCGGCCCGGGTTTTCTGTTTTGAAGAGGTGCTTAGTCCTGTCAGAAAGAACTAACTGAATATGGGGGCTAGAGGGAAATGGTAACAGGAGAAAAGGGTGTTAAAGGAAAGATTTTAGGAAGAGGTAATTGAGCTGAGTTTGGAAAAGAATGAAACCCCTTAATTTCCTTTAGACGGACACAGATCCTAAACCGAGGGTGCTGAGAATGAATTCGTCCCCTTTTCCCAGCGTCCTTAGGACCTAGGAGTAATCAGAAGCCAGACATTGGGAACAATGCAGACAGAAACTGAAGGAAGAGAGGATTTAAGACGTTGCACAGGCACTGAACGGCCATATCCGAGCGCTCTCAGGTCCTCTTGACTTGAACTGGGTCATTTTTAACTGTCTCGGTTTTAAGTCTTTTGTGAGGTCCAAAGTGAGTACTTTTTGTAAGGTTTATGCAAATATAAATTTCAAATCAAAATGTAGAACTGCTATAGAGATGTAAAAATGCCATACAAATGTTAATTTGTCCAGTAATCCACCCTGAAAGTGAAGAAAAGGATTTAGATTTAGGAGAAATTTTATTATATTAATTTTTTTTTTTTAATGAGTTTGACTCTGTCGCCCAGAGTGGTGTGCAGTAGCCGATCTCGGCTCACTGCAGCCTCTGCTTCCCGGGTTCAAGCGATTCTCCTGACTCAGCCTCTCGATTAGCTGGGATTGCAGGCACGCACCACCACGCCCAGGTAGTTTTTGTATTTTTGGTAGTGACTGAGTTTCGATATGTTAGCCAGGCTGGTCTCGAACTCCTGACCTCAATCGGTCAGCCCACCTCGGCCTCCCAAAGTGCCGGGATTACAGGCGTGAGCCACGGAGCCTAGCCTTTATATTTAAATTTTAATTTATATCTAATGTACCCCTAATCTGTGTCTTTATGTTACCTCTGATTCTCAGCTTCTGTGTCTGAGAAGTAATTGTTGCCAGATTGCTATGAGAATTAAATGAATGAAAAAAGGAAGGCCAAGGCCAGGCACAGTGGCACACGCCTGTAATCCCAGCACTTTGGGAGGCTGAGGTGGGCGGATCACTTGAGGCCAGGAGTTTGAGACCAGCCTGGCCAACATGGTGAAACCCCCATCTCTACTAAAAATAGAAAAATTCAGCCGGGTGTGGTGGCAGGCGCCTGTAATTCCAGCTAGTGGGGAGGCTGAGGCAGAGAATTGCTTAAACCGGGGAGATGGAAGTTGCAGTGAGCCGAGATTGGACCACTGCACTACAGCCGGGGTGACAGAGCGAGACTCCTCTCAGAGAAAAAGAAAATAGGGAACCCTTGGGCGCAGTGGCTCGCGCCTTTAATCCCAACTCTTTGGGGAGCCAAGGCGGGAAGATTGCTTGAGGCTAGAAGATTGAGATCAGTGGGGGGAGACATAGGGAGACCTCACCTCTACAAAAAATTATCCTGTAGTCCCACCTGCTCAGGAGGCTGAGGCAAAAGATCACTTGAACCCGGGAGGTAGAGCTTGGAGTGAGCTATGGTCCTGTCACTGCACTCCAGCCTGTGTGACAGGGCAAGACCTTTTCTTTAATAAATAAATATTTTTTAAAAAAATGAAAGTGAGGAGCATATCAAAGCCAATGCCTAGTATGAGACAGAGGCTCAATATATGTTACTGTCTCTGGATTAAACAACTTTTCCCCACTCCCACTTTGCTTCCTTTAATTCAATGAACCAATATTTATTGAGTGCCTATGATGAAAAAGAAATCACACAAACCAATGTAATTGCAATTAACAAGTGGTAGAAATGAGGTAGTATTTAGTAGATTGGTCTGGAAGGACCAGGTTAAATAGCACTTGAGGTGAGACTTTTAAAAGAAGAGTAAGATTTTTAAGGTGTAAGATTTTAAAGTGTAAATAGAAGTAGGGTGGAGGTTGGGGCTGAGGAATGTAACAACTTTGGAAAGGAAAGGAATTATGTGGCTGGAGCTTGGTCAGGGAGAGCAGTGTGAAATAGGAGATAAGAGGCTGGTAGGTAATGTTAAAGACAATTACTTTTATGTTAAGAGCAATAAACCACTGAAACTTTTCATAGTGTCACTCTGCCAACAGTGTTAGAAAATTATTTGGAAGGCGTCAAGAATGAAGGACTGGGGGAAAAAATTCTGCCAGGTGAGAGATGATGGAATATAGTAAGTGAGTTAAGGGCCTCTTTTTTTTTTTTGAGACAGTCTCATTCTGTCACCCAGGCTGGAGTGCAGTGGTGCAGCCTCTACCTACCTCCCTGGCTCAAGCAATCCTCCTATCTCAGTCTCGAGTAGCTGGACTACACGCACACACCACCATGCTCAGCTAATTTTGTTTCCTTATGTAGAGGCAAGGTTTCACTATGTTGTTGCTCAGGCTGGTATCCAGTTACTGGACTCAAGCAATCCTCTTGCCTAGGCCTCCTATAGCACTCAGACTACAGGCGTGAGCCTACCTAAGCGCTTTTTCCCCTCAAGGCAGAGCTGTTTTCTTCTACTCTTGTTTGTATCTGTCTTTTCATGTGCTTTCAAACTGGCTTCCTCCCTTTTTTTCCATCATTGTTTCCCAGTCTTGTAAATGAAACTGAGTATTAAGATGATACCCAGAGGAGAATCCACACTGCCAGTGGAGTCCAGTAACTGCGTTGGTGCCTTAGAAGTGAGTTATCTTGAGGCAGGTAGTGTATGTGTGGTTTGGACACTAGAGGAATGACTGACCAGCTCCTCTGTTCCCCAGTGGACCTCCACAGAGAAGTCGAGGGAAGAGGATCAGCAGGCTTCTAATCAACCAAATTCAATTGCTTTGCCAGGAACATCAGCAAAGAGAACCAAAGAAAAAATGTCTATCAAAGGCAGTAAAGGTAAGAGGTCTTCAAATTCTCAAATCCCACCTTCTCGGGTCTTAGAAGCCAGAGGAATTTTTCTGAAGAAGAAAAACCAGGGAAGAAATTTCCATCATGTATTGTGCAAATCCTGCACTTCATGGAAGCCAAGCTTAAACTGTTACCTTCCTGAAGCATCTTTTGGTCACCACTGCTCTAACTGATCCCTTCCTATCTTCAGACTTCCACAGCATATTTGGTTCTGCTGATCATTTTTTCCTTCACTTGCTACTTGGAGTTAAGGATTTCAGTGTGCAATGATTTGGGAACAGACAGCTGTAAATTTGAAGATCCATTCTTGAAACCGGACTTCCTATTCTAAAAATAAGTTAGGACAATATCTACCTTTATTAAGCGGTGGGAATGGAGTGTTAAAATTTACATAGAGTAGTTAAGTGAAGCACTTAGACTATGCCTGAGAAGTAATATGTACAGAGTAAACCCTACTATTAGTGTCATTACAGGCTGGTTTTTTTTTTTTTTTTTTTTTTTTTTTTTTGAGACACCAAGACAGGGTGTTGCTCTGTCATCCAGGCTGGAGTGTGGTGGCACCATCTCAGCTCCCTGCAACCTGTGCCTCCCGAGTTCAAGCAATTCTCCTGTCTCAGCCTCCCAAGTTAGCTAGGATTGCAGGCGTGTGCCACCATGCCTGGCTGATTTTTGTATTTTTAGTAGAGACAGGGTTTCACCATATTGGCCAGGCTGATTGCAAACTCTTGGCCTCAAGTGATCGTCTGCCTTGGCCTCCTAAAGTGCTGGGGTTACAGGTGTGAGGCACCATGCCCAGCCTTAGAAATTTTTATGGCACGATCCCGGCCCACTACAACCTCTGCCTCCCGGGTTCAAACAGTTCTCCTGCCTCAGCCTCCCAAGTAGCTGGGATTACAGGCATGTGCCACCACGCCCAGCTAATTTTTTAAGTAGAGACGGCGTTTCACCATGTTGACCATGCTGATCTCCAACTCCTGACCTCAGGTTATCCACCCACCTCGGCCTCCCAAAGTGCTGGGATTACAGTGTGAGCCACTGCGCCCAGCCAGAAATCTTTACTGAATGAAGACAAGGTATGTGAGGTGCAGAAGCGGGATGAACAGAAACACAGCAGAGCTAAGGAAACATACCTGCTATGAAACCAGAGTGCTTCCCTGACCTAGGGTGGGCTGGCAGAATTAAGGGTATTAGTGGTTGCCTGTGTAGCATTGTCAGGTGTTGATTTTGCTCTGGGGGTAGAGGACACCACTGAGTATGATCTCAAGTCTAAGACAGCGGTAATTCCCCTGGGATGGAAGTGCAACCTCCGATGCCACCACCTGGATTCTGTGGATTAAGGAGCTCACAAAGGAGCAAGTGTACCTCAGTAGTGGGGCAATTTAGGAATAAAACTGGGTTTTAGAAGTGGTAAATCCTAGGTTTGAGAGGGATTGGACTATTAACTAAAAGTGATTTTAGGCTGGGCGCGGTGGCTTAGGCCTGTAATCTCAGAACTTTGGGAGGCCTAGGTGGGCAGATCACAAGGTCAGGAGTTCGAGACCAGCTTGGCCAACATGGTGAAACCCCATCTCCACTAAAAATACAAAAAATTAGCCGGGCGTGGTGGTGGGCGTCTGTAATCCCAGCTACTCAGGAGGCTGAGGCAGGAGAATCACTTGAACCCACGAGGCGGAGGTTGCAGGGAGCCAAGATCGCGCCACTGCACTCCAGCCGGGCGACAGAGCAAGATTCTGTCTCAAAAAAGAAAAAAAAAGTGATTTTACTTTTGAAATTCAGAAAAGCTACACAAAGATAATTACTACTCATTTGATTCCATTCTGCTTCAGTGCTCTGCCCTAAGAAAAAGGCAGAGCACACTGACAACCCCAGACCTCAGAAGAAGATACCAATCCCTCCATTACCTTCTAAACTGCCACCTGTTAATCTGATTCACCGGGACATTCTGCGGGCCTGGTGCCAACAATTGAAGCTGAGCTCCAAAGGCCAGGTGAGGTCCCAGGCTGGGGACGGTGCTGCTGGGAGGAAGGGTAGGAACCTTATTTGCCTTACTAACTCAGTTTTCTATTGTCTTAGAAATTGGATGCATATAAGCGCCTGTGTGCCTTTGCCTACCCAAATCAAAAGGTAACTTTTTAAAGGATGGACGTTTCAATGCTTATCCTAATTACCTATTGTAGCCTCAAAAGTGAGTAAAGGAACTGTCTTAGCCTCACCTTGTTCCTCCACCCCTAGTTCTAAGAAAGAACAATATTTCCCATCTCTACTTCTCTTTTTTTTCTTTCTTTCTTTCTTTTTTTTTTTTTTTTTTTTTTTTGAGACAGAGTCTTGCACTGTCACCCAGGCTGGAGTGCAGTGGCACCATCTCGGCTCACTGCAACCTTCACTTCCCGGGTTCAAGCAATTCTCCTGCCTCAGCCTCCAGAGTAGCTCGGATTACAGGCGCCTGCCTCAGGTGATCCACCCACTTCGGCCTCCCAAAGTGCTGGGATTACAGGCGTGAACCACTGTGCCTGGCCAGCAATTTTCTTTTTTTCTATTTTTTTCTTTTCATTTCTTTTCTTTTCTTTTCTTTCTTTTTTTTTTTTTTTTTTTTTTTTGAGACAGAGTCTCCCTCTGTCACTTAGGCTGCAGTTCAGGCTGCAACCTCTGCCTCCCTGGTTCAAGTGATGCCCCTGTCTCAGCCCCTGGAGTAGCTGAGATTACAAGCATGAGCCACCATGCCTGGATAATTTTTGTATTTTTAGTAGAGACGGGATTTCACCATGTTGGCCAGGCTGGTCTCGAACTCCTGACCTCAAGTGTTTCACCCACCTTGGCCTCCCAAAGTGCTGGGATTACAGACCTGAGCCACTGGGTGGCCAACTGAGCAATTTTCAAGAAGACAGTACATTGTTATTAACTATGTATAGTTACCAACTTGTACAATAGATCTCTTGAACCTAGTCCTCCTAAGTGAAACTTTGTATTTGATCAAGAGCTCCTTAGGCCATTTTTGTTAGAATTTTAATCTGTATTTTTATCTTTATTATTTAACCCTTTTTGTAGGATTTTCCTAGCACAGCAAAAGAGGCCAAAATCCGGAAATCATTGCAAAAAAAATTAAAGGTGGAAAAGGGGGAAACGTCCCTGCAAAGTTCTGAGACACATCCTCCTGAAGTGGCTCTTCCTCCTGTGGGGGAGCCGCCTGCCCTGGAAAATTCCACTGCTCTCCTTGAGGGAGTTAATACAGTTGTGGTGACAACTTCTGCCCCAGAGGCTTTGCTGGCCTCCTGGGCGAGAATTTCAGCCAGGGCGAGGACACCAGAGGCAGTGGAATCTCCACAAGAGGCCTCTGGTAAGCGCAACATGAAGAGCTTATTCTGGTCCAATGGGGAAATAAGCTTAGTAGATATTAATCACTGGTACATTTTAGGGTATATCAAAATCCCTTTGAGGGCCGGTGATTCCTGGACCCTGCCCACAGAGTTTCTGGTGCAGGTCTAGGGCAGGACCTGAGCATTTATTTGCATTTCTTTTTTTTTTTTCCTTTTTTTTTTTTTTTTTTTTTTTTTTTTTTTGAGACAGTTTCTCCCTTGTTGCCCAGGCTAGAGTGCAGTGGCGCGATCTCAGCTCACCGCAACCTCCACCTCCCAGGTTCAAGCAATTCTCCTGCCTCAGCCTTCCTGAGTAGCTGGGATTACAGGCATGTGCCACCATGCCCGGCTAATGTTGTCTTTTTAGTAGAGATGGGGTTTCTCCATGTTGGTCAGGCTGGTCTCGAACTCCCGACCTCAGATGATCCTCCCACCTTGGCCTCCCAAAGTGCTGGGATTACAGGCGTGAGCCACCGTACCTGGCAAGAGTTTGCATCTCTAACAGTTTCCCAGGCAGTACTAAGGATGCTGGTCTGGGGACCACAGTTTGAGAACCACTGCTCTAAATTATTGATGGCATCAGAAGGGGATAGCAGTCTGGTTTTCTTTCTTTACCCTTTAAGCAATTTAAATTAAAGGCAAGGTCTAAAATTAATTGCCTGCAACTGAGCCCCAGAATGGCATTAATAAGTTATTTAAAATATTTCCCAGCGTTTTCATTGTAAAATGGGTAATACCTACCTTATATGTTGGAAGAATTACAGAAAGTACAACAAAAGAAGACAAACTGCTTAGCATAATCCAATGTGTGTTAAGAGCTGAGACCCCTGAGCTTATTTCATGAAGCCCTTTCCAGACACTCTGGGTTAGTCTTTCTACCATCTGCCCACCTACAACTATACTACTTCCAACTAGATTTTTAAGTTTTAACAGGAACTGTCTTGTATGCTTTTTGTTTTGTTTTGCTTTTGATATGGAGTCTCGCTCTGTCACCCAGGCTGGAGTGCAGTGGTGCAATCTTGGCTCACTGCAAGCACCGCCTCCCGGGTTCACGCCATTCTCCTGCCTCAGCCTCCTGAGTAGCTGGGACTACAGGCCCCCGCCACCACGCCTGGCTAATTTTTTGTATTTTTAGTAGAAACGGGGTTTCACTGTGTTAGCCAGGATGGTCTCGATCTCCTGACCTCGTGATCCACCCGCCTCGGCCTCCCAAAGTGCTGGGATTACAAGCGTGAGCCACTGCGCCCAGCTTGTATGCTTTTCTAAAGGAGAACAGAATAGAGAAGAGGTTAAGTTAGGATTTCAGGGTTCACATCTTGGAGCTGGTCAATCAAGGGTGATGGGCCATAATGCAGTCTTACATCAGTATGTCATCCTGGTGTGCGGGTACCTGTCTCTTTCCTTTGCCATTGCCAGGTGTCAGGTGGTGTGTGGTCCATGGGAAAAGTCTCCCTGCAGACACAGATGGTTGGGTTCACCTGCAGTTTCATGCTGGTCAAGCCTGGGTTCCAGAAAAGCAAGAAGGGAGAGTGAGTGCACTCTTCTTGCTTCCTGCCTCCAATTTTCCACCCCCGCACCTTGAAGACAATATGTTGTGCCCCAAATGTGTTCACAGGTAATTACCTGATGCTTTTCTACAAACTAAAAGTGGGTGCCGGATTTTCAATTGCAGAAAGTTAAGATATACATTAATCTTAAATAGCCAGGTATTTCAAGCTCAAATTGTCAGTAAAGAGTTTCAAGAAAATTATTACTCAGTTAAGTTTATCCCCAGGAAAAAGAAAGCATTTATGTGTCAGGGTTTAATGCTTCTACCTGGAGACACAGAATTCTGGGAGCAACAAACATTATATAATTACTATATTCAAAGTGTATGCTCTACACAGAAATAATGACTAGCAAAAAACCTCTTCCTTTAAGTAGCCTACAGTCTTAACAGGGATGGTGGGCATGTAAACACCTAGAATAACATGATGAATATCAAAGAAGAGGTTCCTTAAGTTAAGGGAAGAATCGACTAGATGGAAAGGAGAGATCGGTAATTTCTCAGCCTGGGAAACGTAGCAAGACCATCTCCCACAGGAGGAAGTATGTGAATGTGTGATTGGCTTTTCCTTCTTTGGGATATCCTACTTTTTGCTGTGAGTGTTTTGATAATCTCTCTATGCCAAGCAAGTTGAAGAGAACTGAGGAGGTCACTTTGGGTAGTCCTTTAATGACATACTTAGGTTTTTGGGAAAGTGATGAAAAGAGCCCCTCCAAGGCCTCCTGTCCATGGTTGGCACAAGTCAGGGAATATATTACAGAGGCATGATAACTTGGCTGATGATCTTCATTCTTGAATGACAGGATCACAGGCTTGCTACCTATGATCCTAAAGTTGTAAGGGCAATTTCAACAGCATTCCAGCAGCGGGTTTCTTGGCTATTTTTAATATTTCTTCATTCTTTTTAAAAACAAATACTTTATTTGCTTTATAGGAACAAGGTCTTAATAAAAAGCCTCCAATGGGAATAGAATATCAGGAAAAAGGCCACATCTATGGTAATTAATGGCAGAAAAGCTGGAGAGTTGGATTCTGCGGTGCTGCTGACAGGTGAACTCTGGTCCTCTGCACCTGTTTATGGGCCATGCAGACTGGTGGGGTGGCAGATGTTAGCCTAAGACCCCTAGCAGTGCCTGTTGCTTTGTGAGTGGAGATAGAGACTCTTACATTTAAAAATGGAAAAACATTTCACAAATTACCATAAATTGTAGTTAATATGTAGAAAAACTCATTCATACTACTTTTCTAAAATAGACATGACTTCAGCAGCAGCTTTTTTTTGTTGTATTTTGAGACAGTGTCTCACTGTTGCCCAGGCTGGAGTGCAGTGGTGCAATCTCAGTTCAGTGCAATCTCCGCCTCCTGGGTTCAAATGATTCTCCTGCCTCAGCCTCCTGAGTAGCTAGGTACAGGCACCTGCCACCACACCCAGCTAATTTTTTGTATTTTTAGTAGAGATGGGGTTTCACCATGTTGGCCAGGTTGGTCTCAAACTCCTGGACTCAAGTGATCACCCTCCTCAGCCTCCCAAAATGCTGGGACTATGGGCATGAGCCCCTGCGCCTGACCTTCAACAGCTCTTTTAAGTGAGTTCTTCAGCTAAGCATTGTGATGGACTTGAGTAAAATGGTAGTTGGCTCTTGTGCTCAATTTTCTCTTCCTCTGAACACTGACTACTTTAGGAGCTGCTTCATTCCAATTGCAATTTCATAAAACGTAAAGTATTTTAAGGCAAAGAAAGGCTGTTAATTCCCTCCCTCCCCCAAACACATGATTTTTAATATTCTAAACAATATTTTTCAAAGTTCTCTTAATAACCTGAGATTTCTATGGTTTGACTCCAGGATCAAAACACAAGGGACTTTGTATTATTTCACTTATAATTGTTTTGTATATTTCTGGAGTTTAAAATGTTTAAGGTTGCTTCCCGCTCATAAATACATAATATATTGAATTTAAAATGTGTTTATTAACCGATTCTCCATAAATAAAAATAAGATGTGTATGTAAAATAATTCATCTGTTGTATTTAGAGAACCATATTCATTGCATGCAAATTTTATTGTTAGTGTTCTTAACTCAAGTAGGAGTAAACCAAAAAGTGTGATTTTTCTTTTGTATGACTCGTTTGTTCTTTATTAGTTGGTGGTATGGGTTGGATCATTTGTTTTTAAAACTACTTAGGTATGATTCACATACAAAAAGCTGCACATATTTAATGTATCCTATTGTGTAATTAATTTTTAATTTTTTTGTGTACTTCCTAAACTTATAGTCCTGCGAGTCTGGGAACAGATCTGTTTTTCACTTATCCTGATTTAATGACAGTTTCCAACATTGTTTTGTTATTACAAGTAGGGGATCTTTTTTTTTGCCCGTTTAATGAAGATACTAAAAATAATGCACTGGAAGGAGTGGAAGAGTTGGAAAATTTGTAACCATCATAATACAGGTGTAATAGGTTTGGGAAAGAATCCTCAAAAATGTTAAAGCAAGGGAGGAAAGTTTGTTGAGAAGCAAGATGTTCTTCTCTCCTGCCCGCCCCCGCCGTTGGTTGTTGGTGGTCAGAATTATTGTGTAATAAATAATAGACATTTTTTCTTATACTATGTGTATTGTTCCTTTTGTTTCCTTTTTAAACTTCTCCCCTGCTTTATTTGGATGGGTCAAGTTTCTGTTCTGTTTCCTTCCTTTCTATTAATTTGGAAATGTCCTTGGCTTTACGATTCTGCTTGTAGATACTTCCCCTGCTTCTAACACATTTCAATAAACTTAAATTTCTCTATATACAAAATAAATTAATAATTGGAGTCTACCAGTAAGACAGTTTATTTACTCATCTTCCTGCCCCAGCAAGATAAAACCTTAAGGTTACATACTTGCCAAATCACCCTAATTTTCACAGGCCTCCCCCAAAGTTCCTATCAATCACATTCAGTCCCCCACTCCCTGTCTCCCTGCTATGCTCCCAGAATGCTAAGAGGAAGACAGTTGGAGCTATAAACTCCCTGTGTCTCAGATGAGTTCCCTGGCAGAGGCATGACATCTTGCTGTTTTGGGGGGAGCTGAGAGAAGAGATTTATATTCCCAATTTCCCATCTGGATGTTAAGATAACTTGTACAAATAGGTCTGTGCCCACATTGTATCTGGTGTGGGAAACCTGGAGCCAGCCTTGCAAATTTCTCTTGGCCCCAAAGGGACATGGCAGCTTCCAAGGGTAAACGTTGGTCAGGGCTTCTGAACATATTGTTGATGGAAATAAAATTTCTACATTTTGGCACGATGGGGCTTACTGACGTAAAAATTGGAATTTGGCTACAGCCACCTTAACCAAGGATTCCAACTTAGCACCACCAGGAATGTTACAAACTAAAATGTCTTTTCTGATAAACAATGGGAAGTACACAATATCATTGCCAAAAATATAATGTAAATCTAATAATGAGGAAACAATTAGTCCTGATTACACCTGTTGTCTCAGGCTAATTGAGTCTACCTTGCTTTGAATGACACTTAGACATAGCCATATGTGAAGAGCCACAGGGGCCAGGGGCAGTGGCTCACGCCTGTAATCCCAACACTTGGGAGACTGAGGCTGGCAGATGACTTGAGCCCAGGAGTTCAAGACCAGCCTGAGCAACATATTGAAACCCTTTCACCAAAGTACAAAAGTTAGCCCGCTGTGGTGGCCTGTGGACTGTAGTCCCAGCTATTCGGGTGGCCGAGATGGCAGGATTGCTTGAGCTGGAGGTTGAGGCTGCAGTGAGCCATGATCGCACCACTGCCCTTCCAGCCTGGGCAGCAGAGCAGAGACCCTGCCTCAAAAAAAAAAAAAAAAAAAGGGCCAGGCGCGGTGGCTCACACCTGTAATCCCAGCACTTTGGGAGGCCGAGGCGGGCAGATCACGAGGTCAAGAGATCGAGACCATCCTGGCTGACAAGGTGAAACCCCATCTCTACTAAAAATACAAAAATTAGCCAGGCGTCTGTAGTCCCAGCTACTCGGGAGGCTGAGGCAGGAGAATGGGGTGAACCCGGGAGGCGGATCTTGCAGTGAGTAACGAGAGGACAATCTCTGTATTCAAAAAAAGCTAAAATTGGCCGGATGCGGTGGCTCACACATGTAATCCCAGCGTTTTGGGAGGCTGAGGGGGTGGATCACCTGAGGTTGGGAGTTCAAGGCCAGCCTGACCAACATGGAGAAACCCTGTCTCTACTAAAAACAAAAATTAGCCGGGCGTGGTGGCACATGCCTGTAATTCCAGTTACTCAGGAGGCTGAGGCAGGAGAATTGGTTGAACCCGGGAGGCAGAGGTTGTGGTGAGCCAAGATCACGCCATTGCACTCCAGCCTGGGCAACAAAAGCAAAACTCCATCTCAAAAAAAAAAAAAAAAAATTAGCTGGGTGTGGTAGCACATGCCTATAATCCTAGCTACTTAGGAGGCTGAGGCAGGAGAGTCACTTGAACCTGGGAGGCAAAGGTTGCAGTGAGCCAAGATTGTGCCTCTGCACTCCAGCCTGGGCAATAGAGTGAGACTCCGTCCCACACACACAAAAAGGGCCAGGTGCAGTGGCACACACCTGTAATCCCAACAATTTGGGAGGCCCAGTGGGGCGGATCACCTGAGATCCAGAGTTTGAGACCAGCCTAGCCAACATAGTGAAACCCTGTCTCTACCAAAAATACAAACTAGCTGAACGTGGTGGCACACACCTGTAATCCCAGCTACTTGGGAGGCTGAGGCAGGAGAATCGCTTGAGCCCAGGAGGCAGAGGTTGCAGTTAGCCAAGATCCCGCCATTGCACTCCAGCCTGGGCAAAAATAGCGAAACTCCATCTCAAAAAAAAAAAGTTTTCCATAAAATGTGACAGTGATTCTCATTTAGTCCCCAAACCAGGAGCATCCATATTAGCCTGGAACTTTGAAATGCATATTACTTCATCTCAGACCTACTGAATGACACAGGGGGTGGTTCAGCAATGTGTTTTCACAAGTCCTGCAGAAGAGTGTAAGAATTGCTAATCTTGGTGATAAAAAGTAAAGCTGGTTTTCCAAAGGGCGGAAGTAATGGGAATTGACTGGAAGAGCCCCAAAGGAATTTTTCTGGTGATAGAAATATTTTCTATCTTGATTGGGGGAATTGGCTAATCATTTATTTTATTTTATTTTATTTTTGACATAGTGTTTCTTGTTGCCCAGGCTGGAGTGCAATGGCTCGATCTTGGCTGACCGCAACCTCCGCCTCCCAGGTTCAAGTGATTCTCCTGCCTCAGCCTCCCGAGTAGCTGGGATTACAGGCATGTGCCACCACTCTCTGCTAATTTTTTGTATTTTTAGTAGAGACAGAGTTTCTCCCTGTTGGTCAGGCTAGTCTCGAACTCGACATCAGGTGATCCGCCCGCCTCGGCCTCCCAAAGTGCTGGGATTACAGGCGTGAGCCACCGCACCCGGCCTGGCTACTCATTTTTTAAAGCTCATTACAGTGTACACTCAAGATCTGTGCATTTCACTCTAAATTTTATTGCAAAGGAGAAAAAATGGTTAGTTTGGAAATTAAAGAGGAAATAGTTTGTGTCACATAACTCTACCCCTAATATTTCTGTACATGTCAGAGCTACAGATTGAAAGAAGTCTTGTTTATCTCCATGGTAGATGACAAGGAGGAGGACCACAATACATCAGGGGGTTTATAACACCAAGGAGGGTTCTAAAGAGGTAAACAGACTGGACAAGAATTCCTCCCCATTCCAGAAGTCATGCAGCTCTAACTAGAATGCAAAGGTTAAGAACTTTCTACATTCTGCTCTTCCTTCAAACTCCTGTTTCAGGCCGGGTGTGGTAGCTCACGCCTGTAATGATTCTCCTTCCTCAGCCTCCCAAGTAGCTGGGATTACAGGTACCTGCCACCACACGCAGCTATTTTTTTGTATTTTTAGTAGAGATGGGGTTTCACCGTGTTAGCCAGGATGGTCTCCATCTCCTGACCTCATAATCTGTCCGCCTTGGCCTCCCAAAATGCTGGGATTACAGGCATAAGCCACCGAACCTGGCCTTTTTTTTTTTTTTTGAAACGGAGTCTCACTCTGTCACCCTGGCTGGAATGCAGTGGCGAGGTCTTGGCTCATTGCAACCTCAGCCTCCCAGGTTCAAGCCATTCTCCTGTCTCAGCCTCCTGAGTAGCTGGGATTACAGGCATGTGCCACTGGGCCCGGCTTTTTTTTTTTCTTGAGATGGAGTCTTGCTCTGTTGCCCAAGCTGGAGTGCAATGGCGTGATCTCGGCTCACCACAACCTCCGCCTCCCGGGTTCAAGTGATTCTACTGATTCAGCCTCCTGAGTAGCTGGGACTACAGGTGCACACCACTAGGCCCAGCTAATTTTTGTATTTGTAGTACAGATGAGGTTTCACTATGTTGGCCAGGCTGGTGTCGAACTGACCTTGTGATCTGCCGGCCTTGGCCTCCCAAAGTGTTGGGATTACAAGCCTGAGCCACCTCGCCCAGCTAGTTTTTGTATTTTTAGTAGAGACGGGGTGCCACCATCTTGGCCAGGCTGGTCTTGATCTCCTGACCTCGTAATCCACCCACCTCGGCCTCCCAAAGTGCTGGGATTACAGGCTTTAGCCACCACGCCTGGCCCCAGTGATCTATTTTTCATTTTAATTATTTGGCTTTTCCGTGATGTTGTAAAAATGTAATGAGCCTGAGTTCTTTAATTTAACGTAATGTATTTGAGACTGATACATGTTTTTGCATGTATCATTAGTTTGCTCCTTTTCATTAATGAATAGTGCTATTCCATTTTGTGGAGGTACCACAGTTTGTGAACCCTTCACCACTTGAAGGATATTTGGTTATTTTTAGGTTTTGATGATTACAAATAAGTCTTCTATAAACCTCTCTGTAATTTGTTGTTTGAATATTGAAGTTTCACTCATTTGGGCTAAATACTCAAGGAAGGAGATTGCTGGGCCATATATTAAGTGTACATTTAGCTTGACAAGGCACTGCCAAACTGTTTTCCAAACTGACTGTGCCATACTGTATTTTCACTGAAATATATGAGATGCGGCTGGGCGCAGTGGCTCATGCCTGTAATCCCAGCACTTTGGGAGGCCGAGGCGGGTGGATCACCTGAGGTTGAGAGTTCAAGACCAGTCTGACCAACATGGAGAAACCCTGTCTCTACTAAAAATGCAAAATTAGCCAGTCGTAGTGGTGCATGCCTGTAATCCCAGCTACTAAGGAGGCTGAGCCAGGAGAATCGCTTGAACCTGGGAGATGGAGGTTGTGGTGAGCCGAGATCACGCCATTGCATTCCAGCCTAGGCAACAAGAATGAAACTCCGCCTCAAAAAAAAAAAAAAAAAAAAAAAACCCAACCAGAGTCGCTCCACTTTTATCTATTATATATTGGTGTTCCATAAACATCTATTTTTGTAGAACATATTTCTCTGGCCGGGCTTGGTGGCTCACGCCTGTAATCCCAGCACTTTGGGAGGCCGAGGTGGGCGGATCACGAGGTCAGAAGATCAAGACCATCCTGGCTAACATGGTGAAACCCCACCTCTACTAAAAATACAAAAAATTAGCCTGGGGTTGTGGCGGGCGCCTGTTAGTCCCAGCTACTCGGGAGGCTGAGGCAGGAGAATCGCTTGAACCCGGGAGGCGGAGCTTGCAGTGAGCCAAGATTGCGCCACTGCACTCCAGCCTGGGCGACAGAGCGAGACTCTGTCTCAAAAACAACAACAAAAAAAGAACATATTTCTCTGATTTAGAAAGTGTTAGCTGGGTGTGTTGCCATGAGCATGTTGTCCCAGCTATTGGGGAAGCTGAGGCAAGAGGATCACTTGAGCCCAGGAGTGAGAGGCTGCAGTGAGCCCTGATCATACCATTGCACCCGAGCCTGAGCAACAGAGTGAGATCCTATCTCAAAATAAACAAATAAATAAAAGCTATTTTGAAAAAAGGTAAGATTAAATTTAAAAAAATAAAAATGATTTTGAAAGCACTTATCTAAATGAGAAATACAATGCATTTTTATTTACCTTACAATACAGAAAATAAAGTATGTATTTGAATAAAGTAATGCATTTTTGTCGGGCGCGGTGGCTCACGCCTGTAATCCTAGCACTTTGGGAGGCCAAGACGGGCAGATTACCTGGGGTCAGGAGTTCAAGACCATCCTGGCCAACATGGTGAAACCCTGTCTCTACTAAAATACAAAAACTAGCTGGGCATCATGGCGGGTGCCTGTAATCCCAGCTACTTGGGAGGCTGAGATGGGAGAGTCTCTTGAACCTGGGAGATGGTGGTTGCAGTGAGCTGAGATGGCGCCACTGCACTCCAGCCTGGGCAGCTGAGTGAGACTCCTTCTCAAAAAATAAAAATTAAAAAAAAAAAGTAATGCATTTGTATTTCAGGACTATTGTCTATTATTGGAATAAATAAGAAAAAAGGTATTCAGAAAAGGTTTTTTTTTGTTTGTTTGTTTGTTTTTTTTGAGACAGAGTCTCTCTCTGTCCCCCAGGCTGGAGTGCAGTGGCCCGATCTCGACTCACTGCAAGCTCCGCTTGCTGGGTTCACACCATTCTCCTGCCTCAGCCTCCTGAGTAGCTGGGACTACAGGCGCCCACCACCACGCCCAGCTAATTTTTTGTATTTTTAGTAGAGACGGGGTTTCACCTTGTTAGCCAGGATGGTCTGGATCTCCTGACCTCGTGATCCGCCCGCCTCAGACTCCCAAAGTGCTGGGATTACAGGCGTGAGCCACTGTGCCCAGCTGAAAAGATTTTTTTGAAGGTTGTTTTTAATAGTTCAGCCCCCTGTTAGTGGCTACTTTTAAGCTTTGAAGTATACGTACACTAATTCCCAAACTAAAATTGGTGGTATCTGTTTTAGAGTTATTTTAGGGGCCTAATGAAGAGCCTTCTACGAACTGGACACTCTACTGAGCCCCATGGGAATAAGGATGTGTCTGAGAACTTCAGAGTGCCACAGTCTGGTAGAAATAGTCAAATTAGTCTGTGATAAGTATTTACACCAAATCCTTTACCAGCAGCAAAGAAACAGACATCTGCTATACAACAGAGTTGGGTGGGAAGGGGTAGAAATGTGGAGGTTCAGGCAATATTAATAACCCTAGCATTGGCCGGATGTGGTGGCTCACACATGTAATCCCAGCACTTTGGGAGGCCGAGGCAGGCGGATCACCTGAGGTCGGGAGTACGAGACTAGCCTAGCCAGCATGGTGAAACCCCATCTCTACTAAAAATACAAAATTAGTTGGGTGTGGTGGCAGGCGCCTGTAATCCCAGCTACTCGGGAAGCTGAGGCAGGAGAATCGCTTGAACCCGGGAGGCAGAGGTTGCAGTGAGTGAAGATCACACCATTGCACTCCAGCCTGGGCAACAGAGCGAGACTCCGTCTCAAAAAATAAAAAAAAAAAAATAGGCCAGGTGCGGTGGCTCAGGCTTGTAATCCCAGCACTTCGGGGGGCCGAGGTGGGTGGATGACGAGGTCAGGAGTTCGAGGCCAGCCTGGCCAACACAGTGAAACCCCGTCTCTACCAAAAATACAAAAATTATCTGGGCATGGTGGCAGGCACCTGTAACGCCAGCTATTCGGGAGGCTAAGGCATGAGAATCACTTGAACCCGGGAGGTGGAGTTTACAGTGAGCCGAGATCGTGCCACTGCACTCCACCCTGGGCGACAGAGCTAGACTCAATCTCGAGAAAACAACAACAACAAAAACCTCTAGTATTGATTGAGCTTCTCTTCTGAGCCAGAGTGCAAGGCTCTGAAAGGTGACTGAAACCAACCTGGCCATTGTTGTCATAGAACCTGCTAATTGAGGAGATGAAATTACCGTAAGATTCCAAATACATACAAAATTACAGATTCAAATGATTTTTTTTTGAAGGACTAGAATGACAGAATGACAAGAGGAATCTCTTTTAGGGTTACTCTTAGGAAATGCATTTAAGCTTAAAGAACGAGGCGTCAGATGAGTGAAGAGGGACAGAAATAATATTTTTCTTAAAAACTTAAAAGAGCAGACTCAGTGTGGTGGCTCACACCTGTAATCCTTACACTTTGGGAGACCAACGCGGGAGACTGCTTGAGCCTGGGAGAGACCAGCTTGGGCAACATAGTGCGACCCCGTCTGTACAAAAAAATAAATTTAGACAGGCGCAGTGGCACATGCCTGTAGCCATGGCTACTCAGAAGGCTGAGGTGGGAGGTTCTCTTGAGCCCAGCAGGTAAAGGCTGTAGTGAGCTGTGGTCGCACCACTGTACTCCAGCCTGGGCAACAGAAGCTAGAACAGACTAAAGGGTAAAACAAGAACTGGCAAAATTCAAATAGGAAACTATAGGAAATTCACACAATTATTTCAACAATAACAACAACAGTGAATTGTAAGAGGTAAGAAGTGGAAGCTGCGTGTGATGGCATGTGCCTGTTATCCCAGCTACTCAGGAGGCTGAGGCAGGAGGATTGCTTGAGCCCAGGAGTTCAAGCCCAGCCTGTGTAACATAGTGAGATCCTAAAATAAATAAATAAAAACAGATGGAGATAACTTATAAAGAAAAATTTAAGGCCTATTTCAATTTATCACAGACCTTGATTGGACGCTGATTCAAATAGATTGTTAAAAAAAAGAAAATGAGGGAAGAGAAAAATATATAAGATAAATGGAGTTTTTTTTTTGTTGTTTTTTTTTGAGATCCACCACCTGGGTTCAAGCAATTCTCCTGCCTCAGCCCCCACCAGTAGCTGGAACTACAGGTGCGTGCCACCATGCCTGGCTAATTTTTGTATTTTTAGTACAGACAGGGTTTCTCCATGTTGGCCGGCTGGTCTCAAACTCCTGACATCAGGTAATCCACCTGCCTTGGCCTCCCAAAGTGCTGGGATTACAGGCGTGAGCCACGGTGCCCAGCCAGATAATTGGAGTTTTGAATACTGCTGGATATTTGAACATAACATATATTTGAATACTTTGATAATATTAAATAATGATTTTTTAAATTATGTTTAGATGTAAAAAGGATATCGTAGTTATAATAGGAACGAAGTATTTTTTCCCCCTGGATTTATTTATTTATTTATTGAGACAGCCTCACTGCAGCCTCGGGCTCCTGGGCTGAAGGGATCCTCTGACCTCAGCCCCCTGAGTAGCTAGGACCACAGGCATGTCTCACCACACCCACACGCCCGGTTATTTTATTTTTATTTTCATTTTTATTTTTTTGGTAACAATGAGATCTCACTATCTTGCCGAGGCTGGTCTCATACTCTTGGGCTCAACTGTTCCTGCCACCTCGGCCTCCTGACGTGCTGAGATTACAGGTGTGAGCCATGGCACCGGCCTTTTCCCTGAATTTATGAACGAAATCATAGGCGATCTGGCACTTGTTTCAAAATAACCCATGGAGGAGGAATGGACGGCAATTTAGATGTAACCAGACTGGCTGTAAGTAAATTACTATGACAAAAAGTAGACACACTTTTGTACATGTTTGAACCTTCCCATAATAAAACATTCTCAAAAAGCTGGGGAAAAAACCCCAGGAAAACAAATAAGATTTTTTTTTTTTTTTTTTTGGGGGGACAGAGTCTCTCTCTGTCGCCCAGGCTGGAGTGCAGTGGCGTGATCTTGGCTCACTGCAATCTCCACCTCCTGGGTTCAAGCGATTCTCGTGCCTCAGACTCCCGAGTAGCTAGGGAGTCTGTTCCCTGTTTGTATTGACTACTTCCACGACTGGTAAGCTCTTCCTCAAAAAGTGTAATCTTCTCTAAAGTTTCCCTAAGCTATTCCAATATAGATTCTTCCCATAGATTTTCATAGATTTTCTTACTTTTTTTTTTTTTTTGAGACGGAGTTTCGCTCTTGTTGCCCAGGCTGGAGTGCAATGGCGCAATCTCGGCTCACCGCAACCTCCGCCTCCCGGGTTCAAGCGATTGTTCTGCCTCAGTCTCCCTAGTAGCTCGGATTACAGGCATGTGCCACCATGCCCGGCGAATTTTTGTATTTTTAGTAGAGACGGGGTTTCGCCATGTTAGCCAGACTGGTCTTGAACTCCTGACCTCAGGTGATCCGCCCGCCTCCGCCTCCCAAAGTGCTGGGATTACAGACGTGAGCCACCGCGCCCGGCCTAAAATGATTATATTGTAAAAAATGCAATGAAGAAAAGAAAACATGGTAATGAAATGGTCTTCCCACTCGAAATCCTGTCCCTACCTAAGGCATTAGGATCAACTCAGGCCATTAGGTCAGCTTTCCTCTAAATTGCCCATTCAAAGCACCAGGGGCCACACCCAACCGGGTAGGCGGAGTGCTTTCCTGGCTGCATCTTAGAGGGCTGCATTCAGGTTCCACCCTGGAAGGGAGGAGCCGGAATTCCGATCATTATCTGCCGCGGACTGCCTGTCTCCAAAGCCCTTTGTTTATGGCCTGATCTAGCTAAGGCTTCTAGACTTCAGGAGCTTAAGAATCGTCCGGAGGGCTGGGCGTGGCGGTGCAGGCCTGTAGTCCCACCCACTCCGAAGGCTGCGGAGGGAGGATCAACTTGAGTCTGGGAACTCAGCCAGGAATTCAAGACCAGCCTGGGCAACACAGTGAGGCCCCCTACCCACATCCTCTCCGTCCCCGCAATCTCCTTCCATCCCAGGTCTCCTCTCTACAAAAAATTTAAATATTAGCGGGGCGTGGTGGCGCGGGCCTGTAATCCCAACTACTGGAGTGTGGGGGGAGGGGCGGGGGTGGGACGGCATGGGCTGTAGTGGGAAGATCGCTTGAGTCCAGGAGGTCGAGGCTGCAGTGAGCTATGATCGCGCCACCGCACTCCAGCCTGGGCGTCAGAGCCTGTCTAAAAAAAGAAAAAAAGAAAAAATTACCTGGAGGGCTTGTGGAAGCACAGATTCCTCAGCCCCTCAGCCTCACCCTCCATGATCTGATTCAGGATGTCTTGGGTGGTGGGGTGGGGCCTCATAATTTATTTTTCCAATCAGTTCCTCAGTAAACTGAAGCTGAGCTTTTTCAGACTACATTTTTTTCTTTTGTAAATTTATTTATTTATTTATTTATTCATAGAGATGAGGTCTCACTATATTGCCCAGGCTGGTCTCGAACTTCTGGACTCAAGTGGTCGTCCTTCCTCGGCCTCCCAAAGGCCTCCCAAAGGATTACAGACATGAGCCACCGTGCCAGGTCCAGACAATATTTTGAATGTGTTAAATACACTAGTAACTTAAATGGACCATGGTCACCCTGGGTCCTGAGATTAATGGACCAAATCATTTTCCCAGGGACAGAAAAAGCCCATTGTAAAGGTACTTGGTTGTCCAGTGCTGCCATATTATTGGTGAATGAAATTTCCTTTAGTTGCTCTGGCTTCTTAGAGTGACCTATGAGAACACCTGCTTCATATTTTGCCACATTCCGTGTCCAACATTAGGCTCCAGCAATTCCTAAGTGCATCGTTCCTTCTGCCTTCGTTACTCCACCACTTGCCTTGGTGTTTTGGCTCTTGTTGCTATTCTGAACAGCCAAATCCTTCTCCTCCAACCAGCTCAATATTATTGCAGGCTTAATATTTGTATTTAGAACTAGATCGAAGAGAGATTATGTTATCCAACCCCCACAATTTAAATCTGGAATCTTTCAGTGAGTAACATACCCCCGTGCATAAATCAGGTATAAAATACCTGCGTAAAATGCTCTGAATCTTTTTTCCATTCCCTTCGTAATAAGTAATTTGTTACCAATATCGTCTTATAACTGTTCTAAAACATTCTGTTCATTCCATTGGAACTTGTCAACAAGTGTTTGTCATTTTCAGTTTTCTTTCAAGTTTCACCTATTTTTTTTTCTTCTTTCTTTCCTTCTTTCACTTGTTGAGACAGAGTCTCGCGAAGCTGGAGTGCAGTGGTGCGATCTCGGATCGCTGTAACCTGCGCCTCCTGGGCTCAAGCAGTCCTCCCACCAACCCCTCCCGAGTAGGTGGGATTACAGGCGCTCGCCACAACGCCCGCCTAATTTTTGTGTTTTTTTGTAGAAATGGGGGTCTCGCCATGTTTCCCAGGCTGATCTCGAACTCCTGGACTCAATCGATCCGCCCCCCCTGGGCCTCCCAAAGTGCTGGGATTACAGGCATGAGCCATCGCACCCAGCCTAATTTTTAAAAAAACATTGTCACTGAATGGACAAGACAGGGTATAAAATTGATAAAATTATCCCATTACCAGAAAATGAGGGAGGGCAAAAAGAGGAGGAAAGGAAAACAAGAGCTCATCTGGGTAACAGGAAGTAGAAGGAAACATTTGCTTATAAAAGGAGAAAGCAGGTTAAGAGAAGTAAACTACCATATCCTTAACATTGCTGTCCTTGCCTTCCCCAGGGTGTTGCTGAAAATGTCAGATGCAAATTTGGATAGCAGCAAGAAGGTAAGTTTCATTCTAATAGAATTACTTTTCTCACAGTCGCTTTTCAGAGTCTTTCTAGGTCTCCCTTATGTTTCTCTTTTACCACAAATCTTCATTCCTGGATGTAAGAAATCTCCATCTTGAAACCTCCTCTTCTTTGCAAATAGATTGTTAGTTTTCTTTCATGTGATTGTGCTTTTATGTGCATTTGGATGAGAGTAAAAAGAAGTAAAATTTTCTCCTCTTAGTCCAAAGGAAAATATTTCTTTGGTAGGAAAGATGAGAAGTGCTATAGCTGGACAAGATAAAAATGGTAAAAATAAATAAATAAAAATGGCATGGAGAATAATAATATTAGAGAAAAGATAATTAAAAATTAAAAATAAGTTTTTTTTTAAAAGCAAAGGTGAAAAGAAAGTGAAGGCGGTAATGTGGATAAAGTCATAAAGTAAAGTGACCAATTGGTTACTTTCTTTCAGAGTAGGAAATATCTACTCCCAGTGGCCTTGGTACCAAATGAGTTTCAAGATTAGGCTTGGGTAGTCCTGGCTCTATGAGAAACTAGAGGAGGTGTCATAGTGTATTTACAGGCATCACTGTACCCGTCCTCTGGCTAAAGGACTGAATTGGCCAATATTAGCTATATGATTATGGGGAAGTCACATAGCTGCTTTGAGCCCCTACTTTTCTCTGTAATAGAGTAGTATTCCCTAAATAATGTCAGTGTTATTTTGAAGTAAACTAAGAGTAATGGGAAACTACTGAAGAGGTTAAATAGGAGACAGGAGTGTGGCATCAGCACTAGAAGAGAATATTGCAATAGGACTGGAATGGAGTTTATTCACCCTTGGATTTGAGAAGAAAAGCTAACTTCAGAACCATACTCAAGCCTGTGTTACTCTATGGCATTGCTCATTTAGTTTCCTCATTTGTAAAGCAGGAAAATTAATAAATTACTACAAGTATACTATGAGAATTAAATTTGAGAAATAAAGAACACCTAGCATAGTGCCTGTGTACTGTAGAGAACCAGTAAATGTTAGTTTCTTTCTATCTACCTGCTTTTCTACTTTATCTTTTATTCATCAGATCATAAAAACAACATTGAATGCCTACTCTGTGTAGACTGCTGTGTTTCTGTGAAAGCAACAGAGAGTAAAACAGATACACTCTCCTCAGGTCTTGGAGCTGAAATGAGCCCAGTGTGGCTGGAGCTCAGAAAGCTCAGAGGTCATGAGCTGGAGAGGCAGGCAGGGACCAGACTGTTGGAGAATTTGTAAGCTACACAGCTCTGTGAGCTAATTTGAGTTTTGTCATTAACCAGAATAACAATGACAAGCCATTGAATAATTTTCAACAAGCATGGAACAATCGGTGCAGAAATAGCAGAGTTACAGTGGATTTGGGGATAACAGGAGGTTATTGCTTGTGCTGTGAAATTTGATATGGGAATTGGGAATCTTGGGAATCATGTGATAGAAGATGGAAAGGCAGGAACACACTCCATACAGATTTAGGAGACTTAATGAAAGTATTTTGTGTTTTGGCTGATGAGGAGGAAGGCCCTGAGGGAAATAATTCTCTAAACCCAAGCCCTACCCTTCTATTTTCTCTTTCATTAACACCTACATGTAAATTGGCTTTTGCCCGTTTTTTTCCATGTTTCCTTTATTTAATAAAGGGTCTGCTAATCAACATCACATTCTAGGAATCCCAGTAATTCTTTTCTCCATCCACCTACTGTCTTCTCAGTTCCTTATTCATGACTTTTGCCTTGAAAGCAAGCAGTTTAGTTGTACCGCATCAAATGAAAATCAGTGACTGACTTCTCTTTCCAGAATTTCTTGGAGGGGGAAGTAGATGATGAGGAAAGTGTGATTTTGACACTGGTGCCAGTTAAAGATGACGCAAATATGGAACAAATGGAACCAAGCGTTTCTTCAACTTCTGATGTCAAACTGGAGAAGCCTAAGAAATACAATCCAGGTATGAGGACAGGGATTGCTCAGTTAGTTACTCCTACAACTCTGGGAAGCCCAGGAAAAAGTAAGATTTGTCTTTCCTATCCTCTGACTATACAACACCCAGCTTAAATCTCACCTTGTTAATCTGTGTTAAGAAATTTTGCAAACTCTCATACTTCTCGCTTGCTAAGCCCAATGTACTGCCATACTTTAATTAATTTATTTATTTTTTGGAGATGGAGTCTCACCGTGTCACCCAGGTTGGAGTGCAGTGGCGCAGTCTTGGCTCACTGCAACCTCCGCCTTCTGAGCTCAAGCGATTCTCCTGCCTCAGCCTTCCAAGTCACTGGGATTACAGGCATGGGCCACCAAGCCTGGCTAATTTTTGTATTTTTAGTAGAGACGGGCTTTCACCATGTTGGCCAGGCTGGTCTCGAACTCCTGACCTCAAGTGATGTGCCCGCCTCAGTCTCCCAAAGTACAGGCATTAGCCACCACGCCTGGCCTGTACTGCCTTACTTTTAAGACACAAAATAAGCATGGGGAGCGCTTTGGACAGAGAGTGCTCTTCTGGACCAGCTCCACATGAGTTCAAATTCCCAACACATAAAGCTCAATCTCCTCTTCTATAAAAACGAGATGAATACATATTTGCCTCCTACGAAGATTAAATAATTTTGGAAAACATCTGGTATTTTGCTTAGCAAGTAATTACGAATAGCAGCTCTTAAAATCATGACCCTTTGTATCTGTGCTCAGTGTCTTAGTGCTTCCTATAAAAGCATCAAATAAGTGTTTTTTTTCTTTTTTTTTTTAAATTTTTCTGGAGACGGAGTTTTGTTCTTGTTGCAAAGGCTGGAGTGCATTGGTGCAGTCTTGGCTCACTGCAACCTCCGCCTCCTGGGTTCAAGCGATTCTCCTGCCTCAGCCTCCCTAGTACCTGTAATTACAGGCGCCCACCACCACGCCCAGCTAATGTTTGTATTTTTAATAGAGATGGAGTTTTGCCACGTTGTCCAGGCTGGTCTCAAACTTCTGACCTCAGGTGATCCACCCACCTTGGCCTCCCAAAGTGCTGGGATTACAGGCGTGAGCCACTGCGACCGGCCCAAATAAGTATTTTCAGAAGGATTTTATCTTCTAGGCCAATAATGAGGATTTCAAGATGAAGTAAATAATGATGGGTTAGAGCTAAGCAGAGTGAGGTGAAATGGGGAGCTGTAGAGAAAAATGATTCAGGCTGACAGAATGATGTGGACCATTGTTGATTGGGGATAGACAATGTGATGGTTTCTTTGATTTCTATAGGAAGAGCTGATATTTTGTGGTCCAAAATCTAGACATTTTGGAGGATAAATCCAACATAATGTTCTATTCAGTTGGTTGTTGAGGGCAACAGAAAATAACAGGCTGCTATATGTAGCATAAAAGAAACGTGGATTTTAGAATCCAAACATAGGTTTGAGGCCGGACATGATGGCTTACACCTATAATCCCAGTGCTTTGGGAGGCCAAGGAGGGCTGATCACTTGAGGCCAGGGGTTCAAGACCAACCTGGCCAACATGGAGAAACCCTGTCTCTACAAAAAATACAAACATTATCCAGGCATGGTGGCACAAGCCTGTAGTCCCAGCTACTGAGGAGGCTGAGGCATGATAATCACTTGAACCTGGAAGGTGGAGGTTGCAGTGAGCCGAGATCGCACCACTGCACTCCAGCCTAGGTGACAGAGCAAGACCCTGTCTCAAAACAAAACAAAGCAAGCTGGGTGCGGTGGCTCATGCCTGTAATCCCAGCACTTTGGGCGGCCAAGGAGGGCAGATCACAAGGTCAGGCGTTCGAGACCAGCCTGGCCAACATAGTGAAACACCGTCTCTACTAAAAATACAAAAATTAGCTGGGCATGGTGGCGCGTGCCTGTAGTCCCACCTACTCGGGAGGCTGAGGCAGGAGAATTGCTTGAACCTAGGAGGCGGAGGTTGCAGTGAGCTGAGATCGCGCCACTGCACTCCAGCCTGGGCAATAGAGCGAAACTCCGTCTCAAAAAAAAACAACAAAAAAAACCTACATAGGTTTGAGTCCCAGGTCTGCTATTATAATGGGCAAGTCTTTAAATACCTGAATCTCTTACCTCCCTTTTTTTTTTTTTTTTTTTTTTGAGACAGAGTCTCACTGTATTGCCCAGGCTGGAGTGCTGTGGTGTGATCTCAGCTCGCTGCCGCCTCTGCCTCCTGGGTTCAAGCAATTCTCCTGCCTCAGCCTCCTGAGTAGCTGGAGCTGGGATTGCAGGTGTGCACCCCCATGCCCAGGTAATTTTTCTTTTTTTTTTTTTTTTTTGAGACGGAGTTTTACTCTTGTTGCCCAGGCTGGAGTGCAATGGCGCGATCTTGGCTCACCACAACCTCCGCCTCCCAGGTTCAAGCGATTCTCCTGCCTCAGCCTCCCTAGTAGCTGGGATTACAGGCATGTGCCACCACACCTGGCTAATTTTGAATTTTTTTTTTTAGTAGAGACAGGGTTCCTCCATATTGGTCAGGCTGGTCTCAAACTCCCAGGTGATCCACCCACCTCGGCCTCCCAAAGTGCTGGGATTACAGGCATGAGCCACCATGCCTGGCCATATGCCCAGGTAATTTTTCTATTTTTAGTAGAGACGGGGTTTTACCATGTTGGCCGGGCTGGTCTCGATCTCCTGACCTCAAGTAATTTGGGCGAATTTGCCTCAGCCTCCCAAAGTTCTGGGATTATAGGTGTGAGCCACCGTGCCCGGCCTTGTTACCTCATTTTTAATATGAGAAATAAAAATTGATATGTGTATATGCAAATTGGGTTGTGAGAAATGTGAAAAGATCTTTGTAAAATTTTTTTTTTGAGACGAGACGGAGTCTTGTTCTGTCGCCCAGGCTGGAGTGCAGTGGCATGATCTTGGCTCACTGCAAACCCTACCTCCCGGGTTCATGCCATTCTCCTGCCTCAGCCTCCCAAGTAGCTGGGACTACAGGCGCCCGCCAGCACGCCCGGCTAAGTTTTTTGTATTTTTTTAGTAGAGACGGGGTTTCACCATGTTAGCCAGGATGGTCTCGATCTCCTGACCTCGTGATCTGCCTACCTCGGCCTCCCAAAGTGCTGGGATTACAGGCGTGAGCCACCGTGCCCGACCCTAGATCTTTGTAAAATTTTAAAATAATCTTGCCAACTTTAAATTATTACTACTTTGGTTCCATTCTTGTCTTAGGTCATCTACTTCAAACAAATGAGCAATTTACAGCTCCACAAAAAGCTAGATGCAAAATACCAGCCCTTCCCTTGCCGACCATTTTGCCTCCCATTAATAAGGTGTGTCGGGACACTTTGCGGGACTGGTGTCAACAACTCGGTTTGAGTACTAATGGCAAGGTTAGTACACTTGGGTGAATATCTGCTGCTGGGAATAATTATGGGAGTCTTTGTCAACTTTTAACTTAATCTCTCTCTTCATTTCCTAAGAAAATCGAAGTTTATCTGAGGCTTCATAGGCATGCTTACCCTGAACAACGGCAAGTGAGTAATGAGTGTGTTGATGGTGTGAAGGTGGGTTCTGATCATGATTCGTCCGGTCCCTACCGTCGCACCATATCTATGTGTTGTACCTCTAAGGCAGGGTTTCTTCACTGTGGCATTATTGATATTTCGGAACAAATAATTTTTTGTTTGTTTTGGGGGCTGCCCTGTACATTGTAGTATGTTTTGCAGCATCCCCAGCCTCTACCAGCTGGATGTCAGTTGCAACCTTTCCTCCCCCTGCACAGTTTCAACAACCCAAAATTTCTCCCAGTGGAGAATTTACAGTTTATGGGAACTAATATTCCGAAACCCTTCCCACATTGACATACATGTTCAGGTCAGTACAAAGAATAATAAAATTGGCCGGGTGTGGTGGCTCATGCCTGTAATCCCAGCACTTTGGGAGGCCGAGGCGGGTGGATTACCTGAGGTCAGGAGTTCGAGACCGGCCTGACCAACATGGAGAAACCCCGTCTTTACTAAAAATGCAAAATTAGCCGGACATGGTGGCACATGCCTATAATCCCAGCTACTAGGGAGGCTGAGGCAGGAGAATAGCTTGAACCTGGGAGGCGGAGGTTGCGGTGAGCCGAGATCGTGCCATTGCACTCCAGCCTGGGCAACAAGAGCGAGACTCCGTCTCAAAAAAAAAAAGAATAATAAAATTGACCCAAAAGTCCTTACAGCCCTAGCGGTTTACTGAATACTCATCGTGAATTTCATTTGCAGGATATGCCTGAAATGTCACAAGAGACCAGATTACAGCGATGTTCGAGGAAACGCAAGGCAGTGACCAAGAGAGCAAGGCTTCAGAGAAGTTATGAGATGAATGAGAGAGCAGAAGAGACCAATACAGTTGAAGTGATAACTTCAGCACCGGGAGCCATGTTGGCATCATGGGCAAGAATTGCTGCAAGAGCTGTTCAGCCTAAGGCTTTGAATTCATGTTCCATTCCTGTTTCTGTTGAGGCCTTTTTGATGCAAGCCTCTGGTAAGATCAACCTTAAAGTGTGAGTCCCACTCCAGAGGACAAGGTTAACTTTTATTAGTCCAAGACTGAAACGTGGTCAAAGGGAAGGCATTTGCTAAAATATCTGAAGATTAGAAATTGGATTCACATGGGACATCTTTCTTCTATCTGTCATATTGATGGATAGTCATGTTGTGTCTGGATGGGTCTCTAAATCAGGTGACTGAGTAGTGGCCCTTTTCCATCACTAAGCATAACCTGATAATCTTGGACCACAGTCTGAGGTCTTCCCCTTTTCTTTCTCTCTTCCTTAAGGCATTTATGACATAGTGAATAAGAGGAATGTGTTGGTTCAAATTCTTGCTTTACCATTTCCTGGATATGTGACATTGGCAAGTTACTTACTTTAAGCCTTAGTATCCTGTTCTTTTTTTTTTTTTTTTTTTTTTGAGATGGAGTTTCGCTCTTGTTGCCCAGGCTGGAGTGCAATGGCGCGATCTTGGCTCACTGCAACCTCTGCCTCCCAGTTTCAAGCAATTCTCCTGCCTCAGCCTCCTGAGTAGCTGGAATTACAGGCACCCACCACCACGCCCAGCTAATTTTTTGTATTTTTAGTAGAGAGGGGGTTTCACTATGTTGGCCAGGCTGGTCTCGAACCCCTGACCTCAGACCATCCACCCACCTCGGCCTCCCAAAGTGTTGGGATTACAGGTGTGAGCCACTGCTCCCGGCCAAGTATCCTGTTATATAAAATGAAGATTTACATGTTTCATAGAATAGTAGTGGCTGAGCTTGGTGGCTCATGCCTGTATGCCTATAACTTTGGGAGGCCGAGGTGGGAGGATTGCTAGAGCTCCTGAGTTAGAGACCAGCCTGGGTAACATGGTGAAATACCCTGTCTACAAAAAATACGAAAAAAAGCCGGGCATGGTGGTGTGTGCCTGTAGTCCCAGCTACTCAGGAGGCTGGGGTGGGAGAGTGGCTTGAGCCCAGAAGGTAGAGGTTGCAGTGAGCTGAGATTGTGCCATGGCACTCTGGCCTGACAGACAGATCCAGACTCTGTCTTTAAAAAAAAAATCTTGGCCGGGCACAGTGGCTCACGCTTTTAATCCCAGCACTTTGAGAGGCCAAGGCACGTGAATCACCTGAGGTCACAGGTTCAAGCAATTTTCTTGCCTCAGCCTCCCGAGTAGCTGGGATTACAGTCATGCGCCACCATGCCTGGCTAATTTTGTATTTTTTTTTTTTCAGTAGAGGCGAGATTTCTCCATGTTGGTCAGGCTGGTCTCGAACTCCCAACCTCAGGTGATCCACCTGCCTTGGCCTCCTAAAGTGCTGGGATTACAGGCGTGAGCTACCGCGCCTGGGGCCCTCTAAGAAATCTTGAGGATAACTTAACTCCACTTTTCTCCAACTCCTGCTCTTCTTTTCTTGCTATTGCTTTTATTTCCAGGGTCTGCTATCTCAAGTCACCTTCCTTTTTGGCTTGAATCCTTTTTTTACTCCCCCATTTTCCCATTTCCAGAAGTATTCTAGATCCTATTTTATTCCAGCTAACTAGTATGGTAGGACACATTATTCATCATACAAGGAAACCAGCCAGAAGGAAGACTTGAAGTTGAAATTGGCATATCCTCTGCTCTTCAAGCTACATTCGTTTATGTGGGGACAGTGGGCACCTTTTAATAATTTGTGCAAAGGCATTGTCCAGCCATAAAGCTGTGTGCCTGGGGGCACTGCCTTCCCAAAGAGGACACCTCTTTCTAATTTTTAATAATATGCTGTATGAGTTACTATTATCCCACAGTGACTTATCATTTTATATTTCTCTTCATTCTGCAATTGTTAAGCATCTGCTGTGGTCCAGAGGTATGTCTAGCTGCTGGGTATATACTGTGCTAAACACACACATCTTCTCTTGTTTCACAGTCTAATCGGGGAGCTATCACACTACATGTACTGCTTATTTACAGATATGTAAATTCACTGTGACTGCTCCTTTCCCTCAATTTCAGACGTTCCATGAGTGTACCACTTATTTTCTTGCAAATATCCCGTCTCCTTAATTAAATTGTTCCTTACACTTTTAAACAGACACTTGTCTGTTTCCTGTAGCTGAGGCAGTACAATGTAGTGGTTAGGTAAATGGGCTGTAGGTCTTTCAGAATACTGACTTTCTCTCAATTTCAGACGTTCCATAAGAGTACTGCTTGTTTTCTTGCAAATATCACATCTCCCTACTTAAATTGTTCCTTACGCGTTTTTTTTTTTTTTTTTTGAGATGGAGTTTCACTCTTGTTGTCCAGGCTGGAGTGCAATGGCGTGATCTCAGCTCACTGCAACCTCTGCCTCCCAGGTTCAGGCGATTCTCCTGCCTCAGCCTCCTGAGTAGCTGGGATTACAGGCGCGTGCCACCACACCCAGCTAATTTTGTATTTTTAGTAGAGATGGGGTTTCGCCATGTTGGTCAGGCTGGTCTCGAACTCCTGACCTCAGGTGATCCACCCACCTATGCCTCCCAAAGTGCTGGGATTACAGGCGTAAGCCACCACGCCCAGCCTGTTCCTTACACTTTTAAACAGACGCTTGTCTGTTTCCTATAGCTGAGGCAGTACAATGTAGTGGTTAGGTAAATGGACTGTAAGTCAGTCAGAATACCTGGATCCATGACTTGGCTCTGAGTAACTTATGATATTTAACACCATAAGCTTCGTTTATCTCACCTGTGAATAAGAAATAATAAGAAAAGCAAATAGAAGGTAAATATTAATAGTGTACTTAAGAGTAAATGTATTAATACACATAAATCACCTAGCAAAATATTGGACACAAAACAAGCATTTCAAAATGGCAACCATTATTTTTTATTTTATTTTATTTTATTATTATTAGTATTATTATTTTTTGAGATGGAGTTTTGCTCTTGTCACCCAGGCTGGAGTGCAGTGGTGTGATCTCAGCTCACCACAACCTCTGCCTTCCGGGTTCAAGCTATTCTCTTGCCTCAGCCTCCCGAGTAGCTGGGATTACAGGCATGTGCCACCATGCCCAGCTAATTTTGCATTTTTAGTAGAGATGAGGTTTCTCCACATTGGTCAGGCTGGTCTCAAACTCCCCACCTTAGATGATCCTCCCGCCTCAACCTCCCAAAGTGCTGGGATTACAGGCGTGAGCCACCGCGCCTAGCCAGCAACAATTACTATTCTTTGTGTTATGTAACTTGTGAAATTAGATCATAGTGTCATGTGGTCTAGGTTTTCATGCATCTCATTCAATTGATTTGTGAGCAGAATACAAGAGCAAATTCAAGAGTGACTTGCTGAGAGGTTGTGTTGGGGTGCTATCTTGATTTTTGCTGTCTATATTTGTTTTTCCTTTCCAGGCGTCAGGTGGTGTGTGGTCCATGGCAGACTTCTCTCGGCAGACACAAAGGGTTGGGTACGCCTGCAGTTTCATGCAGGTCAGGCCTGGGTGCCTACCACTCACAGGAGGATGATTTCTCTCTTCTTGTTACCTGCCTGCATTTTCCCATCCCCAGGCATAGAAGATAATATGTTATGCCCCGACTGTGCTAAGAGGTAACCCTTATGTATCTTGTTAAGCATGGCACACAGAAAAGTAGGTGTATAGATGGATTTCTAAATAATTTAACAGTAGAAAGCAGAGGGCGAACATGCTGTCTTCTTAATTTGCCACATAGATCAGGCAAAAATAGGATGCAAGAAGAACTCACTAGTGAATTACAACTCAATAAATGTGGCTAGTTCTTTTTTTTTTTTGAGATGGAGTTTTGCTCTTCTCGCCCAGGCTGCAGTGCAGTGGCATGATCTCAGCTCACTGCAACCTCTGCCTCCTGGGTTCAAGCGATTCTCCTGCCTCAGCCTCCCGAGTCTCAGCTGGGATTACAGGCATGCACCACCACGCCCAGCTAATTTTTGTATTTTTAGTAGAGAAAGGGTTTCACCATGTTGGTCAGGCTGGTTTCAAACTCCTGACCTCATGATCCGCCCGCCTCGGCCTCCCAAAGTGCTGGGATAACAGGTGTGAGCCACCGTGCCCGGCTAATTTCTGTATTTTTAGTAGAGACAGGGTTTCAGTATGTTGGCCAGGCTGGTCTCAAGCTCCTGACCTCAGGACATCCACCCAACTCGGCCTCCCAAAGTACTGGTATTAAGGGCATGAGCCACCGTGCTGTGCCTAAATGTGGCTAGTTCTTAGCCTTAACAAAGCATCTGACAAGTCAGGACCTGATTTCTGCCTCAATTTTAGAGACTTGTTCTAAAGGAAAAAAACACACATTTGAGTTTTTAATACATGTCAGATACTCACCTTGGAATGCAAAAACAAAATCCATCTAGCCTACTCAACTAAAAATGAGTAAGAAGGCCAGGCGCGGTGGCTCATGCCTGTAATCCCAGCAGTTTGGGAGGCCGAGGCGGGCGGATCACCTGAGGTCGGGAGTTCGAGACCAGCCTGACCAATATGGAGAAACCCCGTCTCTACTAAAAATACAAAATTAGCTGGGCGTGGTGGCACATGCCTGTAATCCCAGCTACTCGGGAGACTGAGGCAGAAGAATCGCTGAACCCGGGAGGCAGAGGTTGCGGTGAGCTGAGATTGTGCCATTGCACTCCAGCCTGGGCAACAAGAGTGAAACTCCGTCTCAAAAAAAAAAAAAAAGAGTAAGAAAAGCTATGAAAATATATGGGAAGAATCTATATTGGAATAGCTTAGGGAAACTTAAGAGAAGATTACACGTTCTGAGGAAGAGCTTACCAGTTGTGGAAGTCGTCAGTACAAACACAGGGAAATAAAAAATATGATGGCCAGTTGCAGTGGCTCATGCCTGTATTCCCAGCACCTGGGGAGGCCAAGGTGGGCAGATCATCTGAGGTTAGGACTTCAAGACCAGCCTGGCCAACATGGTGAAACCCTGTTTCTACTAAAAATAAATAAAGAATATAATATATTTAGAAACTGCCAGTTAGTCAATGTGATTGAAGCTTATATTGAGAAATGAGTTTGGGGAGTGGAGGAGCAGACCATGAAAGATTTTATGTCTACATTATCCTGTAAGTCATCATCTCCCAGTAACTTTTGGGACATGGACTTGTTTGAGAATATAATGATAACTATGTGCTCTCCAGGAAAATATACATGCACATAAACACTGCTTTAGACTATAGAATTCCCGATGTCCATCCATGAGTAAAAATTTCAGCTTTTGGTGATAAAATTGGGTGGAAGTGAGATGAGAGAGGTGTGGAGATAAATTAAGGGCTTTTTTTTTTTTTTTTTGTAAGTGGGCTAAATCGGCTCACACCTGTAATCCCAGCACTTTGGGAGACCGAGGCGGGCGGATCACGAGGTCAGGAGTTTGAGACCAGCCTGACCAATATGATGAAACCCCGTCTCTACTAAAAACACAAAAATTAGCTGGGCGTAGTGGCATGTGCCTGTAATCCCAGCTACTTGGGAGGCTGAGGCAGGAGAATCGTTTGAATACGGGAGGCGGAGGTTGCAGTGAGGCAAGATCGCACCACTGCTCTCCAGCTTGGGCAACAGGAGCGAAACTCCGTCTCAAAAACAAAAGAAAAAGAAAAGAAAGTGGGCTAAATCTTAGATGGGAGTATAAATAAGAGATTAGTAATTCAGAAAGAGATAATTCATTACACTGACAAAGCATTTAAGGAGGAATGAGACGAATGTAAGATGTAGGAGTAATGAGAGCAAGATGCTGTCTTAGAAGTGGAGGAAACATAGAAGTCCAATTCAGTGGAGAAGAATCTATGGTGTTTGGGACAAGTTCTAGAGTTCTGAGAGAAGTATGAGTTAGAGCTAAACATCTTTGGGAGTCATCAGCACATACATTGTGGATAAGAGTATGTAGGAAGGAACTGAGGGAGGAACCCTAAAGATAATCAGCGTATCAGTGGAAGGTGGACAGCGAAGACAGAACACAGTTAGAGGTTAGCAGATGAGTGAGTAAAGGGAGCAATGGACAGAGTCTTAGAAGGAAATAATGGTTGGCAGCAAGATGGCCATGTAAGGTAATGATGAATGTGGTGCTCTTGGGACTGGCTGTTTAGGACACTGCTGATGGCCTTTTTGAAAGTAGATTGAGAGGATCAGTAGAAGCCAAAATATGATTTCAGTAACTTAGAGTAGAACATGTGCAGAACTAGAAGCAGGACATGTTGATCACCGTCATTAGCTGAGCCTGGCAGGAAGAGAGAGCAGTTAGTTGAGGCAGTAACCTCAAGGGAGGTTCCTTTCTTTTCGTCTCTCTCTGTCTTTTTCTTTCTCTTTTTTCCCTCCCTCACTGACTCTCGTCATTCTTCCCTTCTTCCCATTTTTCTTCTTTCTTTCTCTCTTTTCCTTTTTAAATTTTTTTTTTATTTGAGATGGAGTCTGGCTCTGTCAACCAGGCTGGAGTATAGTGGCATGATCTCTGCTCACTGCAACCTCTGCCTCCCAGGTTCAAGCGATTCTCCTGCCTCAGCCTCCGGAGTAGCTGGGATTACAGGCATGCACCACCACACCCAGCTAATTTTTGTATTTTTAGTGGAGATGGGGTTTCACCATGTTGGCCAGGCTGGTCTGGAACGCCTGACCTCAAGTGATCCACTCGCCTCAGCCTCCCAAAGTGCTAGGATTACAGGAGTAAGCCACCGCACCCAGCCTTAAATTTTTTTAAATGAAAAAACCATAAGCATTTATGAATGGGGAGGAGCTGCATGAAGAGAGGGGAATGGAGAGTATAAAGATGAAGGAAGCCGGGCATGGTGGCTCACAACTGCAATCCTAGCACTTTGGGAGGCCAAGGTGGGCAGATGACTTGAGCTTAGGAGTTTGAGACTGGCCTGAGAAACATAGTGAAACCCTGTCTCTATATAAAAAAATTAGCCAGGTGTGGTGGCATGCACCTGTGGTCCCAACTACTGGGGAGGCTGAGGTGGGAGGATCACCTCAGCCCTGGAAGTCAAGGCTGCAGTGAACTGTGATAGTGCCACTGCACTCCAGCCTGGGCAGCAGAGTGAGAACCTGTCTTAAAAAAAAAAAAAAAAGATGTGAGATCCATTGCAGTATGTGGAATGTAAGCCCTGAGAGTAAGTGAACAACCCTTTTCCTTTATTTAGTACATAAAGTCTTTTTGTGCACCATTCCTAGGTTTTAGGGCAAATGACTCAGGAACTCCAGAAGTGCATTCTTTTTTTTTTTTTTTTTTTTTGAGACTGAGTCTCGCTCTGTCACCTAGGCTGAAGTTCAGTGGCTTGGTCTCGGCTCACTGCAACCTCTGCCTCCCATACTCAAACAATTATCCGGTCTCAGCCTCCTGAGTAGCTGGGACTACAGGCCTGTGCCACCATGACCGGCTAATTTTTGTAATTTTAGCAGACACAGGGTTTCACCATATTGGTCAGGCTGGTCTCAAACTCCTGACCTCAGGTGATCTGCCCTCCTCAGCCTCCCACAGTGCTAGGATTACAGGCGTGAGCCACCACACCCGGCCCAGAAGTGCATGCTTTATTTTATTGGTCATTTTAAAGGGATTGGTAAGGGATGGTTTACCTTGCTGTAGCAATATTTCACAGTTCTTTTCTACTTGCCTTACAGGAATAAGAAGATGATGAAAAGATTAATGACAGTAGAGAAGTAGCAGCAACCTGTTTGAATACAATGTAAGAGATGAGAATATGCCACCTCAAAATAAGTATTATTTTGATTTGAAGGCAATTGAAAAGAGTCACATACAAGAGAAACTCTCTGCCTTCCCCCTATTCACTAAAAAACAGGACATAAATGTATCAAAGTCTCTTGTCTGCTGTCTACCAGGAAGTACAAATGGTGGCGCGTCTGTAGATAACTTGCATCCCAATCATTGCTGTGCTGTGTCCTGACCATCTTTGGTATCTCCTGATGCCTTGAGTACTGACTTACTAAATAGTTAGCTGCACAGAATACAATTTGGTTTTGTTTTAATTAATGGACTCTTTTTTGAAAATGAAAACTTGAGTGAAAAGTATAGGGTTCCCATGTATTCCCATGTACACGGTGCTTCACACCCCCTCCATTTTCCTCTGTTAGTAACTTGCATTAGTGTGCTACATTTTTTACAATTGATGAGGCAGGGCTGGGCATGGTGGTAGTCACCTGTAGTCCCAGCTACCGGGAAGGCTAAGTCAGGAGGATCACTTGCACCCAGGAGGAGTTCAAGGTTGTAGTTCTCTGTGATCACACCTGTGAATTGCCACTGCACTCCAGCCTGGGCAACATAGTCTCTAAAAAAAAAAAAAAACTAATGAGTCAATATTGATACATTATTCTTTTTTCTTTTTCTTTTTCTTTTTCTTTTTTTTTTTTTTGAGACGGGGTCTCATTCTTGTCGCCCAGGCTGGAGTACAATGATGAGATCTCAGCTCACTGCAACCCCTGCCTCCCAGGTTCAAGCAATTCGCCTGCCTCCGCCTCCCAAGTAGCTGGGATTACAGGTGCACACCACCACGCCCAGCTAAATTTTTATTTTATTTTTTTTGAGACAGAGTCTCACTCTGTTGCCCAGGCTGGAGTGCAGTGGCGTGATCTCAGCTCACTGCAACCTCCGCCTCCCACCTCCCGGGTTCAAGCAACTCTCCTGCTTCAGCCTCCCGAGTAGCTGGGATTACAGGCATGTGCCACCACACCCGGCTAATTTTTTTGTATTAGTAGAAACGGGGTTTTGCCATATTGGCCAGGCTTGTCTCGAACTCCTAATCTTGGGATCCACCCGCTTCGGTTTCCCAAAGTGCTGGGATTACAGGCGGGAGCCACCGCACCCAGCCCCCAGTCAATTTTTTTTTTTTTTTTTGGTATGTTTAGTAGAGTCGGGGTTTCACCATTTTGGCCAGGCTGATCTGGAACTCCTGACCTCAGGTGATCCACCTGCCTCAGCCTCCCAGTGCTAGGATTACAGGCGTGAGCCACCGTGCCCGGCCTCTTTTTCTTTCTTAAAAATTTGTTTATTTTTGAGACAGGGTCTGGCTCTGTCACCCAGGCTGGAGTGCAGTGGCACGATCTCAGCTCACTGCAACCTCTGCCTTCCGTGTTCAAGCCATCCTCTCACCTCAGCCTCCCAAGTAGCTGGGACTACAGACACACACCATAATGCCCAGCTAATTTTTTTTAATTTTTGGTAGAGGACGGGTTTCACCGTGTTGCTCAGGTGAACAGCCTGGTTCAAGACCATTGAACTCCTGAGCTCAAGCAATCCACTCGCTTAATCTTCCAAAGTGCAGGGATTACAGGCGTGAGCCACTGTGCCTGGCTATTTTATTATTATTATTATTATTATTATTTTTAGACAGAATCATACTTTATCACCAGGCTGGAGTGCAGTGACGCCGATCTCAGCTCACTGGAACCTCCGCCTCCCAGGTTCAAGCGATTCTCCTGCCTCAGCCTTCCGAGTAGCTGGGATTACAGGCACCCGCCACTATGCCCAGCTAATTTTTTGTATTTTTTTAGTAGAGATGGGGTTTCACCATGTTGGCCAGGCTGGTCTTGAGCTCCTGACCTCGTGATTCACCCGCCTTGGGCTCCCAAAGGGCTGGGATTACAGGCGTGAGCCACCGTGCCCGGCTATTTTATTATTTTTTTATAGAGATGGGGTCTCACCATGTTTCTCAGGCTAGTCAAACTTCTGGGCTCCAGCAGTCCTCCCACCTCAGGCTCCCTGAGTTCAGGGATTACAGGTGTGAGCCTCTACACCGAGCAGATACCTTATTATTAACTAAACTCTATAGTTCATATTAGGTTTTATTATTCGTGTTGTACATTCTATGGTTTTGACAAATGTAAAATGACATTTATCCAACATAGTGTCATACAGAATAGTTTCACTACCTTAGAAATCCCTTGTGTTGCACCAATTCATCCCTCCCCGCAAGCCCATACACTGGAAACCATAGATCTTTTTGCTCAGTCACCCAGGCTGGAGTGCAATGGTGCAGTCATAGCTCATTGCAGCCTTGAACTCCTAGGCTCAAGGGATTCTCCTGGCCCAGCCTTCTGAGACACTGGGACTACAGGTGTGTGCCACCGTACCCAGCTAGTTTTATTTTTTAATTTTTAGTAGAGATGGGTCTCACTGTGTTGGCGAGATTGGTCTCAAACTTCTGGCCTCAAGCTGTCCTTCTGCCTTAGCCTCCCAAAGTGCTGGGATTACAGGCATAAGCCAGTGTGCCTGGCCTATCATAGCTTTGCCATTTCCAGAATGTTGTGTATACTTAGAATTATACAGTGTGTAGCCTTTTCATATTGGCTTTCAGATAGCAATATGTAGTGAAGATTCCTCCATGTGTTGTCATGGCCTGATAGCTCATTTCTGCCAAACTGTCTTTAAAAGTGGCTGTAGCATTTTGCATTCCTACCAGCAATGAATGAGAGTTCTTGTTGCACCATATCTTTCTTAGTATTTCGTATTGTTTGGATTTTAGCCATTCTAATAGGCGTGCCACAGTATTTCAGTGCTTTTTTTTTTTTTGAGACAGACTCTCTCAGAGAGTGCAGTCACCCAGGCTGGAGTGCAGTGGCGTGATCTCAGTTCACTGCAACCTTTGCCTCCTGGGTTCAAGTGATTATCCTGCCTCTGCCTCCCAAGTAGCTGGGACCACAGGCACACGCTACCATGACTGGTTAATTTTTGTATTTTCAGTAGAGATGGGGTCTCGCCATGTTGGCCAGACTGATCTAAAACTCCTGACCTCAGGTGATCTGCCCACCTTGGCCTCTGAAAGTGCTGGGATTACAGGCATGAGCCACTGTGCCCAGCCAGTATCACATTTTTTTAAATTTGGAATTCCTTAATGATATGAAGTAGAGCATCTTTTTATATGTTTATTTCTCATCTGTGTATCTTCTTTGGTGTGGTGTCTTTTCAGGTCTTCTGCACAATTTTTATTTTTTAACTTACTATTTATTTTTTATTGAGAGAATGTCTTGCTCTTTCACCCAGGCTGGAGTGCAGTGGTGTGATCATGGCGCACTGCAGCCTTGACCTTCTGGGCTCAAGCAAGATTCTCCCACCTCAGTATCCTACTGGGACTACAGGTGCACATTACCATGCCTGGCTAATTTTTCTATTTTTTTTTGTAGAGATGGGGTTTTGCCATGTTGCCCAGGCTGGTCTCGAACTCCTGGCTCAAGTGATCCATCAGCCTCAGCCTCTCAAAGTGCTAGGATTTTGCCTGGCCTTTTTGCACATTTTTTAATTGGGTTGTTTTATTATTGAGTTTTAAGAGGTCTTTGTATATTTTGAATAACAGTCCTCTATCAGATATATCTTTTGCAGATAATTTTCTCATTTCTTTCCTTCCTTTTTTTTTTATTATTTTTTTTGAGACAGAGTTTTTGCTCTTGTTTTCCCAGCTGGAGCGCAATGGCGCGATCTTGGCTCTCTGCAACCTCCACCTCCTGGGTTCAAACAATTCTCCTGTCTCAGCCTCCCAAGCAGCTGGGATTACAGGCATGTGCCACGACACCCAGCTAATTTTTGTATTTTTAGTAGAGACAGTGTTTCTCCATGTTGGTCAGGCTGGTCTCAAACTTCTGACCTCAGGTGATCCATCTGCCTTAGCCTCCCAAAGTTTTGGGATTACAGGCGTGAGCCACCACGCCCAGCTTTGTTTCCTTCTTTTTAAATATCACTTTACTCTCTTCTTGTTTGTAAGGCTTACGGAGAGAAGTCCAATGTAATTCTTACCTTTGTTCCTTTACAGTTAAGGTGTTTTTTTCTCTTACTTTTACGATTTTCTATTTGTCTTTGTTTTTCTGCAGTTTGAGTATGATATGCCTAGGTGTTGAATTTTTGGTGTTTATCCTACTTCCTATCTCTGAGCTTCCTGGATCTCTGGTTTTGTATGTCATTAATTTTGGGATATTTTCAGTCATTGCTTCACAACTTTCTATTCCTTTCTCTCTTCTGGTATTTTCATTACATGTTGAAACCTTTTTGTAATTGCCTCGCAATTCTTGGATATTCAGTTCTTTTTAAAAAGATTTTTCATTTTGCTTTTCAGTTTTGGAGGTTTCTATTGACATTTGTTTAAGCCCTCTGATTCTTTTGTTGGCAGTCCAGCTATAGATGAGTCCATGAAGGCAGTTTTCATTTCTGTTAGTATTTTCTTCTAATTTCTATCATTTTATTTTGATTCTTGGAATTTCCATCTTCCCACTTGCATTACTCATCTGTTTTGTATCTTGTCCACTTTTTCTGTTAGAGCCCTTAGCATATTAATCAACACTGTTTTAAATTCCTGGTCTGGTAATTTCAACATCTCTGCCATATCTTAGTCTTGATCTGATGCTTCCTTTGTCTACAAATCATGCTTTTTGTCTCTTTCTGTATATATATATGCTATTTGTCTCTCTATCTATATGTAAATATAGATATTATATCTGTGTATATAGATATATACGTATAAGTATATATTTATAAATCAGACTTGTATTGTATAAAAGAAAACCAGGGGCCTGGCATGATGGCTTGCATCTGTAATCCCAGCACTTTGAGAGGCCGAGGTGGGTGGATCATTTGAGGTCAGGAGTTTGAGACCAGCCTGGCCAACATGGTAAAACCCCACCTCTACTAAAAATACAAAAATTAGCCGGGCATGGTGGCAGTCACCTGTATTTTTAGTAGAGACGATTGTACTTTCAGTAGAGACGAGGTTTCTCCATGTTGGCCAGGCTGGTCTCGAACTCCTGACCTCAGGCGATCTGCCTGCCTCAGCCTCCCAAAGTGCTGGGATTACAGGTGTGAGCCACCACACCTGGCCAATAATTTGTTCTTATTCCAAAAAGAAAATTATACAAATACCAAATAGAAACAATCTTAATTTTGTTACTTAAAATATTAATGTGAACAATTATTTAATTATTACAACAGATCAAATAATGGAGTTCTCAATTTGAATTGAATTTGGCAATAGCTTTCAAAACCTGACATTTGTATCAAAAACTAATAAACAGTTTTTTGGTTTTTTGTTTGTTTTGAGATGGAGTTTCGCTCTTGTTGTCCAGGCTGGAGTACAGTGGTGCAATCTTGGCTCACAGCAACCTCCACCTCCTGGCTTTAAGCGATTCTCCAGCCTCAGCCTCTTAAGTAGCTGGGATTACAGGCACTGGCCACCATGCCCGACTAATTTTGTATTTTTAGTAGAGACAGGGTTTCACTGTATTGGCCAGGCTGCTCTTGAACTCCTGACCTCGTGATCCACCCACCTCGGTTTCCCAAAGTGCTGAGATTACAGGCATGAGCCGCCGCGCCCAGCTAATAAACAGTTTTTCTACAGAACCTTCTGAATGAAGGCTAATTTAGTAATTTATCCTCTTAGTTCTCAGCTCTGTGCAGAAAGGGAAGAAGGGCAGTTAAGGAAGATGTTATGGTCCAAGTAAGCACTTCACCTCACCCTTTACACTTAACTGCTTACATTTAGAACTCTGCGAGCTTGAGAATATGTGTGCTTGTGACTTGCAGTATATTCTGTGGAATTAAAACAAGGCTCTCCTGAACTCAGCCTATTGATGGCTAATGGCACAGTTGTCCAGTAGGCAGACTGTTTTAGAATGAGCCCAAACTTACACGGAGAATAGAACAGAAAAATTTCCACATTGTACATCACATGGAAGCCATCCCAGTTGAGTGCTTAGTCAGGCTCTCAAAATGCTATAGCATCTGCCTTCTGAAAGTATCATTAATCAATGGTCTTCTAGTATAAACATGTCTTGCCTAAAGACTGGCCTGAAGACCAACACAGGATTGGAAAACATGGTATCATTAGTCTTTGAAATAACTAAGAAGGGGTCCAATTCAGTAACCCAAAGGAAACCAATTCTGACTATACACTATTGTCTAGTATTTCCATCTGCCATTCTTTCTCTATTAAAAGTTACGTTTGTTCCATTTCTTTTCCTCTTGCAGTGCACAAAACACCCTAACTCTCTTGACCCCAAACTCTGCGTATAGCTCAAAGCGGCTCTTAAATATACCATTTCAAATTTGCTTCTAGGTACTAAAGGAGGGATGTACTTTCAGATCATGTAACCTATTACGAAGGAGTGGAAGAGGAGACAATTTGAATGAATCCTCATGATCTACAAAACAAAATCATAGTGACTAGGACTCCACAGTGAAGATGGTTGACTAGTGACACAGCCCCATCTAAAGAATCCCTTTCTGTATGTCTGAAAACCCATTAAAATAAAGTCACTGCAATTGGCCTTGTATTCATTCAGTGTGTGTTAAAGATCCATCAGGAAATCTCTGATGTTACAAACTGACTGTGGTTGGGGACACAGACAAATGGGAAGCACTGCAGACAGGACAGATAAGGGAGAGGTGCCTGACTCGAGCAAGGAAGGGACAAGAGTAAATGGGTCTGTCTAGACATAACCCTAGAGACCAGGGTGAGAAGAAAAATGGTCTTCATCTGTTAATGATTTCTATGTGCCAGGGGCTGGGTTAGAAGTTGGTGAAAAAAAAATAGACATGGCCCCCACCCTTATATAATGTAAAGGATGGTAAGGAAGACTGATACTGTAAGATGTAACTATGGAGATCCAACATTTACAAAGAGACAAGGAGCCAACAAGAAGCAGTACTAGATGGGTGCTTCTATCATTGTGTGGTAAGGGAAAGGCTTTTTAAAATAAAGTCACATCTGAACTCGAAAAAGGAGCCATTCAGAAAACAGATTCGGTGAGACTAACAATTTGCCTAAGCAAAGAGAACTAATACTTTCAGAATCCAGAATTTAAATCAAGTTGTCCTGATTCCAAAAAATCATAATTTGTCTTTAATTGTTCAATAGTTCCTAGAAAGCAAATTTCTTGAAGCCAGAGGCTATATATATATAGAGAGAGAGAGAGAGAGAGAGACATGGATCTTGCTCCGTTGCCCAGGCTGGAGTGCAGTGACGCAGTCTCGGCTCACTGCAACTTCCGTCTCCTGGGTTAAAGCAATCTCCTGTCTCAGCCTCCCGAGTAGCTGGGACTACGGGTGCCCACCACCACGCCCAGCTAATTTTTGTATTTTTAGTAGAAATGGGATTTCACCTTGTTGGTCAGGCTGGTCTCAAACTCCTGACCTCAAGTGATCCACCTGCCTTGGCCTCCCAAAATGTTGGGATTACAGGTGTGAGCCACCACGTCCAGGCCAGAGGCTATATTTTTATCACTCTATCTTAAATCTAACACATAGTAAGACATTTAATCAATTATTATTGAATTGATGTATTTGAAATATTTAGCTTTTTATAGATTAAAAAGTAGAACATTAAAGGCTATATAACAATTATGTTCTAGAAGAGATCTGCTTTCAAATCTTTGATGAACATACTAGACAATTTGGGTTAGGAAGAAAACGAATGAGGGTACAGGTAAGAGAATTAGAGATAAATTTTACATCATTAGGGTTATGTTGGAGATAATATATTACATAAAATAACTAAAACATTGAAAGAAAATCAAAATATGAGAACGTTTTTCATGTTTTTTTTGAAGATTGGGAGTGTGTATATGTGCATAATAAAATAATGTAATTCAAAATTCATGGGTTGTAGAAAGGGTATACTGTTTCTCCTTGTCTCCTTCCTTCACGATATGAGGATTTAAGGCTTTTTTGTGTGTATCCCATCAAAGTATATGCATGTTTAGGAAAATTTATTTCAATCTTTCATTCTTATGAAAATGATGCAGTAAATAATATTGTATTTTTGCACTACCATGAGTCTATTTTTTTTTGAGACGGAGTTTCTCTCTTGTTCCCCAAGTTGGGGTGTGATGGCGTGATCTTGGCTCACCGTAACCTCTGCCTCCCAGGTTCAAGTGATTCTCCTGCCTCACCCTCCTGAGTAGCTGGGATTATAAGCATGCATCACTATGCCCAGCTAATTTTCGTATTTTTAGTAGAGACGGGGTTTCTCCATGTTAGTCAGGCTGGTCTCGAACACCTGACCTCAGGTGATCCGCCTGCCTCGGCCTCCTAAAGTGCTGGGATTACAGGCATGAGCCACCATGCCCGGCCGAGTCTATTCTTATTATAAATTCCTAGAAATGAAATTGCTAAGCAAAATATGGATATTAGTCATTGAAACTTTTTATGGCTAGGTGTGGTGGCTCACGCCTGTAATCCCAACATTTTGAGAGGCTGAGGTTGGAGGATTGCTTGAGGCCAAGGGTTCAATACCAGCCTAGGCAATGTAGCAAGACCCCAATCTCTACAAAAAAATAAAAAAAATTAGCTGGGCATGGTAGTGTGTGCGCGTAGTCCCAGCTACTTGGGGGACTGAGGCAGGAAGATCACTTGTGCCCAGATCAATGCTGCAGTGAGCCATGATCGCACCACTGCACTCCAACCTGAGCAACAGAGAGAAAAATTTTTGCCAAATTGCCCTCCATAGAGATTAGTTCAGTGTGTATTCCTATGCATCCCATGATGATTAAGAAGGCCTGTTTCTAGCCGGGTACTGTGGCTCATGCCTGTAATCCCAGCACTTTGGGAGGCTGAGGTGGGTGGATCACTTCAGGTCAGGAGTTCAAGAGCAGCCCGACCAACGTCGTAAAACCCCGTCTCTACTAAAAATACAAAAATTAGCCAGGCGTGGTGGTGCACACCTGTAATCCCAGCTACTCAGGAGGCTGAGGCAGGAGAATCGCTTGAAACCAGGACGCGGAGGTTGCGGTGAGCCGAGAACGCGCCATTGCACTCCAGCCTGGGCAACAAAAGCGAAACTCTGTCTCAAAATAATAATAATAACAATAATTAATTTTAGTATCTAATAGGACTATTTTTGCTTTACTGCTCCATTAAAAAAAATATCTGGCCAGGCACGGTGGCTCACGCCTGTAATCCCAGCACTTTGGGAGGCCTAGGCGGGCGGATCACGAGGTCAGGGGATCGAGACCATCCTGGCTAACAAGGTGAAACCCCGTCTCAACTAAAAATACAAAAAATTAGCCGGGCGAGATGGCGGGCGCCTGTAGTCCCAGCTACTTGGGAGGCTGAGGCAGGAGAATGGCATGAACCCCGGGGGGCGGAGCCTGCAGTGAGCCGAGATCACGCCACTGCACTCTAGCCTGGGGGACAGCAAGACTCGGTCTCAAAAAAAAAAAAAAATCTTCCCCAGCTATTACTTAGTCCATTTTTACATATAAACTTTAAAATCAAATTGTTTACCCTCCCAGGAGAAAAAAAATTCTTTGGGAGTTCTTACTGGATCAACATCAAATTAATAGATAAACTTGGAGAGATTTGACATTTTTAGGTCTTGGAGTCTTCCTTCCAAGAATATGTTATACCTTCCCATGTTTTTCCAATTGTCATTTATGATTTTTAGAATTATTCTATGAATGTATTTATGTAAATTGTTATATTAAAAATTTTTTGCAGTATGTAGATATGTATATGCATGTATGTAAATATATATGCACACATATACATAGATATTTATTTTTTCTTTTATAACTGGTTATTTTTTTTTTTTTTTTTTCTTTTTGAGATGGAGTCTCGCTCTGTCACTCAGGCTGGAGTGCAGTGGCGCAATCTCGGCTCACTGCAACCTCTGCCTACTGGGTTCAAGCAATTCTCCTGACTCAGCCTCCTGAGTAGCTGGGATTACAGGCATGCACCACCATGCCTGGCTAATTTTTGTACTTTTAGTAGTGATGGGGTTTCACCATGTTGGTCAGGCTGGTCTTGAACTCCCGACCTCAGATGATCTGCCTGCCTCGGCCTCCCAAAGTGCTGGGATTACAGGCGTGAGCCACCGCGCCAGGCCTGTTTCATTTTTTAGAGATGGGGTCTGGCTCTGTCACCCCCGCTGGAGTGCAATGGTACAATCATAGCTCACTGTAGCCTGAACTCCTGGGCTCAAACAATCCTCCTGTCCCAGCCTCCCAAGTAGCTAGGACTACAGGAATACACCACTACACCCAGCTAATTTTTGTATTTTTCTTATACTGACGGGTTCTCACTTGTGTTTCCAAGGCTGGTCTCAGACTCCTTGCCTCAAATTATCTTCCCTCCTTGGCTTCCCACAGTGTTAGGAATACAGGTGTGAGCCACCATACCTGGCTGTTTTTTTAATTATATTTTTAAATAAAATACATTTGAAACTAAATAATGGTTAATAGATTTATAATGAGAACGTATTTTAAAATTTTTCATGGGAGTATTGTAGCAACTAATTTAATCAAAATCAGAAAAATGACATATCAATTGGTAAATACATTGATTAGGATAAATGGAGTAAGAGAGTAAAATAAGCCAGAATATAGATAATATAGTGGGGTTTTTTTTGTTTTTTGTTGTTTTTTTTCTTTTGAGACGAAGTCTCACTCTGTTGCCCAGGTTGGAGTGCAGTGGCATGATCTCGGCTCACTGCAACCTCTGCCTCCTAGGTTCAAGCAATTCTCCTGCCTCAGCCTGAGTGGCTGGGATTACAGGTGCCCACCACCATGTCCGGCTAATTTTTGTATTTTAGTAGAGACATGGTTTCACCATGTTGGCCAGGCTGGTCTTGAACTCCCTACCCAGGTAGTCCGCCTGCCTCAGCTTCCGAAAGTGCTGGGATTACAGGCATGAGCCACCGTACCCGGCCTTAAATAATGTTTTTAAAAATGGTGATGAAGGCCAGGTGCGGTGGCTCACGCCTGTAATCCCAGCACTTTGAGAGGCCGAGGCGGGTGGATCACCTGAGGTTGGGAGTTCAAGACCAGCCTGACCAACATAGAGAAACCCTGTCTCCATTAAAAATACAAAATTAGCTAGTTGTGGTGGTGCATGCCTGTAATCCCAGCTACTTGGGAGGCTGAGGCAGGAGAATCACTTGAACCCGGGAGGCGGAGTTTGCGGTGAGCCGAGATCACGCTATTGCCCTCCAGCCTAGGCAGGCAACAAAGAGAGAAACTCCGTCTCAAAACAAAAAACAAACAAAAAATGGTGATGAAGAGTGTAAACACCAAGTTTATTGTAATGCATAGTGATTTACCCTCCTCTTCCAACATTAATTTTGTCACTTCTCTTCAATTTATTTCATCAGTGTTTTATAGTTTTTCTCATAGATATCTTTAACTTCTTTGGTTAAATTTATTCCTAGGTGTTTTATAATTTTGTCACTTCTTAGGCACACTACCATCATCACCATCTCCACTTGCTCCCAGAATTGAATTGATGTATACTATGTGTGTTAGTCGGGGTTCCCCAGAGAAACAATAGGATATGTGTAAATATGCAAAAAGAGATTTATTATGGGAATTGGCTCACACAATAATGGTGACCAAGGAGTCCCACAGTGTGCTGTCTGCCAGCTGGAGAGCCAGGATATCTGGCGTGACTCAATCTGCAATCTCAGGCCTGAGAGCCAAGGGAACGGATGGTGTAACTCCCAGTCTAGAGAAGGTTGTGGGAAGGCGAGAGGGCAAGAAAAAAATTGATGTCCCAGCTCAAGAAGAGAAAGAATTTGCCCTCTTTCCACCTTTGTGTTCTATTTGGGCCTTCATAAGATTGGGTGATATCCATGCGTCTTTTTACTTAGGCTACTGATTGAAATGTCAGTCATAGGTGTGGTGAGGTAGAATTTTTTTTTTTAACATGAGCTCATTTATTTTATTCAATTAAAAAATCTGAAAACAAAGAAGCAACTCCTCAGATCCCCTCACTTGAGTGCACATCTGCCCCAATTCAACACTCACATTTTAAAGTAAAGCTAGAGGGCTCTTCTCAAAAGCAGAATCTGGTCTTGTCATTCTCCATCCCAATCCACCCCTTGCTAAAATCCTTCAAAGCTTTCCCATTTTTCTCAGCCAATGGGAACCCCCTCTTACAAGGCCCTTAAGGGCCTGGTCTTCATCTCCTGTATCTCCAGTATCCATCCTGTCTCTTCTTTGCTCTCTAGCCTTCAGCTAAACTGGCTTTCTTTTTATTCCTTTGTATTAACCAGCCTTCTCTTTACTTCCAATGGCTGAGTTAATATAAAGGAATCTTTATATTAGGAAAAGGGTTAGGAAAGGAATCTTCCTAACCTTTTTGCTTAGTTAAAAGTTACTCATAGTTTATAGATCTTAAACATCAATTTCTCAATGAAAGGATCACAGTCCACCAATTTTCTTAATCCATCCTTAGTGCTCTCCTGCCTCCCTCAAGAGGGTGAATAATAGATTGTTATTAATTAGAAAAAAGTAGATGACTGTTTGATTAAATTATTAATCACTTAAGTGGCTACTGAGTTTAGACTTTTTTTTGTTTGTTTGTTTTGTTTTTTTTGAGACAGAGTCTCCCTCTGTTGCCCAGGCTGGAGTGCAATGCCAGGATCTCGGCTCACTTCAACCTTGACCTCCGGAGTTCAAGCAATTTTCGTGCCTCAGCCTCCTGAGTAGCTGGGATTACAGGTGTGCACCACCACACCTAGCTAATTTTTGTATTTTTAGTAGAGACAGTGTTTCAGCATGTTGGCCAGGCTGGTCTCGAACTCCTGACCTCAGGTGATCCACCCACCTTGGCCTTCCAAAGTGCTGGGATTACAGGCATGAGCTACCACACTTCTCTAAGTTTAGGCTTAAAGTAAATAACTGACGTGGGTCAAAAGTTTAGCCACATTTAGCTTCAGAGAAAAATTCTCCCAGACCAAGATTGTTTACTTATTCTAAACGTAGTACTCTAGTTGGTTCTAGAAGAAAAAGATTATTAAGCATATTAATTTCTTTTACTACTGATGCCACAAACGTAGCAACTTAAAACAGATTTATTTTACAGTTCTAGAGGACAAAAGTTAGTTTTTTTTTTTTTTAGACAGAGTCTTGCCCTGTCACCCAGGTTGGAGTGCAGTGGCATGATCTGGGCTCACTGCAACCTCTGCCACCCAGGTTCAAGCAGTTCTCGGCCTCAGCCTCCCGAGTAGCTGCGATTACAGGCGCTCACCACCATGTCTGGTTAATTTATTTTTATTTTTATTTTTAGTAGAGACGGGGTTTCACCATGTTGGCCAGGCTGGTCTTGAACTCATGACCTCGTGATCCACCTGCCTCAGCCTTCCAAAGTGCTGGGATTACAGGAGGAGGACAAAAGTTCTAAATTTAAGGCATCAACAGGCTTCTTGAGGCTCTAAGGGAGCACGTGTTCTCGTGCCTTTTCAAGCTTCTAGAAACTGCCTTAATTCCTTGGCTTATGACCCCTTCCTTGCCTCACTCCAACTGCTGTTAGTCACATTGGCAAGGTTTATTTTGCCATGCAAGGCAACATATGCACAGGTCCAGAGATTAAGACATGAGACATCTTTGGGAGGCTATTATTTTGTCTTTCACACCAAGATAAAATCCTTGTCTTCAGACAACTCAAAGTCTGGGAGGATTTATACAGTTGAGCCTTCCTATTCCAAAAACATGAAATCTGAAATTCTTCCAAAATATGAAACTTTTGGGGCACCAACAATAATATTGAAAAGAAATATTCAGCCGCACGCGGTGGCTCACGCCTGTAATCCCAGCAATTTGGGAAGCCGAGGCGGGCGGATCACCTGAGGTCGGGAGTTTGAGACCAGCCTGACCAACATGGAGAAACCCCGTCTCTACTAAAAATACAAAAAAATTAGCCAGGCATGGTGGCACATACTAGTAATCTCAGCTAATTGGGAGGCTGAGGCAGGAGAATGGCTTGAACCCAGGAGGTGGAGGTTGCGGTGAGCCAAAATCGTGCCATTGCACTCCAGCCTGGGCAACAAGAGCGAAACTCGGTCTCAAAAAGAAAAGAAAAGAAATGTTCATTGGAGCATTTTGGATTAATATTTTTGGATTCAGGATGCTCAACCAGTAAGTATATAATGCGAATATTCCAAAATCAGAAAAAAAAAATCCGAAATCAGAAACACTAATGGTCCTAAGTATTTCAAGTAAGGGATATTCAACTTGTATAATATGACAGCCATAGGTGATATGAGAATCCGCTGAAGGTAACAGGGTGTTTTTCGGGTACCAAAGTAAGAACGGAAATACCGCAGATGGGACATCCTGGAACCAAGTAGTGTTTTGGATGAGAAATTGAGGGTATTTTGTTATAGGGAACGGTGCACGCAAAGCATAAAAATGAGAGAGATGTGTTTGGCCAGGCGCGGTGGCTCACGCCTCTAATCCCGGCACTTTGGGAGGCAGAGGCGGGCGGATCATCTGAGGTCAGGAGTTCAAGATCAGCCTGGCCAACGTGCAGAAACCACGTCTTTACTAAAAATACAAAATTTAGCCAGGTGTTGTGGCAGGTGCCTGTAGTCCCAGCTGCTCCTAGGCTGAGGCAGGAGAATTGCTTGAACCTGGGAGGTGGAGGTTGCATTGAGCCGAGATCGGCCACTGCACTCCAGCCTGGGGGACAGAGCGAGACTCCATCTCAAAAAAAAAAAAAAAAGAGAGAGAGAGAGAAATGTGTTTATTTAAGTTCATTTCAGCAACTTTAATAAGACTAGAACCTGATATGTAATGGTAATGGAAGAGTTAAAAAGATAATAATTTTTTTTTTTTGGAGACTTTCACTGTTGTTGCCCAGGCTGGAGTGCAATGGTATGATCTTAGCTCACCACAACCTCCCCCTACTGGGTTCAAGCGATTCTCCTGCCTCAGCCTCTGGAGTAGCTGGGATTACAGGCATGCGCCACCATGCCCGGCTAATTTTGTACCTTTAGTAGAGACGGGGGTTTCTCCATGTTGGTCAGGCTGGTCTCGAACTCCCGACCTCAGGTGATCTGCCTGCCTCAGCCTCCCAAATTGCTGGGATTACAGGCGTGAGCCACTGTGCCCGGCCAACTCTACTCTTCCTTAGCAAAATTTTTAGCAAAATTGTCTCATAGGCCCCTGAGGTTGATGAAAAACCTCCAATCAAGCAGATAAGCAAAAAACAGAATTGGTATAAACAGCCAAGAGCATTCCCTGATAGGTAAACTTCCACTAAATAAACTCTAGGTCTGTTTGACCACAATTGGGTCCCCAGTGACGGCTATGTCTTTGTCCTCACATACTCCTCTTCACAGTCTTCCATTGTGCAGAGACCAAAGGAGAAAAGTAAATGATCTGTATAGGATTCTGAACTTCAGGATCCACCAGAAAATGTTGCTACTTTGAGAGTTGGTTTAAAGTCTCCAGAAGAGACTTTAAAAGAAAATGATTCAGAATACTTGATTTTCTCCACATGTCATTTTAAAAAGATGTAACTCCTATGCTTTTTGGCTCTGAAGTAAAAATAAATCAGCAGTCCCTCAAATTAAAATTTTCTTGCACATAGTGTTACATGAGGGGGCAAACAGAAGTTTTCTTCTATGCTGCTTCATTTCCTTTTTTCTTAGAAGAGAGATGAATTTAGGAGCTATCTCCTGCAAAGTGACACATAGCCTCATGACTATGAAGCTGAATTTCTAGAAGTAGAGAAACATGTTAGAAGAGAAAAAAAATTCTAAAAATTTATATTTACACATTCTCTGGCACCATCTGATCAAACAAAGTTTAAGCTACTTCTCAGTGGCCACGAAACAGGCCCCTTTAAGTTGGGCAGCTACACTTTATTTAATTTTATGTAAGATATAAGACATAATGCTTAACTGTCATACAAATAAACAGGATATATGTCTCCTTAACATAAGGCAAGACTGGAATTAAGGAAAATTTCTCTTTCCTTTAACCTATAAATTCTGTTCAGAACTGATAAACTTACATCCTCAGTTGAAGAAATAATGACATGTAGATGAATCATTTGTTCTTGTTCTTTCTTGTTTAACAAACAAGGAAATAAATTGATGATGTTGGTGTGGGTGGGTGTTTCATGTGGAAATAGCTTTTTTAGGTTCTATAGCTATCATAAGGCTCAGTGCCCAAAATTTGGCTATTTGATTGAATCCTCAATACTGAAGTTGAATCTTGAATGTATGTCTATTTTGGAAATGATGGGAGCAATTTTGGAGTGAAAAAGGGCCTGGTACAATGGAAGGCTCTAAGAGGAAACAAACTTGAATAAGTCAACTTAAGAGCTAGGGGTTTGATGAAGTATGGAGAATATGTTGCTTGTAAATGTGATCCAGAAATTCAGACATAGCTGAGCCTACTGGGGAGCTGGCAATGAGCTAATCATTGTTAGTGCTCCTTATTATCCTGGAAAGGAACTTAATAGAAGATGCTTGTGGTTTAAGGGAAATTTAACGCAGTATTATTCCTCTTAAATTATAAAACCAAAATACATCAAGTAGTGAATGTTAAATCACGTTACCACGGAATATAATGAGACCATTTAAAAAACTGAGATAATTCTACAGATATGAAAGCTATCTGGCACATATTAAGTGAAAGAGAAACTTTTAAAATATTTATAAGATTTACTTAGCTGTATTTTCTAAATGAATCTTTATGCACATTGCAGACTTTATTAGTTTGCTTTTGCTACCCAATGAACCACCCCAAAACAGAGCTATTTAAAACAGTCTCTGAATAGTTCTCTTAGTCTTGGCTGTTTAGGATGGGGTTGGGTCATCCAGGATGGCCTCACTCATATGCTGGAGATGACAGGCTAGGTGGTCAAGGGGGAACCTCATTTGTAAATACAAAGGTTGGTTCCATGTCAGCTAGGCAATGGCCACATAAGTTTCATGACCCAGCAGACTAGCCCAAGCTCTTTCCCATGGTGGCCAGAGTTCCCTGAAGCAAGATAAGGCAAGTCTCAATGCACGTGCACTTTTCAACCCTCTACTTAAGTCACAATGTATATTGTCCAACTGACCAAAGCTAGTCACACAGCCAAGCACAGAGTCAGAGAGGGAGGTGGCTACCCAAGGGAGGGAGTTAGAGAGATGTGAACAAATTGACATTATCATTATAATCTACCACACAGAACTCATGTGCACTAATATCCAGTACAATGTTGAAAATGTCCTTTTCTTTGCTTTCATTGGTTAAACTCTGGATGTTTATTTATTTATATAAACTACAATTATTTTGTGTAATCAAAATGAGACTGCTGAGTCTAGACAAAGGAATCTTCGTGCTACTTTTCTTTTTTTTTTTTTTTTTGATACGGAGTCTTGCTCTTGTCTCCCAGGCTGGAGTGCATTGGCACGATCTTGGCTCACTGCAACCTCCGCCTCCCGGGTTCAAGTGATTTTCCTGCCTCAGCCTCATGAGTAGCTGAGATTACAGGCACCCGCTACCACACCCAGCTAAGTTTTGTATTTTTAATAGAGACAGGGTTTCTCCATGTTGGCCAGGCTGGTCTTGAGCTCCTGACTTTGTGATCCTCCCGCCTCAGCCTCCCAAAGTGCTAGGATTACAGGCGTGAGCCACCGCATCTGGCCCATGCTACTATTATCCAAAGTCAAAGGCTGTTTGATATGGTTTAGACGTTTTTTTCCTCCCTCCAGATCTCATGTTGAAATGTGAACTCCAGTGTTGGAGGTGGTCCTAGTGGGAGGTATTTGAGTCATGGGGGCGTAGCCCCCACAAAGGGATTGGTGCTGTCCTTGAAGTAATGAGTGAGTTCTCACTCTATGAGTCCACACAAGATCTAATTGTTTAAAACAGGCTGGAACCTCCTCCCTCTCTCTCTTGCTGCCTCTCACCATGGGATACTCTGGCTCACCATTTGCCTTCCACCATGATTGTAAGCTTCCCCTGGTGAGGCCACACCAGAAGCTGAGCAGATGCTGGTGTCACGCTTGTACAGCCTGCAGAACTGTAAACTAAATAAACCTCAATTTTTTTTTTCTTGGAGATGGAGTTTTGCTCTTATTGCCCAGGCTGGAGTGCAATGGTGTGCTCTTGGCTCACCGCAACCTCTGCCTCCCAGGTTCAAGCGATTCTCCTGCCTCAGCCTCCCGAGTAGCTGGAATTACAGGCAAGCACCACCATGCCCAGCTAATTTTTTTGTACTTTTAGTAGAGGCGGGGTTTCTCCATGTTGGTCAGGCTGGTTGTGAACTCCTGACCTCAGGTAACCCACCCGCCTCGGCCTCCCAAAGTGCTGGGATTATAGGCATGAGTCACCGCACCCGACCTAACCTCATTTCTTTAGAAATTATCCAGTCTCAGATATTCCTTTATAGCAATGCAAAATGAACTAATACACTGTTTACCAGAAGACTAATGTGGAACTGAGAATAGGTACAACAAATATGATTTATCTTTATTTTTATTTTTTGAGTAAATGATTCATTCACACAGATCAAAACTTAAGTTACCAAAGGGTGAAAAACCTCCCACCTGTATCTTATCCACCTGGTCTCTTCCTCCAAGAGAATCAATGTTAAGAGTCTCCCACATGGCCTTCTAGAGATGTTTTATGCATATGCATGCAAATATGTTTATGCATCCCCTTTCAAATATGACTTAGATCCCTTCCCAGTGTAGTTTCAACTCAGGATCTCCTGGAAATCAGGAGAAAGACGGCAAAGTGCCATGTGGTCTGTTTTTTGAAGTGTTACAAATGAACTAACAGGTAATTAAAAAAAATTTTATTGACCCACAGATAAGTATGGTATCAGAGTTGTGATATTATTAATCTGTAATACTAAGTGGCTGGACACAGTGGCTCATGCCTGTAATCCTAGCACTTTGGGAGGCTGAGGCGGGAGGATCACCTGAGGTCAGGAGTCTGAGACAAGCCTGGCCAACATGGTGAAACCCTGTCTCTACTAAAAATAGAAAAATTAACTGGGTGGTGGCTCATGCCTGTAATCCCAGCTACTCAGGAGGCTGAGGCAGGAGAATCACTTGAACGCAGGTGGCAGAGGTCGCGGTGAGCTGAGACCGTGCCACTGCACTCCAGGCTGGGCTGCAGAGCAAGACTCCATCTCAAAAAAAGAAATAAATAAATAAATACTAAGCATGCACTAATCAGAGAAGGAGATTAACAACTTGGAAATATACTGACCTTCTGCTATTTATTGTCTATTGTATGGAGGCAGATTAGTGACTATATGGCCAATACTATAAATTGTAGAACATTTCTTTTTTTTTTTTTTTTTAAGAGATGGGATCTTGCTATGTTGACCAGGCTGGTCTGAAACTCCTGGCCCCAAGTGATCCTCCCATCTTGGCCTCCCAAAGTGCTGGGATTACAGGCATGAGCCACCACACCTGGCTATAAATTGTATAACATTTCTTGAAAGTGATTTTAGATATTTTTTTAAAGGAGGCTTTCTAAAAAATCCTCAGACACTTTTATGTTAGTGAAATGTATTTTCTGAATCTGTAACTATAACCACTATTCCATAAAGTTAAGGTTTATTCCTATATTTTAAAGTTGGACTTGTCTTTCAAGTGAAACAATGGTAGATGAGGTAAAAAAACAACACACGGTTGTCTACTTGCTGCATTATATCTATTTATTCATTTTTATCACTGCATTTAAATGTGTTTTATTGGGACATCTCAAGAGCCTTTTCCAGCTTTGCTATTGGATTAAGATTGAGCATGCTTAGCAGATAGTAGTTATTCAGTCAACATTTCTTCAATGAATGAATAAATAGCTTACACATAAAAAGCATGAGTGGTGTTTAAGAGGGGCTAGATTTCTCAGTCTTATTTTTTTCCCCACAGATATGACTAACAGTGAAAGAAGGAGGTATCATGAAGCTGAGCAATGAAATGTAGTGGTTCATAGAATTCCCACAGCTTACTAAATTTCAAAAAGACAAAACTCTTATTCCTTTTTTTCTTCAGCCTCTCTTATTTTATTTTTGAATGTTATTTATTTATGTATTTATGTTTTTGGGGACGGAGTTTCACTCTTGTTGATGAGGCTGGAGTGCAATGGCGCGATCTCGGCTCACTGCAACCACCACCTCCGGGGTTCAAGCGATTCTCCTGCCTCAGCCTCCTGAGTAGCTGGGATTACAGGTGTCCACAACCACACCGGGCTAATTTTTTGTATTTTTAGTAGAGACGGGGTTTCACCGTGTTGGCCAGGCTGGTCTCAAACTCCTGACGTCAGGTGATTCACCTGCCTCAGCCTCCCAAAGTGCTGGGATTACAGGCGTGAGCCACTGACCCCGGCCTCAGCCTCCCTTATTTTAAAGGTATAGTGAAGAGAATACTGATGTTGCAGTTAAACAGAGCCATCGTCAAGTCCTGGCTTTATCACTTACCAGCTTTGAGAAAGCAGGGGCGCTCCTCACGCTCCCTCAGCCTGTTTCCTCAACAGGGGTGTTTCTTATCAGATTGGGCCGTTGTTTTGTGAGAGAATGTCTATAAAACTTGCAGAAAACAGATCCTTAATAAATGGCAGCTATTATTGTGATTCTCAGTAGTTCTCAGTAAAACGTGTAGAAAAGGAAAGACAAACTACACCAATGTAAGGCAGGAACCTTGAAAAGTTAGGAAGCGCTGATGGCAGGAACTGAGACAGTACTTTGTCTCATCTCTCCAGTAGTAATTTCCTCCAAAATGTCCTGACTGTCAAATAAATAATCTTTAGCATTTACCTCATTTAACTCTCCTACTTGAAACCTCTTTACCTCTTTCTGACAATGTCTTAATAGGAAGTTCATGTCTGTTCTTAATGTGATGCTATTCTTTTTTTCAGATTTCCCAATGCAAAATCTCTGCTCCCGCTGACACTGGTGAACTTGTTCTCATTCACATCTAGGCTTTACTTACAGCTGTTCTTCCCACCTTGCCCTGTCCTCTCACTCACCTTTCCCTGCCCCATATCCCATAAAAGGATCAAATGGCAAAGCCCTCCCACAGAAGAGTTGAGAGCTACACTTCTTGTTTTCTGAATTATCGTATATGCCTTTTGTTGCAATTTAACTTTACATTAGAAGTATCATTTGTCTTTTCAATAAGAGTGTTTCGGCCGGGCACAGTGGTCACTCCTGTAATCCTAGCACTTTGGGAGGCCAAGGCGGGTGGATCACCTGACGTCAGGAGTTCAAGACCAGCCTGCCAACATGGTGAAACCCTGTCTCTACTAAAAGTACAAGAATTAGCTGGGCATGGTGGTGGGCACCTGTAATCCCAGTTACTGGGGAGGCTGAGGCAGGAGAATCACTTGAACTTGGGGGGCGGAGGTTGCAGTGAGCTGAGATCGTACTGTTGCAGTGAGCCGAGATCGTACCATTGCATTCTAGCCTGAACAACAAGAGTGAGATTCTGTCTCAAAAAAAAAAAAAAAAAAAAAAAAGAGTGTTTCCTCAAGGCTGTATTTGTACTGTTATATTTCTTGGCATCCAACCAAGATGCTAGTATCTTTAATTCATGTTCCTTAGTGAATTCTACAAAAGGAATCTGTGGGTCCAATTACCCCTTCACTGATAATTTTAATAATGCATCTAAAGAATTAGGGCTTTCTTTTCCAAAAACCACATGGGTCTGTGGTTCCCTCAGCTATTTCCACCTTAAAGTACAATTTTCTCCACCATAAATAATTCTATTTTAGGAACACCCTCTGAAAGTAGAGCAAGTGGCTTTCAGGTTATGTAAGCTACCTGAAATTTAGGGATAGCATACTTTTTATATTCCAAATTTCCATCTACAAGCAAGGACAGGTTGCTTAAAGCAATGGTACAACCCCAATGTAAATTAATCGTGTTTTTTTCCCTTCCTAATCCTACGACCTGATGTCTCTTGACTTTTTAAGTAGAACTATTCAGACACATGTATTCCTATCCTTGTTTAATTTTTTTGGCTTGAAAAATTGGCTCAAGTAAAGCCAAGATTCCATTCTTACACTTCATTCTCTTAGTCCCCTAGGACTGTGTAGTCAATTAAGCTATGCTTCCAAGGATGCTAAATACTCATTAACATTATTAATCATTTCTAAAGTACTAGTGGTCTGATTTCCTCTGGGAAATGCTGTGTACTGCTTTCGAGTGTTTCTCATATCTGGTCTACTACAAAAGCCTTTCCTAGGGCCATATTCTTCAGCTCTGTTGTCAAATATGCCAAGGCTAAAACTTTCTTGTTGATGGAATGACTTTGGGTTTTAGGTTCAGTCTTGTGGCTTCATAAATCACTAGAGACTTAATATCTGGATAAGGTTTCCTTTCAAGTGAAATTATTTAAATCACAACTGAACATTAAAATGTTCCATGACAAGAACTGGATTAAGTTTGAAAATGAGATACATATAATAAAAAAGATACACCGTTGTTAATAGCAACAAACACTCATAGTCCTTCATATACATTAACTCATTTGATAGTCACAACCACTCTATGAGACAGGTATTATTATAACTTCTATTTTACTGAAAAGGAAGAGGAAGCTCAGAAAAGTTAAGTAATTTACCCCAGGTCACCCAGCTATAAATGGCAGACCCACAATTCAAACACCCAGGCAACGTGGACCCGGAGTTATTTCTCTTAAACGCTATGCTACTATAAAGTGAGAATATCTGTGTGTGAGAGAAGTTGCTGAAATTAAGATACCTCTGCAACTTACGTGTGTACTATACAAAGGTAACATTGAGGCTATGGGCACGGCCCCATCTTTTGAGGAGAGACTTTCAGTAGTTACCCGTGAAACTGATTTAATTAGAAATCTGTTTTGTTAATGGCCCTGTCTGTGAAATCTCTGCCAATAAACACATTTGCATATGCCAGTTGAAATGCCATCTTACACTGTGTTAGGTGTAAGTTTCCAGTACTTACATTTAACTAGATGAAGCTGAATAATTATATGACTCCTACCGCTCCTCCACACTCGACATCAAATTAGCCCAAGTCTTCCCACTTCTCCCTTTAGTGCTCTAATTCAGGGCATGCAGACTTTTCTTGATAATTTGTTTTTGACACATCTAATTTATGTATTTGTCTTTTATATTAGTTTAGAAGACTATGGTAACTATAGTAGCTTTTTGTAATTCATTTGTCCCTTCTGTAGGGGAGTGTTTTAAGAATTATATTACACTGTTATAATACCATGCAGCCATTTAAAAAGATTAAAGTAGATATAGACAACTAACTACGAGTGCTATTGCTACAACTGTTACCATTACCTTGCTGCTGCTAACACCTCCGCCTCCAATACTATTATTGTTACTAACAGCAGACACTTGTATGGCCTTTGCCTTGAGTTAGGGGATGTTCTAAACACTTCATGCTTATTAATTAATAGCTATCTCTGCAAGGATATGCAAGAAATGATCATTGTGGTTCCTTTGGAAAGGAAATCTTGGGCAACTGAAGTCTGGCCTAGGAACTTGGTTTTCATCGTATCCCTTTATATTTGAAATGAGCACACACGTTGTATTGAATTTAATACTAAAATAATTTTAATGTAATAATTATTTTATTAATTTTAAAATAATATGACCATAAATGTTGAAGTAGGTAAATGGAAAATAAACAGCAAACAGTACATGAATACATGTGCACTGTGGCTGTAAATTTAACAGAAAAAAAATATCTTGGCTAATACTAAGAGACACACTTCAAGTCTCCCTTCAAGAAAAGATTCACTAGTTTTTATTTCCACCAACAGTGTACCAGCATCCCCTTCCTCCACATCCTCCCCAGCATATGTTATTTTTTTGTCTGTTTGATGATAGCCATTTCAACTGGGGTGAGATGATATCTAATTGTGGTTTTGATTTGCATTTTCCTGATTAGTGATGTTGAGTATTTTTAATCTACCTGTTGGCCATTTGTATGTCTTCTTTTGAGAAATGTCAGGTGTGGGGGATGAGGAGAGGTAGGTCAATGCGTATAAAAATACAGTTAGAAGGAATAAGTTATAGGTTTGATAGCATGGAAGGGTGACAATAGTTAACAATAATTTATTGTATATTGTGAAATAGCTGGAAGATTTGGAATGTTTCCGACACAAAGGAGTGATACACGTTTAAGGTGGTGGATATCTTAATTACCACCTTAATTTGATCATTCCGTAGTTCATACATACATCAAAATATCACATGTACCACATAAATATGTACAATTATTATATATCAATTTTTTAAAAGGAAGGAAGAAAGGACTGGCTGCCCAGCTCCCAGAAGTGGTGAGTTGATAGCCTCCAGCGAGATATTCAAACAAAGGTCCTTCTCTTTTCCAAAAGTCTGAGCTAGGTGGTGGAACAATGGCCTGCCCAGTCCCTTCCAGTGTGAAATTCCTTTAATCTTTGCTCCAGAACTCCGCACCGTGCTGGGGAGTTTGTCAGTTCCGCGTGGCAGTCTGACAGCTCCCCCTGCTGTTGTTATGTGCTTGCGTTTTCTTTTCTTTTCTCTTCTTTTCTTTTTTCTTTTCTCCTCTCTTCTTTTCTTTTTTGTTTCCTTTCCTTTTCTTTTTTTTTTCTTTTTCTTTTTTTTTTTCTTTTGAGACAGAGTCTCACTCTGTTGCTCAGGCTGGAGTGCAGCGGTGAAATCTCAACTCATAGCGGTGAAATCTCAACTCACTGCAACCTCCGCCTCCCGGGTTCAAGGGATTCTCCTGCCTCAGTCCCCCGAGTAGCTGGGACTACAGGCGTGCACCACCATGCTCGGCTAATTTTTGTATTTTTAGTAGAGACAGGGTTTCACCATGTTGGCCAGGCTGGTCTCGGACTCCTGTCCCCAAGTGATCAGCCCACCTTGGCCTCGCAAAGTGCTGGAATTACAGGCATGAGCCACCACACCCAGCCTCAATATTTTAAACATCACTGCATATTAGGTTATTATTTAATGTTTATGTTACTATGACTATGAAAATGCCATTTACAACACCACCATGTAGACAATTGTAGCTATTTTTCCTTTCTTACACAATTTTCTGCTTTTCCTGAAGTTAAATTTTTCTTCTTTTTCTTAATTGGCAACATTTCTATGCCCGTGGGGAGTCAGTATAAAATGATGGTTTCAGGAAAGTCTCTGTTGATACCTGTGGAAATGGAGAGAAAAATATGAAAATAAAAATAAAAAGTTTCTGCAGTCAGATTGCCTGGCTTTGAGCCCTGTGATGCTTCTTACTAGCTGTGTGATCTTGGGCTATCTAGTTAATCTGCTGTGCTTTTCTTTCCTTTTCTGTAAAATAGGTACAATAAATACATCTATTGCATAAGTTTCCTATGCAAAGTGTCTTAGAAGAGTATCTGCCTACATAATAGCACACCATAAATGTCAACCTCAAGCCTTCTGTCAGTTTGCCTGAGCCTCTAAATATGCTCACTCAACTGAGGGAGTCTGTCAATATGATCTTTGCAGAAGTATCTCCCAGAGTCTTCCAACGTGCCCCACACAGGAGTGTTTGTCCTCTCCTTTCTTTTTCTTTTCCTATCTTTTCTTTCTTTCTTTTTTTTTTTTTTTTTTGAGATAGGGTCTTGCTCTGTTGCCCAGCTGGGAGTAGAGTGGTAAGATCATGGTTCCCTGCAGCCTCGATCACCCGGGCTCAAGTAGTACCCCTGCCTCAGGCTCCCAAGTCGCTGGGACTACAGGCAAGCGCCACCATGCCCAGCTAACATTTTTTGTTTTTGTTTTTTTGTGCAGATGGGGTTTTGCCACATTGCCTAGGCTGGTCTTGAACTCCTGGCCTCAAGTGATCCTCCTGCCTTGGCCTCCCAAAGAGCTGGGATTACAGGCGTGAACCACTGTGCCCGGCCTTGCCCTCTCCTCTTATCCAGGATTTCTCTTTATCTTTATCTTCCCTTGCTCCTGGTTTTGATCCCCTGACTTTTGGTACTACATGTCTTCCTCTTTCTTGGTTCATAACTGTATTTTAATCAAGCATATCTATAGCTTTTTGGAAAAGAGCTTTCTGAGAAGTAATTTTTTTTTGAGAAATTGCATGTCTAAAATATCTGTATTCTATCCTCACACTGATTAATAATTTGGTTGGATATTGAATTCTGAAATAAAAATAATTTGTCTTCAGAATAATGAAGGCATTCTTTCATTGTGTTCTTGCTTCTATATTGCTGTGGAGAGGTCTAAAGGTGTTCTAATTACTGATCCTTAACTATGACTTCCTCTCTTTGACCTCAATATTCTAAAATTTCTTTCTTTCTTCCTTTCCTTCTTTCTTTTTCTTTCTCCTTTCTTTCCTTCTTTCCCTCTCTCCTTCCCTTCCCTCCCCCTCCCCTCCCTTCCCCTCCCCTCCCCTTCACTTCCCTTTCCTTCCTTCTTCCTTACTTACTTCTCTCTCTCTCTTTCTTTTTTTGAGACAGGGTCACTCTGTCACCCAGGCTGGAGTACAGTGGTGCAATCATGGCTCACTGTAGCCTTGACCTCCTAGACTCAGGTGATCCTCCCACCTCAGCCTCCCTAGTAGTTGGGACTACACGAATGCACCACCACGCCCAGCTAATTTTTGTATTTTTTTTGTAGAGATATGGTTTTGTTATGTCACCCAGGCTGGAATAATAAAATTTTATGATGATGTGTATTTACATTTAAAATGCATTGTGGGTTTCTTTCTTCCAAAAATTATAACTCGTTTTATGCAGCGTTCTGCTTCTTGCTTTTTTTTTTCTAAGTTATCTTCAGATCTTAGCTTATCAGCTGGCCTCCTGGAAGATCTGCCTCACGAAGCACAATATGCAGAAATGGCAATGCATGTGTAGGACAAGCTCATCATAAATTATGGTGTTTTTAAAAAAACTTTAAATAATAAAGTAATTAAACATATATTTAGTAAAAAAATGATAAAGATCTTCATGTGGGTATAAGTACATATTTCAAATAAACTTTTTGGTCATTTTAGGATTTTTGGCTGACATCAGGTTAGGCTTGATTTGATTGTCATTGTTTTTATCTGGAATGTGACCAATAAAGAGCCTGCTTAAGGACTATGACTGGCCAGGTGTGGTGGCTCATTCCTGTATCCCAGCACCTTGGGAGGCTGAGTCAGGAGGATCGCTTGAACTCAGGAGTTCAAGACCAGCCTGGGCAAAATAGTGAAACTTCATTTCTTCAAAAAATACAAAAAATAGCTGGGTGTGGTGGTCTCAGCTACTTAAGGCGCTGATGTGGGAGGATCACTTGAGCCCAGGAGGAGGAGGTTACAGTGAGCTGAGACTTCGCCACTGCACTCCAGCCTGGGCGACAGAGCGAGACCCTGTCTCGAAAAAAACAAAAAAAAAAAGATTATAACTGCCCACTTTGCCTTTTGTGTTACTGGTCTCCTCTCCTTATATTTAAATTATCTTTTTTTTTTTTTTTTTTTTTTTTTTTTTGAGATGGAGACTTGCTCTGTTGCTCAGGCTAAAGTGCAATGGCACAATCTCTGCTCATTGCAACCTCTGCTTCCCAGCCTCAAGTGATTCTCCTGCCTCAGCCACCTGAGTAGCTGGGATTATAGGCACCCACCATCATGCCTGGCTAATTTTTGTAGAGACGGGGCTTCACCATGTTGGCCAGGCTGGTCTTGAACTCTTGACCTCAGGTGATCTGCCAGCCTTGGCCTCCCAAAGTGCTGGGATTACAGGCGTGAACCACCATGGCTGGCCTATTTGAATTATTTTAAATCTGCATTTCCCTTGAAGGAATCTTCCGAAGTCATTTGTCCACTTAGTTGCATTCATTTAACAAGACACACATAAACTAGAGAAAATTTCAATAATCTGAGAGTGCTGCTATTAATCTCATGAACTATTTTACATATGGATTGAGTATAGGTACCAATGTCAATCTGAATGCTAAACTATTAGTATAGCTCCTTTAAAAAATAAAAATGTAAAGAAAAATTTTAATATGTTCACCTTATGTACCATTGAATTGTTTTTTATACCTCTAGGGGCAAACATCTCACTTTGAAAGCAGATACTTGGCCGGGCACAGTGGCTCATGCCTTTAATCTCTCCACTTTAGGAACCACTTTAGGAGAGTTGCTTGGGGTCAGGAGTTCAAGAGCAGCCTGGGCAACACTTAGAGACTCCATTTCTAAAAAAAAAAAAAAATTAGCTGGGTGTGGTGGCACATACCTGTAGTCCCAGCTACTTGGGAGGCTGAAGGAGGAGGATTGCTTGAGCCTAGGAGGTTGAGGCTGCTGTGAGACAGGACTGTGCCACTGCACTCCATCCTGGGCAACAGAATGAGACCTAGTCTCAAAAAAAAAAAAAAGAAAAGGAAAAGAAAAAAAAGAAAAAAAAGAGTAGATGCTCTAGAACATCTATTCTTTTGGCATGTTGTTATGATGGATTAAAAAAAACCCACAATATCTTTGATAGGTACATGTTGTTATAGTGCGCCTGCATTTTATCTTTTTCTCTCAGACTGTTATATCTCTCAGATCTACAGACCTAACCAATTTATAGTTTATTATGCCTTTGTTTTTCTAGGGTAATTAAATACATGTAGTGAGTCTTATGGTGCATAAGGCACTATGCTAGTACTATAGAGGCATGTTTCTTAAACTTTCACATATATTCAAATCACTTGAGGATTTTGTTTTGTTTTGTTTTGAGCCAGAATCTCACTCTGTCACCCAGGCTGGAGTGCAGTGCCGTGATCTCAGCTCACTGCAACCTCCACCTCCCAGGTTCAAGGGATTCTCCTGCCTCCAGCCTCCCATGTAGCTGAGACTACAGGTGCCCACCACCACGCCCAGCTAATTTTTGTATTTTGATAGAGACGGGATTTCACCATGTTGACCAGGCTGGTCTTGAACTCCTGACCCCAAGTGATCGGCCCACCTTGGCCTCCCAAAGTGCTGGGATTACAGGTGTGAGACACTGAGCCTGGCCTGAAGATTTTTTTTTTGAAATGGAGTCTTGCTCTGTCCCCAGGCTGGAGTGCAGTAGCATGATCTCAGCTCACTGCAAGCTCCGCCTCCTGGGTTCATGCCATTCTCCTGCCTCAGCCTCCGGAGTAGCTGGGACTACGGGTGCCCGCCACCACGCCCAGCTAATTTTTTGTATTTTTAGTAGAGACGGGGTTTCACCGTGTTAGCCAGGATGGTCTCGATCTCCTGACCTCATGATCCGTCCGCCTCGGTCTCCCAAAGTGCTGAGATTACAGACGTGTGCCACCGCGCCCAGCCTGAAGATATTTTTTAATGCAGATCCTGATTCAGTATGGCAGGGGTGGGGCCTGTGATGCTGCATTTCTCATAAGCTCCTAGATGATGATGATGATGATGATGATGATGGTGATGATGATGATGATGATGATGGTGATGATGATGATGATGTTGGCCTATAAAGATGCTTTGAGTTGCACAGTTGGGGCGCAAAGACATGCACAATCTGGCCTCTGCACATAAAGGATTTATCCTATACTCAGGGATGAGCATGAACATAAGTAAGAACCCCAGATTTATGAAATTGGGATATAGCTCTCCTTTTTTAGTGTCTCTATGCTCCCATTCTCCTCAAGGCCACAAAATTTTACCTACCCACTTGGACAGTTGCAACATGTGCTATGTGTTTCAAAACTCCTTTGTACTCCCTGAGCATACTTTTCCTGAGGCCTTTGCTCTTTGAGAATTAATAGATTAATCTATTGTTTTAAAACGTATTACTGTCTATCAATGTCTAATCCATTTCAGGTGTTATACTGAAATTTGTACCAGATGTCATTTAACAATGCAAGCCAAAGAGTCTCTCTTTTTTGTACGTGCTGGAAAGAGGGTAGCAAGTTAGCCTTAGGATCTGGGACTCATCTACCATGCAGTTCCATGATTAAATACCCAGGAGATACATACCTAGCATAGCCCCTGAAAGTAAACATTTTTCTGAATGAGTAGGACTCTGGGCCTGATACACAAAGGAAAAATAAATCCAGAAAAGAACCTTGCTAGCCTTGAAATGGACTCCTGAAAGGATTAACAATCAGTGATAAATGTTCACTGTCCCCAAAGAGCTGAATATGTTGGGTTATTTTGAGCAAATCGTATTCATCACTGTTGACCCATAATAGCTATCCATCTATTATACTGACTGGTAAGGATCTGCACTGAGGAGGTCAGCTTTATAGCTTGCTTGGCTCCAAGTTACCACAGTGGCTGTTACACCTGTCGCTTTCACCAAGCAACTGTGTCTTCACCATAACTGCCAACGCACACGGACTCACCTCTTCTTCTTTTCAGCAGAAAAGAGAATACTGTGTAGTAACATGGTACTTCCTGTCCAGGTCTGCCTGTCACATTTAACAGACTGATTAAAATATAGGCTTCTAACTCTAATTAATTATTGAACATTGATTGAGTAATGACTTTGTAAATGCACTCTGTTTGGCCTTCTGGGGAATCAAAGATGCCTAAGAGCTGGTTCCCACCTTCACAGAGCTCGTATTACAGTTGTTCTGAGAATACAAAATTTTTTGAAAAGTTCACTATGAGCCATTAAGCAAGTCTTCTTCCCCTTTTTGTTTCTGGTAGCTAGGAGAAGTGACTGGCATATAGTAGGTGACCAAAATGTGTTTGTAAAAATGACTATGAAACAAGAAAGTAAGCAATAGTTTAGGCAATAATGAGCACTCACAAGACATAAAAAACTAATTTTAAAATGAACTCTGCAGACAATGACGCAGGAACAATGTTTCTCAAACTGGGGTCATAGGTTTCTTTCAAGAATATTTTTGATTTTATAAATGTATGAGATTCACATTTGAGGAATTTATCTCTGGTTTCATGTTTGTATGTATTTAGTCAACAATATAATTAAAATAATTTAATATTAGGGAATCCTCAGAAATATTGTCCTTTTAATAGAAAATTATTCAATGGCATATGAATTCTGTTTGAATTCTGTTTCAAACAAATTGAAAAATAGTTTAAAAATTATATTTGAATAAGAGTAATTTAATTACTGAATAGTTACTCTTAAGACAATAATTGATAATTTAAAGAAATTATTATTATTATTTTGAGACAAGGTCTCACGCTGTCACCCAGACTGAAGTGAAGTGGTGCGATCTCGGCTCACTGCAACCTCCACCTCCTGGGCTCAAGGGATCCTCTCGCCTCAGCCCTCCAAGTAGCTGGGCCTACAGGCATGCATCATCACACCTGGCTAAGTTTTGTATTTTTTATAGAGATGGGGGTCTCACCAAGTTGCCCAGGCTGGTCTTGAACTCCTGAGGTCAAGTGATCCACTCGCCTTGGCCTCCCAAACTGCTAGAGATTACAGGTGTAGCCACTGCACCTGCCAAGAAATTATTACTGATTTTTTTAGGTGTGATTGTTGTCTTTTTAAAATAATTTTTATCTTTTTTTTTTTTTCAAGATGGGGTCTCCCTCTGTTGCTCGAGCTGGAGTGCAGGGGCACTATCAAAGCTCACTGGACCCTTGAACTTCTGAGCTCAAGCAACCCTCCCACTTAACTCCAAGTATTTGGGACTGCAGGTGCTTGCCCCATGCCTGGCTAGTAGAATCCTTATTTAAAAAAAAATACATACTGAAATAGGTCTGAATGAGATGATATGATGTCAGCGATTTGTTCTGAAGTAAGATGTGTGCAATTCATTCTCAAGTAACAAGGAGTGTGTTATTAGTATGTGGAGATACAGATTGTGGTAGGCAGAATAGTGGCTCCCCAGAGATGTGCATGCCCTAATCCCCAGAAATTAAAGTAGCAGATGGAATTAAGGGTGCTAATCACCTGACCTTAAAATTATGAGATTATCCTAGATTATCCAAGTGGGCACAATGTAATCACCAAAGTCCTTATATGTGGAAAAGGGTGGAAGAGTCAGAATCACAGTGATGCAATGTGAGAATGACTTCACTGGCTTTTGCTGCCTTTGAAGATGGAAGAAAGCCACAAGCCAAGGAATGTGGGCAGCCTCTAGAATCTGGAATAGATGAGTAAATTGGAATCCTCTCTTGAGCCTCAAGGAAGGAACTCAGTACTGCAGACACCTTGATTTTAGCCCGCTGAAACCCATTTACTAGAAATCATAAGTGAAACCAACTTGGCTTAGAGGGATTTTTTGGTTTGTTTTGGTAGAATATTTTTTAGTCCAAATTCAATTTATTTAATAGACAAAGGATCATTCAAATTTTATTTCTATTTCACTTTTATTAAGTTGTATTTTTCAGTAAATTTGTACCTTTTATATATGTTGTTAAATGTATTGGTACAAAGCTGATCATTACATTCTCTCATTATTTGTTTGATATTTATAGCCCCTCTTTTTATTCATAATATTGCCAATATGTATTTTTTTCTTATTTTAAGTCTGTCTTTAGGGATTTTTCTATTGTATTACTCTTTCTAAAGATTCAACTTTTATTGAGTTAATTTTCCTTATTGTCTATTTAATATTTTACTTGTTTCTGCTCTTATGACCGTCTATTTTGGGTTTAATTTGCTCTTCTTTCCATAGCTTCTTAACATAGAAACGTGGTCATTTTAAAAGCTTCTTTTCTAATACAAGATTTAAAACTTTAAGTTTTCCTCTAAACACTGCTTAGCTGTATCCTATAAATTTTGTTGTATTTTCATTCTGTCTGCCTAGAACATAACATTTTCAAATTTCCTTTGTGTTTTTTTGTCATTTATTTGTTTATTTATAAATTTGGTGTTTAATTTCAAAATTTGGGGAGCTTTCTTAGTTAATCTATTGTAATTTATGTACAATTTAATTACGTTGTGTTCAGAGAAACTACTGTGTAATATTTCAATCTTTAAAAATGTGTTAACATTTACTATATGCAGAATCCATCATATGGTCTATTTTTGTGAAAATCTCATGTATTCTTTAAAATAATGTGTATCCTGAGGTTATTATAAATAATGTTCTATATTATATATAATGTTCTATAAAACCACCTTGATCCATTAGGTCAAAGTGACTGAGATTGAAATCCAAATCTCTGAATTCTTACTGGACTTTTATTTAAATTATTCCATAAATTACTGGGATATGAGTTAAAATCTCTAGCTATTACTATAGATTTGTTTCTCTCATTTGTTAATTTTGTTTCTTGTATTTTGAAGCTATGTAAATTTAAATGCATATATATTTATGTGAATTATGCTTCCTGATGAATTGCCCCTATTATCATTACGAAATGTAACTTTTAACTCTGGAAATAGTCTTTGTCATGAAGTTTACTTTATATATCGATGTATATACTATTTTTAACATCATTTTAAATATAATTCCTCTGATTGCTTTTAAAATACTTTTATTTTCAGTAGTTACTTAGTCATGCATACATAACATCACAGTCTTTCTGTAACTAATACATAACTTATACTAAGTTACATATAATATAAAAACTACATAGCACTATATTTTCACTTACCCCATTCATTCTTCGTAGTATTACTGTCATATATATGTATGTATATATATATACACACACGTATATATGTGTGTGTGTCTATATATATATATATATATATATATTTTGAGATGGAGTCTCGCTCTGCTGCCCAAGCTGGAGTGCAGTGGTGTGATCTTGACTCATTGCAGCCTCCTTCACCTCCCCGGTTCAAGCAAGTCTCCTGCCTCAGCCTCCCTAGTAGCTGGGACTACAGGCACGCACCACCACAGCCAGCTAATTTTTTTGTATTTTTAGTAGAGATGGGGTTTCGCCATGTTGGCCAGGCTGGTCTCAAACGCCTGACCTCAAGTGATCTACCTGCCTTGACCTTTGTCATATATTATAAATATACATACATTATAATCCCTAAAATATAGTATTCTTATAAGTACATTAACAATATATTTTTAAAAAACAGCATTTACAGTACTCTTTTTATTATGAAACTAAGTTTCCATCTGGTGTCATTGCCCTTCAGTCTGACAAACTTCCATTAGTGTTTCTTGTAGGGCAGATATGCTTGTGATGAATTCTCTCAGTTTTGATGCTGTTTTCTTTGCTTGTTTTGCTATTGTGAATTCTCCAAATACATACTGAGCCCTAAATCTACTTAGACTTTGTGATTTAAAATTATGCCAGTTTTTTTTTTTTTCTTTTTTGAAACAGGGGTCTCACTCTGTGGCCCAGGCTGAATTACAGTGGCACAGTTCTAGCTCACAGCAACCTTAAACTCCTAGGGTCAAGAGAGCCTCCTCCTTCAGCTTCATAAGTAGCTGGGATCACAGGCACAAGCCACCATGCCTAGCTAATTTTTTTATCATTTGTTGAGATGTGGCCTCACTCTGCCAAGGCAGGTCTCAAACTCCTGGGCTCGAGTGATTCTCCTACCTCAGTCGCCTGAAGTGCTTGGATCACAGGCGTGAGTGACTGTGCCTGGCCAACACAGTGATTTTCAAAAGGAATCAGTAAATAGCTGTTGGTTTACGGCTAAAATGGCAGTAGGATTGGTTCAATGTTTTTATAATTTTGAAATTCCTCAAACAGTTTCATGTAAATAAGAGATAAGAAGAAACTTCAAATTGTGTGTATGCATATGTGTATGTTTGAGACAGAAAGAGGAAGAAAGAGAGACTATTTCTCAAATATGGATAGGTCAAAAAATATCCCAATAGCACCCTGTTAGCACTTTGTTTCTAGGTTAAGAAGGTTTTTTTTTAATGACTAGATTTTTACAAATGTTTGGCTTTTGTTCCCTAATAGTCACTGTAGAAAATGTGCAAGGATGTAAGAGTCATAGCAATCACTATCAATCTTTTTGGCCTGATTAGTTCTTTTTTTAAGGCAGAAAGCCAAACCTGACACTATTTACTACTTTATCTTGACAGATATATTCCAGTTTGGGGTGAAATGCAAAAGGTTTATGATGTAGTTTTATGACACATCATCCGAAGCAAGCTGGCTGCTTGCCACTATAGAGAATTCTAGTTATGAGGAGTGACTGGTCTAAAATTATGGCTAATGAAATTATAGCCTAGATTTATCAGCATCCGATAATGATAGACACATATTTGTTTGTTTGTTTATAACAGTCTGCAATTTTAGAAGTATCTTGTATCTTTGACATTTCTTTTTTTTTTTTTTTTGAGACAGAATCTCACTCCGTAGCCCAGGCTGGAGTGCAGTGGCACTGTCACCTCATTGCAAACTCTGCCTCCTGGGTTCAAGCAATTCTCATGCCTCAGCCTTTCAAGCAGCTGGGATTACAGATGCCTGCCACCACACCTGGCTAATTTTTGTATTTTTAGTGGAAATGAGGTTTCACCATGTTGGCCAGGCTATTATCGAACTCCTGACCTCAAGTGATCCACCTGCCTCAGCCTCCTAGAGTGCTGGGATTACAGGCGTGAGCCACTGTTATCTTGAATATTTTTTTCTCCTCATTTTTATGATCTTTGAATTATTTATTTTATTCTTCTTTTTGGAGCAAATATGTTGAAACTCTAATTTAATTTTTAGATGATCCCGAGTATTCAAATGGATGTGCCCTCTGACCTATGTATAAGTTATATTACATGGTGACTAAAAATAGAACTAACTCCAAAAGTGACCTAAGATCTTATTTTTTTCCAGAGGTGGTTGTTTCTTCTCCTTCTCCTTCTCCTCCTCCTCCTCCTTCTTCTTCTCCTCATTCTCCTCCTTCTTCTCCTCCTTCTCCTTCTTCTCCTCCTTCTCCTTCTTCTCCTCCTTCTCCTCCTTCTTCTCCTTCTTCTCCTCCTTCTCCTCCTTCTTCTCCTTCTTCTCCTTCTCCTCCTTCTTCTCCTTCCTTCCCTTCCTTCCCTTCCTTCCCTTCCTTCCCTTCCTTCCTCCTCTCCTCCTCCTCCTTCTTCTTCTTTTTTGTAATAACTCAGTCCTGAGGATTTTGGGATAAACCAAAACTGACTGGGTAAAGGAGGTGACAATTTTGTACTAAATAAATTCTACAGTATCCAGGGCAGATCAGTTGTTAGCAGGAACTTCTGAAAACTCAGATCATGTTTGTCAAACAACACATACTTAAGAGCATCTCCTTTTGCCTAACTCTGTGTCAAATGTCATAGAAATATAAAAATATCTGTAAGAAAAAGAGAGGACATACAATTATGCTGGAAAAAATTACAACTGGTAAGAACAACTAAGTGCTAAATTTTATAGTAATATGCAAATTGTAGAGTTTCAATAAAGACTGTGGATTGGGATAATTGATGGGGTTTCACCAGTGGGAATGGGGAATCAACTGAAGGGCTTTTTAACTTTGGTTCTATTCTGGATGGGGTGACTATGAAGCAAGACAAACAACCAACCAACCAGATTTATTGGTAGAAATAATTTAGACAATCTAAGGAATGATCTAAGTAGGGTCAGCTTAAGCCTTCCAGGCCAAGACCAATATAGTTACAGGATAAATTTCAAGAAGATCTCATTTCTATTTTATTGTGACAAAAAAAGAAGGTGTCCAACAGGTTAAATTCTGGTCTACGCTGAGCTATTGTATTAGTTTTCTTTCTTTTTTTTTTTGAGACGGAGTCTCACTCTGTCCCCCAGGCTGGAGTGCAGTGGCGTGATCTCGGCTCACTGCAAACTCCGTCTCCTGGGTTCACGCCATTCTCCTGCCTCAGCCTCCCGAGTAGCTGGGACTACAGGCGCCCGCCACTACGCCCGGCTAATTTTTTTGTATTTTTAGTAGAGACAGGATTTCACCGCGTTAACCAGGATGGTCTTGATCTCCTGACCTCGTGATCCGCCCGCCTCGGCCTCCCTAAGTGCTGGGATTACAGGCTTGAGCCACCGCGCCCGTCGTGTATTAGTTTTCTATTGCTATGTAACAGATTACTGCAAATTTGGCACCATAAGACAACATATATTCCACAGTTTCTCTGGGTCAGGAGCCTGGGCCCAGCTTAACTGGGTCCTCTGCTGAGTGTTTCAAAAAGCTGCAGTCAACACGTTGGCTAAACCACTGTCTTATCTGGAGGCTCAACTAGGAAAGAATCTGCTTCTGAGCTCATTTAGGTTGTTGGCAGAATTCTGATCTTTGTGGCTGTATGACTGAGGCCCCAGGTTTTATTGGCTGTCAGACCCTAGAGGCCACTCATAATTTCCCGCTACATGAACCTTTACATAGGCAGTTGCAACATGGGAGTTTGTTTCTTCAAGGTTAGAAGGTCTCAACTTTGGTCTGCTAGCAGTCATACATATATGACCTTTTATATACTTCAGGTATGCTAAGCTATAGATAGATCTAGATAGACACATAGAGTAACCTAATCATGGGAGTGTCATTGCATCACCTTTAGCATATTCTATTAATGAAAACTAAGTCACAGATTCTGCCTGCCCTCAAGGAAAGGAGATTAACTTATTAAGATGTCACCTTGGGCTTTGTCCACCTATCTACCAAATATTAAATTATGTATTTGTACCATTTTTTTTGTACTAGTTAAGAATTCAGCACTTTAGTTGGTGATCTTAAATAATCTCTTTCTCCTCACTAGATCTCAGTGTTGGGAGACAATTCTCTATGTGTCTCTCATATTTTTGGGCATCTGGGCAAGAGGCTTTCACATCTTTGTTCTGTTTATATGCCTAATATCTCCTTCCAGGTCAGGTGACAGATTTGTTTCCTAACCAGGATGATAAATATAATTTTTTCCTTCCTGAGAAATATTAGGCAGGTTTGCTAGCATTCTCCCTATAAGATTGAGGGTTTCCTAAGCTGAGGGTATCTCAACTACTGTAACACAATTCTACTGCATGTGCAGTATCTATGTAGGCCCACATCCTCATCACCATATGGTACTTGGAAACAGGATATCAGTATGAACATGAAGCTCATGTTGCCTGCTGTGGCCTGGATAGTAAAGTCTTTTGTTTCTGACCCCGTGGTCTCATGTCTTCTACCAGCGCATACAAAACTGTAGACAGGGTAATGCATTAGCTTGCAGGCAGGGTAAAATCTCAGACCCTTCAAAATTCTTGACATTCAATTTTTCTCTACATAATTTAAGAGATTAAGGTGAGATGATTTCTCAGGTTCTTTTCATGTTTAATCTTTGATATTCTAACTGGCTCTGTCATTTTCATCATTGTTGCAGAAGAACTCAACCATTTTTGTACTTGACCTCCTTAAAAGATCTTTGACTAAACACTCCACAATAGTCTGATTATAGTCAAGATTATTTAAAACCACCTTTTACAAATGGGGAAACAAAATTTATTTTAATTTGCTGGTACTGCTAATATAATCTATTGGCCATTTGGGAAACAAATCTGTTAGCACACTGATTTAACTGGGAGTTAGGTGCTTATCCCTCAGCTCATGTTTTTGTTATAGTTTTTTGTGTGTATCGCAGCGTTATAAAATCCCATCCTCTGCATTTCTTTAAGTTGTGATTATATATAAGTGACTGAAATGTATATATGTATCGTATCTTTTGTTGAAACTTTTCCATTTTCACATTTTATCTTATCTTATTTTATTTTATTTTTGAGACAGAGTCTCGCTCTGTGGCCCAGGCTGGAGTGCAGTGGTGCAATCTCCGTCTCCTGGATTCAAGCGATTCTTGTGCCTCAGCCTCCTGAGTAGCTGGGGTTACAGGCACGCACCACCACACTGGGCTAATTTTTGTATATATATTTTTTTGAGATGGAGTCTTACTCTGTCGCCAGGCTGGAGTGCTATGGCGCGATCTTGGCTCACTACAACATCTGACTCCCTGGTTCAAGGGATTCTCTTGCCTCAGCCTCCTGAGTAGCTGGGATTACAGAGCTGGGATTACAGGCACGAGCCACCATGCCCGGCTAATGTTTTTTGTATTTTAGTAGAGATGGAGTTTCACTATGTTGGCCAGGATGGTCTCGATCTGACCTCGTGATCTGCCCGCCTTGGCCTCCCAAAGTGCTGGGATTACAGGCGTGAGCAACCGCGCCTGGCCCAATTTTTGTGTTTTTGGTAGAGACGAGGTTTCACCACATTGGCAAGGATGGTCTCAATCTTGAACTCCCGGCCTCAGGTGATCCACCCACCCTGGCATCCCAAAGTGCTGGGATTACAGGCGTGAGCCACCGTGCCTGGCTCATTCTCACATTTTAAAACATTAAATCTTCTATTGTTAGTTACTATTTGTTAATTGACATTTTTCATTGTATTATGAAAAAATAAAGTGATTTGGCAGGAGACAGAATTTCAGTAAACAGGGTTGGAAGCCTGAGAGAGCATCCTGAAATAAACTTATAAGGCAGGTAAAGTGGACAGATATGACAAGTAGTTTTTTCAAAGAGTTAGCAAAAGACCACACAACTGCCTGGTTTTGCTATTTTGCTGTTTTCTTGAGCTACAGTTGAAGGCAATAAACTCAAAAGTAATTTTATTTCATATACAAAATTTATAGAGACTTCAGACTTTATATTTTTCACAGAAAATTATATTTGGCTTAATCCTTTAAAACTCCAACATGGAAAAATTTGAACATTATAACATCAGAATTGGTGCCACACATGAGCATTCCATTTGTGTGTGTGTGTGATAGGTCAAACAAAAGTGAAAATGTGCCCCTACCTCCACCTAAGGGGACAGGTTTTAGGCAAAATGTTATTTATTTGCAGCCACCCGTTCTCCTCCCTTCTCAGCCTCAAATGACAATGATGACAATTAAGAAGAGAGAGTTGATTGATGATGACAACAATAGCCACACAACAGCTAATATTTATTGAGTCTTTAATGTGTATCAGGCATTGTTCTACGTGCTTTACTAGTGAGGCTGGAGTGCAGTGGTGCAATCTCGGCTCACTGCAATCTCTGTCTCCTGGACTCAAGCGCTCCCCCAACCTCGGCCCCAAAAGTAGCTGGGACTACAGGCATGAGTCTCTACGCCTGGCTAATTTTTGTATTTTTTTTTGTAGAGACAGCGTTTCACCATGTTGCCCAGGCTGGTCTCAAACTCCTGAGCTTAAGTGATCCACTTTGCCTCCATCTCCCAAAGTGCTAGGATTACAGATATGAGCCACCATGCCCGGCCTACTAGTGTGTCATTTAAGTCTTAAAACAGTTTATGGTTAAGTGTTACTATTAAGCCTATTTTAATGAAACTGTAGCAAACTTAGTTATGTCACCTGCCCAAGCTCAGATCATTTTTAAGTAGGGCCAGAACTTTATCCCAGGGATAAATAATATTTCAGTGGACTGAGAAGTTGAATTAGGAAAAAATGAACCTAATTTTGATTTTGAGAAATCTATTGAATGTTCCACTCATAATTAATTTACAACAATGAACAAAATAAGGGAAAAAATCATCACCTAGAAGACAGATATATAGGGTTGAACAGAGAGTGACAAAGAGCGAGAGCTAGAAGATTCTTTGGGGGCCCCTCTTTCTTACATCTCAGCCTCTCCGATTCTATCAGATGAGTCCTAGCAGCATTTTCCATGCTGCACTTTTTTGTGTGTGTGATTTAACCACACATTCTTCATCAAATACGACGTCACTTCTCTGCTCCCTTTGCCAGACAATTCTCCAGAGAGCTACCTATGTTTTCTATCTCTGCTTCCCTGATTTCTTCTTTCAGCTTGCTTCAGTGAAGTTTCCTGCCCAATACGCCAAAGAAATTGCTTTTACCAAAGTCATCAATGATGTCTGTGTTGTTACCTTAAGTGCATACTTCTGGTTTTTATCTTACTATACCTCTCAATATCATCTAACAAAGTCGATTATCTTTTTCTTCACAAAACACTCCCTTTTTTGTAACATCACACTTGTCTGATTGGCCCTTTGTCATTGGCCCCTTTCTCAGTCTCTTTTACTGGCTTCTCTTGCATGAACAAACTCAAATCTAGTGTGATTTCTTCAACTTTGTCCCTAGCCAGTGCCTGGCCTTTGAGAGTATTCAATAAATATTTGCTGGATGTATGAATGAATGAATGGGTAGATGAATAAGTAAATTTGTGAATGAATGAAATTATATAGAAGCACATAGGCGATAAAGCTTAACTTTGCCAACAGCAATCAGAAAAGTTTTCCTTGAGAAGGTAAGAACTGACCTATCTTGAGACATGAGTCAAGATTTGTCTGGTGGCTAGGCCTAGAGGCTCAGATTTATAACCCCAGCACTTTGGGAGGCCTGAGGGGGAGGAATGTTTGAGACCAGGAGTTCAAGACCTGCTGGGGCAACATAGTGAGATTCCTTCTGTAGAAAAAATTTTAAAAAATTCCCCAGGCATAACCAAGTGCTGTGGCTCACGCCTGTAATCCCAGCACTTTGGGAGGCCGAGGTGGGCAGATTACGAGGTCAGGAGATTGAGACCATCCCGGCTAACATAGTGAAACCCCGTCTCTACTAAAAATACAAAAAATTAGCTGGGCGTGGTGACACACGCCTGTAGTCCCAGCTACTCGGGAGGTTGAGGCAGGAGAATCGCTTGAACCTGGGAGGTGGAGGTTGCAGTGAACCGAGATTGCGCCACTCACTGCACTCTAGCCTGGTGTGACAGAGCGAGACTCTCTCTCAGAAAAAATAAAAATAAAAAAAAAATTACCCAGGCATGGTGGTGCCCATCCATAGTCCTAGCTACTAAGGAGGTTGAGGCAGTAGGATCGCTTGGGCCCAGGAATTGTGAGCCGTGATTATGCCATTGTACCCCAGCCTGGGTGACAGAGTCAGACCCTGTCTCTAAAAAAAAAAAAAAAAAAAGATTTGTTTGGTGAACAAATAAGGCATTCCAGAAATGAATATTCTTAGAAAATTAACTTACAGCTTACCATTTCTTAGGAAGCTATGGGAGAATGTACTATTCCAGAAGGAGAAAACTGAGAGAGAGAAAAATGAACTTCAGGATACCCAACACAAGTGAGAGAAAAGGGAATATCATGGAAGAATGATAGAGGGATGCTGTGATGATGGCTAGGCAGCAGGCCTAGAGTTGAGTAGTCCAGTTTTGATGGGAAGGTCAGAGCACCACAAAGAAATGAAATTAGTATAATGCACTTCTACCAGTGACATTAAGTCTGCTAGATACCCAGAAACCCAGGTAATGTAGGTACATATTAAGTAAACTAAAAAGTTATACAAAAAGAAAAAAAGCATCATGGCTTAGGTTCGAAAGTATTTAACATAGTCATTATGATGCAATACTGAATATTTTATTAAAATTAAGTTTTATCTTTATAAGAAGGATGAAAGAAAGAGAAAAATCTGTACTTTGGGGAGGGATAAGCATGAAAGGAAGCTAAGTTCTCATGTTCTGCAGAGGAAATTTAATAAATGACTAAAATTAAAAATTATCAATTAGCATTATAAATATATTAATTGCAGATAAGGAGTTAAATGCTAAAATTAAAAGCCAGAATAGTTGGAAATGGTTGCCCCTATGGAAGAGAAAGAAAAGGGGAGGGATCAATTGATTACTGCTTTTCAGAATAAACCATGTAGAAATATTTTGCATTAAAATATATGTTAAAAAGAATAAAATTAGGCAGAAGAGAGATAAAACAACATGATTAAACAATTCAGTTTTCAACATTCATTTCTGAGTGTGGTGCCAAAACTCTTGTTTCAATGTGGGAGAGTTTTAAAAAGGATTGGTGAAGAAGTTGAGGGCTTTGTATTTAATTCAACTTCATAAAAATAATCCTCTGTCAATTGATGTAATCTCAGAATTGCTTCTTAGAAGGTGAGGATGGGACCACAGGCAGACCTAACTGGCTGCCTATTATCTTTTAAGGAAATTACTTTCTAAGCTCCTATGCTCCTGAACAAGAAACAGCACACAAACCAGCACTAGAGGAAAGGACAAAATTCCATGAACACTATGTTTTCTCCAGTCCAGAGCATGGGTCGCTATGCAACCGTTGATATTTCCTGACCACAACTAGACTTCTGGTATAATTCAGGAAGCTGGGTCATTATCCTAACCTTCAGAATGAGTAATAAAACATCTAATTTTCTAAATGTGACATTGTTAGTCTTGGGTAAAGCTGGTTTCTCTGGCTTCTTGGTCTATTTTTAGTACTTTTTCTAAATTCAGAAAATGTGAAACTCTTTAAGACAAAAACTTTTGTCTGTGACACTGTAAATTATTTTATTAACAGATTCTGGGCAAATCCTAAGATAATTCTAAAAATAACACTGAAAAATGTTACAAATAATTTTTGTACATATTTTACTTCACAGATGTAGATTCTTGCCCTTGGACTCCATTATTCTTTAAGTATTTTCCATGTTTCTAGACAACATTTATGGTCCTTTGAACTCTTCTAAAGTAGAAATTTGTTTACAGCAAGAATAGAGTAGTATAAAAACAGGTTGTAATGTATTGCTTTCACAAGTGATACACTTATCAGGATGCTGCTCCAGCATCACAAAAGCTTATCAAAATGATTGTAAAATGTAATTTTAAATAATGTTTTGAACAACATTGACCATATGTAATGGTTAATATTGAGTGTCAACCTGATTGGAGTGAGGATGCAAAGTATTGTTCCTGGGTGTGTGTGTGAGGGTGTTGCCAAAGGAGATTATCATTTTAGTCAGTGGACTAGGAGAGGCAGACCCACCCTCATTCTGGGTGGGCAGCATCTAGTCAGCTGCCAGTGCAGCTAGGATAAACGTAGGCAGAGGAACATGGAAGGACTAGACTGGCTGAGTCTTCTGGCCTCCATCTTTCTCCTGTGCTGGATGCTTCCTGTCTTTGAAATTAGACTCCAAGTTCTTCAGCTTTTGGAATCTTGGACCTACACCAGTGGTTTATCAGGGGCTCTTGGGCCTTCGGCCACAGACTGAAGGCTGCACTGTCGGCTTCCCTACTTTTGAGGTTTTGGGACTTGGACTGGCTTCCTTGCTCCTCAACTTGCAGACAGCCTATTGTGGGACTTCACCTTGTGGATGTGTGAGTCAGTACTCCCTTTTTTTTGAGACGGAGTCTCCCTCTATTGCCCAGGCTGGAGTGCGGTGGCACAATCTCAGCTCACTGCAACCTCCGCTTCCTGGGTTCAAGCAATTCTCCTGCCTCAGCCTCCTGAATAGCTGGGACTACAGGCATGCACCACCACGCCCGGCTAGTTTTTTTGGTATTTTTAGTAGAGATGGGGTTTCACCATGTTGGCCAGGCTGGTCAGTACTCCTTAATAAACTCCTTTCATGTACACATCTATCCCATTAGTCCTCTCCCTCTAGAGAACCTGATTAATACACCACACCATTTAACAATTGCTCCCTGATTCTGTTTTAAAATATGAGCTGTGGATTTTGTTTTCTTTCTTTCTTTTCTTTTGGCTGGGGTTGGGGAGAGATTTTGGATGAGCTGTAGATTTTCTTATAAGATACTACTCAATGTATATTTTTCAGTATAATGAGGTATTTGTTGTACTAGTTCCCTAAAGCAGAGCCTGCAGATAAAAAGCTGTATCTGTAGCTGTCTGAGCAGCATGTGACTTAGTACCCAGTTTCAAAATGCCTGGGTTCAAATCCCATCTCTAATACTTGTAAACTCTGTGACCTCAGGTAAATTTCTTAACCTCTCTGTGACTCAGTTTTATCATTGTAAAATGGAGGGATTAAAAGTACTAATGTCATTATGCTGTTATGAGGATAAAAATTGGAACCGCAGCTGGCACATTGTAAGAATCATATGAATTTTAGCTTTATAAATGTAGTCATTATTATTGGAAAGTGGGGTTGATTTGTAGACATCGTTGACTCTCTTAGTCTCAGCTGTTGGGGGGAAGCAAAAGCTACCTCCCATGCTTCAACTTGCAAACATGCTGTAAGCTGCCAGTTTCTGCCTCAGTGTATGCTCAGTCTTCTTTAGAATGTAGTTTCCTATGCAGCCCTCTGAAGGGAAAGCTGAGAAAATGTACACGGGAAAAGGGAAGTAGTAATCACTTTGACAAATTAATTAAAGTCAAATGTTAAAGAAAACCAAACACGTCGAGGCACGGTGGCTTACACCTGTAATCCTAGCACTTTGGGAGGCCAAGGCGGGTGGATCACCTGAGGTCAGGATTTGAGACCAGCCTGGCCAACATGGCAAAACCCCATCTCTACTAAAATTACAAAAATTAACTGGGCATGGTGGCAGGTGTCTGTAATCCCAGCTACTCAAGAGGCTGAGGCAGGAGAATCACTTGAACCTGGGGGGCGGAGAGTGTAGTGAGCCAAGATTGCGTTATTGCCCTCCAGACTGGGCAATAGAGCGAGACTCCCTCTCAAAAAAAAAAAAAAAAAAAAACGGAAACCAAGTACTTGATTCTTGCCTTCAAATTTGGAGACAAAAGATTTAGACACCCATATCATTCAGCTGCAAACATCAGAACACACAGCTAACGGTGGTTTAAGCAATAACGATCTTTGTTATCTTGTTTAATCAGCAGTCAGGAGGCAGGTAGTTCCCGGTTATGGGCAAAGGCTGAATGAACTCAACAACAAGATACAGGATGTTCTCTCTTTTGGCTTTGGCAAGTTTAATTATTCTGCAACACAGCTCCTGTAGCTTTAAGCATCATATCCCCAACCTTGGCATTCCAAGGAGGAATAAGGGGACAAGTTGGAGGAAAAAGGAGTTTCTTTCTTACTTGGGAGGAAAAGTTTTCCTAGAAAACTTCCGGTAAATTCTGTTTTAAATTTAATTGCAAGAAAAGGGTCCCATGGCCATGGCTAGCTTCACTGAAAATTGGGAAAGTAAATGGAAAAATGCAGTGGAATTGACATGATTGGCTTATTAGCAGTAAGGATTGATTAGGTGTGTCTGAAATCATCATCATCCCTAATAAAACTGGTGTTCTGCAGGTAAGGAGGGCAACAGCTGTCATGTGGGCAAATGACCTTTCTGTCACAGAGCCTGGAACAATTAGGGAACTATACACAGAAATTACACTGAAGTAGATATTCAATTGATAAAATGGGGAATAATCTTTAGGCAGCTGTATTAGTCTATTCTTGCATTGCTGTAAAGAACTACCTGAGGCTGGGTAATTTATAAAGAAAAGGGTTTAATTGGCTCACAGTTCTGCAGGCTGTATAGGAGGCATGGCTGGGGAGGCCTCTGGAAACTTACAATCACGGCAAAAGGCGAAAAGGAAGGAGGCACGTCTTACATGGCCAGAGCAGGAGGAAGCAAGAGAAGCGGGAGTTGCTACACACTTTTAAACGACCAGATCTCATGGGAACTCACTCAGTATCATGAGAACAGCAAGGGCGAAATCCGTCCCATGATCCAGTCACCTCCCATCAGGCCCCTGCTCCAACACTGGAGATTACAATTCGGCAGGAGATTTGGGTGGGGACCCAAATCCAAACCGTATCAGCAGCATAGGAAACACAAAGGCAAACAGAATATTGTGGAATCACATGGAAGACAACATGGAGCAAATAAGACTTTCATTTTGTCTTAAATAATTAAACTAGGCTACTGCTAGAGGATCCGGTCAAGCCTCAAATGTCCCTGTGCCTTCTGAACATTTGGATATGGTATTCTGTATTCTCAGTGAATGCTGCATCTTTCCACGCAGTAGAGTAAACCAGAATTCTGTGGTTATCCTTGACTGCTCCTTCATCTCCCACATCCAGTCAGTACCTACCTTCTCTCTCTCTCTCTTTTTGTTATTTTTTTAGAAGGGGTCCTGCAATGTCACCCAGGCTGAGTGTAGTCATGCAATCGCAGCCTACTGCAGCCTCAACTTTCGGGTCTCAGGACATCCTTTCACCTCAATGTCCTGAGTAGCTGGGATCACAGGCACATGGCACCATACCCAGCTAATTTAAAAAATCTTCTGTAGAGGTGGGGGTCTCACTATGTTGCCCAGGTTGGTCTCGAACTCCTAGGCTCAAGCAGTTCTCCCACCTTGGCCTCCCAAAATGCTGGGATTATAGGCATGAGCCATTGCACCTAGCTGAGTACCTACCTTAAAAAAAGAGGCTTATGGCCGGATGCGGTGGCTCACACCTGTAATCCCAGCACTCTGGAAGGCCGAAGTGGGCAGATCACAAGGTCAGGAGGTCGAGACCATCCCGGCTAACGTGGTGAAACCCCGTCCCTACTAAAAATAGAAAAAATTAGCCAGGCATGGTGGCGGGTGCCTGTAGTCCCAGCTACTTGGGAGGCTGAGGCAGGAGAATTGTGTGAACCTGTGAGGCGGAGCTTGCAGTGTGCCGAGATCATGCCACTGCACTCCAGCCTGGGCTACAGAGCAAGACTCCATCTCAAAAAAAAAAAAAAAAAAAAAAAAAGAGGCTTATATCTTGTTTGCATTATAAGCTTCCCTGTTTGCACTGTTTTCCTCTTCAATATAACCTCCACACTGCAGCCAGTGATACAACATAGTGATCATCCCCACTTACCTTCTTTCGACCATTCCTCAGGATCTCTCAGAGAAGGCCCAATACTTATGATCTTACACTGTCTCATCTCTTTCTCCATCACCGTTTATTCAGTCATACTAATCTACTAGCAGTTGCCCTGATGTCACAGGTGTTCTCACACTCCACCCTAGCTCATGCTGCTCTCTCTCTACACTGAATGTAGTTTATGATAAACTCCTATTTATTCAAGATTTATGTCATGTGTCATCTAATGCTTTAGATTGGGTTAGGCCTCTTTATGCCTTGCTTCCCTATTTCCAACCATAACTCTTAGCAAAATCCTTTATTAAAAAAGAGTTTTGTTGGCCGGGCACAGTGGCTCACCCCTGTAATCCCAGCATTTTGGGAGGCTGAGGCGTGTGGATCACCTGAGGTCAGGAGTTTGAGACCAGCCTGGCCAACATAATGAAACCCCATCTCTACTAAAAATACAAAAAATTAGCTGAGCATTGTGGTGGGCACCTGTAATCCCAGCTACTCAGGAGGCTGAGGCAGGAGAATCGCTTGAACCCGGGAGGCGGAGGTTGCAGTAAGCCGAGATTGCGCCATTTTACTCCAGCCTGGGCAACAAGAGTGAAACTCCATCTCAAAAAAAAAAAAAAAGTGTTTTGTTGACAATTTACTATGTTTCAGATATTAAATTAGATCTAATTAGTCTAATTAGATTCCATGCAACCTCTGACTTGAGAGGAGACTTTTATAGGCTATCTCATTTAATCTACATCACATTGCACTGTAAGAATTTTACAGACAAATTGTATGTAGCATGGGATGATTGCATTTGACACAAAAAGGCTAACTGGACTGTAAGAGATCCCTACAGCAAAAGGCCATGGGAATGTTTTTCCTGATACCATACACAGGCAACCACCATTTACTTTTCAAATCAAAAGTTGTGACATTCCTGCAGGCATAATTTCTGCAGGCTACTATACAAACAATTGTTGGTCACTCCCTACAAGGCTGTTTTTAGTTGATCTTTATATTTCAAAAGACCTCCCCTAACCCCTGATTGACTGCTGAACTTTACCATTAGTTATCTCTACCAGTAGTTGGAAGGTGCTCACTTACCATAAAACGTACATTTTAACACTCATTGTGCAACTCTGCCATAGTGTCCTGCAGCATCTCCAACATATCAATTTGCTTGCTGCTCACCATCCATTAAAAGTTCAAACTGCTCAAAAAGACATGGAATAATAATAATAATGGCAAAAAGAATGATCATGACAGAGTAAGCAAATAAATTGGCTGGGAACATATGATGTCACTTACTCTATGTGCTGGTTGATGGGTCACGAGAAAAATATATACAAATTTTCCTGCTCAGTGGAGTAATAAATAGATTCTTCTCTCAAAAACATTACTTTTGAAACAAACAGCCTATAACAAACCAGCACTATATGCAACAGAACTAAATATTGTGCTTACAGGAGATATAACTGAGTCAAAGAGATTGGGAACTGACCCAAGGCCAATTTCCTAGGAATCTGTAGAGCCAGAATTTAACCCCAGGTCTGCCTTGCTCTGCAGTAGATGTTCTTTTGACTATACCACACTATCTTGATATAGCATGTAACACATGCTGTTGTAATTATTACTTTTTTTTTTAACCCTTTCTTCCCTTTGGAGTTGGATTGAGGAAATTTTAAATGTTAGTATCTATATGGAAACCCAAAGGTGCATTCTTTAACATCTGATCACTCTTGTTAAAATATATCTTAATATACATCATTATTACACCATATTTATGTTTTATTGCTATAGAATTAGAAAGACTATCTGGAGCTAGTCCAGGAAGTAGGACCATAGCCAACAAGAGCAGAGGAGAGTTTCTGTGCAGGCCTGATAAAAAGGCTTAGTATTTTGCGCTACTTGACACCCGAGTTGTCAGTTACATCTTTTAGTTGTAATTGGTATATTGAACTGAACCAACTTACAGGATGTAATCCTAATTTATCTTCAATTAATTTATTAATTTACCTTCAATTGTCCCATTAGATCCCTTTCCATGAATGAAATTTTGGTTGCATTACGATATTTCTGGCCACTTGCAGGTAATCCAGTTCAGAAATTAAATGTCTATTTCTATTTAACAGTACTCATTCCGAACTTCGTTTAAAATGAGGGTTCTCCTCTCTCTAGCTAGTTTGTTGTAGGCAGGAAGGCTAATGTCGGAAAGAGATACATTGTTGTCTAATTTTATCTTTTCTTATGTAATATCTCTACTCTTCCATCACTCAGCTACATAACTGGGGTTTTAGACCCCAGGTGGAGGGTGCTGAAGCAGGGTTAGGAAAGAAACAGCAGTAAAGAAAACAGAAAAGTTTTCATTACTGATTAATACTCTCAAAGCTTCAAGGCTAACCGTATGAATTTCTGGGATGAGTAGTTTTTGTTTTCGTCTTTTAAGTATTTTTGTATGTAACATACCATAAAACGTATCGTTTTAGGTATATAATTCAATGTTTTTTATGTTCAAAGAGTTGTGCATCACTCCCATTTAATTCCAGAACATTCTCATCTTCCCCCAAAATAAACTCCATATGTGTTAGCAGCCATTCCTCATTATCCCCTCTCACAGCTCCAGGCAGCCACTCCTCTACTTTCTTTCTGTCTATGGATTTGCCTATTCTAGACATTTCATATAGATGGAATCATCCAGTATTTGTCTTTTTGTGTCTGGCTTCTTTCACTTAGCATAATGTTTTCAAGGTTTCAAGTTTTATCTATATCTAAGGCATGTATCAGAACATTCCTTTGTATTGCTGAATAATATTTCATTGTATGGATTTGCCACAGTGTTTATTCATTCACTCACTGATGGACATTCGGATTGTTTCCACTTTTGGGTTCTTATGAATAACAGGGCTATGAACATTTGTGTGCAAGTTTTTGTGTGGACATATATTTTCACTTTTGTTGGATATACTTCTTAATGTGGAATTGCTGGGTCATATGGTAACTTTGTGTTTAACTTTTTTTTTTTTTTGAGATGGAGTCTTGCTCTGTTGCCAGGCTGGAGTGCAGTGGTGCGATTTTGGCTCACTGCAACCTCCACCTCCTGGGTTCGAGCGATTCTCATGCCTCAGCCTCCCGAGTAGCTGGGATTACAAGCACACACCACCACACCCAGCTAATTTGTGTGTTTTTAGTAGAGATGGGGTTTCACCATGTTGGCCAGGCTGGTCTGGAACTCCTGACCTCGTGATCCACCCACCCTGGCCTCCCAAAGTGCTGGGATTATAGGCGTGAGCCACCGCGCCCAGCCTATGTTTAACATTTTGAAGAACTATCAGTCTGTGTGTAAATTCCATAAGCAATTACAATTTCATTAACAATTACAATTTTATTAGCAATGCATTAAAATTTTCATTTATTTACATCCTCACCAGTACTTGTCATTATATATGTATCAATATATATGTATTTATTCATTTATTGTAGCCATCCTAGTGGATGTGAAATAGTTTTGATTTGCATTTCCGTAATGACTACTAATGTTGAGCATCATTTCACATGGTTGTTGGCCATTCATCTGCCTTCTTTAGAGGACTGTCTATTCAGATCCTTTGCCTACTTTGAAATCAGATTGTCTTCTTCTTATTGAGTTGTAAGAGTTCTTTATATACACTGAATACAAGTCCTTTATCAGGGATATGAGTTACACATATTTTCTTCTATTTCTCCTCAGTTTTATTATGAAAAAATGCCAAACATTCCCAAAAAGTTGAAAAAATATTACAATAAACATCCACATACCCACCACCTAGGTTCCACAATGCTTGACATTTGCCATTTGCTTTTACTTCTTGTCTATTTGAAAGTGAAATGTGGACATTATGACACCTCATTGCTGCAGATTTCAGTGTGATTCTCCTAAAAAAAAGATTTTTTTTTTTTTGATGGAGTCTCACTCTGTTGCCCAGGCTGGAGTGCAGTGGTGCGATCTTGGCTCACTGCAAACTCCACCTCCAGGGTTCAAATGATTCTTCTGCCTCAGCCTCCCAAGTAGTTGGGACTACAGGTGCGCACCACCGTGCCCAGCTAATTTTTTCAATTTTTAGTAGAGACAGAGTTTCACCATATTGGCCAGGCTGATGTCAAACTCCTGACCTTGACCTTGTGATCTGCCCACCTCAGCCTCCCAAAGTGCTGGGATTACAGGCATGAGCCACCGCACCCGGCCAAAATAAGATGTTTTCTTTTTTATTTGTTTATTTTTTTTGAGATGGAGTTTTGCTCTTGTTGCCCAGGCTGAAGTGCAATGGCGCGATCTTGGCTCACTGCAATCTCTGTCTCTCCGGTTCAAGTGATTCTCCTGCTTCAGCCTCCCGAGTACCGAGTAGCTGGGATTACAGGCATGTGCCACCACCCCAGCTAATTTTGTATTTTTAGTAGAGAAGGGGTTTCTCCATGTCGATCAGGCTGGTCTTGAACTCCCAACCTCAGGTGATCCACCCACCTCGGCCTCCCAAAGTGCTGGGATTACAGGCATGAGCCACCATGCCCAGCCAAGATGTTTTCTTACATAACTTTAATATAATGATCAAACATAAAAATTGAATATAAAGTTCAATCTATATTTATATTGCACAATTATTTCCAAAATGATTTTATTCTGAACCAGAACTCAATCAAGTTTCAGACATTGCACTTGGTGTTTATATCTATTTAATCTCTTTTAATCCAAGAATAGTCCCTTGTCATTTTTCTTGATATTAGTTTTTCAAAAAGACTAGACCAGTTGTCTTCTAAAATGCCCCACAGTCTGGATTTGGCCAATTCTTTTCTTGTGTCATTTAACATCATCCTCTATTTCTTGATTTTGCTGTGAATTTGAAGTTAGTTCTAAAGGCTTTATTAAATTTTGGATAAACATTCTGAGCAAGAAGAGTTCATAAGTGATTGCTGTGTAATATGGTTTGGCTGTGTCCCCACTCACATCTTGACTTGAATTGTATCTCCCAGAATTCCCACATGTTGTGGGAGGGACCCAGGGGGATGTAATTGAATCTTGGGGCCTGTCTTTCTTGTGCTGTTCTCATGATAGTGAATAAGTCTCACGATATCTGATGGGTTTATCAGGAGTTTCCACTTTTGCTTGTTTCTCATTTCCTCTTGCTGCGCAATGTAAGAAGTGCCTTTCGCCTCCTGCCATGATTCTGAGGCCTCCCCAGCCGTGTGGAACTGTAAGTCCAATTAAACCTCTTTTTCTTCCCAGTCTTGGGTATTTTTTTTTTTTTTTTTTTTGAGACGGAGTCTTGCTCTGTCACCCAGGCTGGAGTGCAGTGGTGTGACCTTGGCTCACTGCAACCTCCACTGCCCAGGTTCAAATGATTCTCCTGCCTCAGCCTCCTTAGTAGTTCAGATTACAGGTGTGTGCCACCACACCCAGCTAATTTTTGTATTTTTAGTAGAGACAAGATTTCACCATGTTGGCCAGGCTGGTCTTAAAGTCCTGACCTCAGGTGATCTGCCTGCCTTGGCCTCCCAAAGTGCTGGAACTACAGGTGTAAGCCACCATGCCCAGCCTTGGGTGTATCTTTATCAGCAGCATAAACATGGACTAATACAGTAAATTTGTACCAGGCGTAGGGTGTTTCTGAAAAGATACCCAAAAATGTGGAAGCAACTTTGGAACTGGATAACAGGCAGTGGTTGGAACAGTTGGAGGGCTTAGAAGAACACAAGAAAATGTGGGAAAGTTTGGAACCTCCTAGAGATTTGTTGAGTGGCTTTGACCAAAATACTGATAGTGATATGAACAATAAGGGCCAGGCTGAGGTGATCGCAGATGGAGATGAAGAACTTGTTGGGAACTGGAGCAAAGGTGACTCTTGTTATGTTTTAGCAAAGAGACTGGTGGCATTTTGCCCTTGCCTCAGAGATTTGTGGAACTTAGAACTTGAAAGAGATGATTTAGGGAATCTGGCTGAAGAAATTTCTAAGCAGAAAAGCATTCAAGAGGTGATTTGGGTACTGTTAAAAGTGTTCCATTATAAAAGGGAAACAGTATAAAAGTTCAGAAAATTTGCAGCCTGATGATGCAGTAGAAAAGAAAACCCAATTTTTTTGAGGAAAAATTCAAGCTGGCTGCAGAAATTTGCATAAGTAGCAAAAAGCCTAATGTTAATCCCCAAAACCATGGGGAAAATGTCTCCAGGCATTCAGAGGGTCAGAAGACCTTCACAGCAGCCCCTCCCATCACAGACCCAGAGGCCCAGGAGGATAAAGTGGTTTCGTGGGCTGGACCCAGGGTCCCCATGCTGTGTGCAGCTAGGGACTTAGTGCCCTGTGTCTCAGCCACTCCAGCCATGGCTGAAAGGAGCCAATGTACAGCTTAGGCTGCGGCTTCAGAGGGTGGAAGCCCCAAGCCTTGGCATCTTCCATGTGGTGTTGAACATGTGGGTGCACAGAAGTCAAGAATTGAGGTTTAGGAACCTCTGCCTAGATTTCAGAAGATGTATGGAAATGCCTGGATACCCAGGCAAAAGTTCATGGCAGGGGTGGGGCCCTCATGGAGAACCTCTGCCAGGGTAGTGTGGAAGGGAAATGTGGGGTTGGAGCCCCCACACAGAGTCCATACTGGGGCACTGCCTAGCCACCTTCCTCCAGACCCCAGAATGGTAGATCCACTGACAGCTTGCACCGTGAGCCTGGAAAAGCCACACACACTTAACACCAGCCTGTGAAAGCAGCTGGGAGGGAGGCTGTACCCTGCAAAGCCATAGGGGCAGAGCTGCCCAAGATCATGGGAACCCACCTCTTGCATTAGCGTGACCTGGATGTAAGACCTGGAGTCAAAGGAGGTCATTTTGGAGCTTTAAAATTTGACAGCCCCACTGGATTTCAGACTTGCATGGGTCCTGCAACCCCTTTATTTTGGCCAATTTCTCCCATCTGGAACAGCTGTATTTACCCAATGCCTATACCCCCATTGTATCCATGAAGTAACTAGCTTGCTTTTGATTTTACAGGCTCATAGGCAGAAGGGACTTGCCTTGTCTCAGATGAGACTTTGGACTGTGGACTTTTGGGTTAATGCTGAAATGAGTTAAGACTTTGGGGGACTGTTGGGACGGCATGATTGGTTTTGAAATGTGAAGACATGAGATTTGGAAGTGCCAGGGGTGGAATGATATGGTTTGGCTGTGTCCCCATTCCAATCTCAACCTGAACTGTATCTCCCAGAATTCCCATGTGTTGTGAGAGGGATCCAGGGCGGGGGTGATTGAATCATGGGGGCCAGTCTTTCCTGTGCCAGTCTCATGATAGTGAATAAGTGTCTCATGATCTGATGGGTTTATCAGGAGTTTCCGCTTTTGCTTCTTTCTCATTTTCTTTTGCTACTGCAATGTAAGAAGTGCTTTTCACCTCCTGCCATGATTCTGAGGCCTCCCCAGCCATGTGGAACTGTAAGTCCAATTAAACCTCTTTTTCTTCCCAGTCTTGGGTATGTCTGATAATCAGCAGCATGAAGAGGGGACTAATACACTGAATATTTTATATTTCAACCCCTCAGAAATACATATTATTAGATGATGCTAAATTTAATCACTTGATTACGGTAGTGATCTCTTCATTATAAAGGTGAATTTTTTCATTTTAATAAGCAAATAATCTGCAGGGTGCTGTATAAGTATACTGTTACCCAAAACCATTTTCCCTAAAGATTTTGGCAGTTATTAATGATTATTGCATGTATCAATTATTTTATGGTGAGTTACAGATTGAGGATTTTTTACTTTTTTTTTTTTTTGAGATGGTGTCTTGCTTTGTCGCCCACGCCGGAGTGCAGTGATGTGATCTCGGCTCACTACAACCTCCACCTCCCGGGTTCAAGTGATTCTCCCACCTCCGCCTCCCAAGTAGCTGGGATTACAGGCACCCACCATCACACCTGGCTAATTTTTGTATTTTTGTAGAAATGGTGTTTTACCATGTTGGCCAGGCTGATCTTGAACTCCTAACCTCAGGTAACCTTGGCCTACCAAAGTGCTGGGATTACAGGTGTGAGCCACCATGCCCAGACAAGGATTTTTCTACTTTTATAATTATTCTACACTACTTAGTTAGTAGTCTTCTGTAAAAAAGCGTTTTCCTTACACTTAAAAAGTCAGAGTGTGGGCCAGGCACGGTGGCTCAGACCTGTAATCCCAGTACTTTGGGAGGCCAAGGTGGGGGCATCACAAGGTCAGGAGTTTGAGACCAGTGTGGCCAACATAGATAGTGAAACTTGTCTCTACTAAAAATACAAAAATTAGCCAGGCATGGTGGCATGTGCATGTAGTCCCAGCTACTCAGGAGGCTGAGGCAGGAGAATCGCTTGAACCTGGGAGGTGGAGGTTGCAGTGAGCCAAGACCACATCATTGCACCCTAGACTGGGCGACAGAGAGAGACTCCATCTCAAAAAAAAAAAAAAAGGCAGGATGAATATCTAATTATTTTGGTTTAACTTTGGACTTTCAGAAAGAACGAGTTGGCAAAGAACTAAAGTAGATCTGCCATTCAATTCAGCAATCCCACTACTTGACATCTACCCAAACGAAAAATAGTCATTATATCAAAAAGACCCTTACATGTGTATGCTTATCACAGCACAATTCACAATTGCAAAGATATGCAACCAAACTAAGTGCCCATCACCTGATGAGTGGATAAAGAAAATGCGGTATATATATACTATGGTATACTACCCAGCCATAAAAAAGAATGAAATAATGTCTTTTGCAGCAACTTGGATAGAGCTGGACGCCATTATTCTAAGTGAGGTAACTCAGGATTGGAAAACCAAATACCACATGTGTTCACTTATAAGTGGAAGCTAAACTATGGGTAAGCAAAGGCACACAGAGTGATGTAATAAATTTTAGGGACTCAGAAGGGAGAGGTGGAAGGGAGTGAGGGATAAAAAAGTACACATGTGTACAATGTACACTACTTGGGTGATACGTACAGTAAAATCTCAGAGTACACCTCTGTACAATTCATGCATATAACAAAAAACCACTTCTACCCCAAAAACTATTGAAATAAAAAATATACAAAATAAAAGAAAAAGAAAAAAATAGTTGGTATAATAATCACCACCAGTGGTTATAATTGAACTTCTCTCTTCTTCCTCTCTCTTTTTCTTTCTTTTTTTAAAATTTTTATATAGAGAAAGGGTCTCACTATGTCGCCCAGGCTGATTTTGAACTCCTGGGCTCAATCAATCCTCCTTCCTTGGCCTCCCAGAATGCTGGGTTTACAGGCATGAGCAACCACACCCGACCTTACTCTCTCTTTTTTTTCCTGTAATTAATTTCACCTATGCTTACTTACAGGTGAAATTACAGGCTCAAAATTTCCCAAATTTGGTATATAAGCCCTTCTCAAGCTGTATTCTTTTGAAATGAACTCATTGATATTTAAAGCCTCCTTTGTCTCTGGCATAAAATATCCAAGACTGATTTTATATGCTTCCTGCTCCAGACTTGAAATCCATTAATCTTGAAGAAGACCAGGTTCTTTTTAATGAGGAGTAACAGGTAGAAACCAATATTTGGGCATTAGTTGCTTTAGTTGTTACTAGGATGTCATTGCTTCCTAACTTTTTCATGTGCGTGTGTTTTTTTCTCCACAATCCAACATTCAGCATGATTACTTAATACCTGCCCAATCTTTGGAACACTCAAATCAATTGTTCTATACTCTAACTAAAAATACAGTTTAAAAATATTTACTGTCTCCTGTAAGGATTTTCTAAATTAAGAAAGGAAAAAAATGTACATAGTATATAATAAAATGCAATTAGTTTCAAATATGATTACATTTCTAGTTAGCAAAATTAATCTTTTTAATTGTTTCAGTACTTCTGTTAAAGCTACAAAGTTGTATTCAGTGTTGGAGGAAAGAATGGAAATCCCCATTGCTTTTTCAACTCCATACATGCTTATAATTTGGAATTGTACAATTTTTCAGACTGTTGGTCACTTGTTCAGCAAGATACATGGCTCTGTAAGAGGCCATCGGAGACAGATAATGTTGAGAGCAGGCCTGATGCTCAGATGCTCTGAGTCTCCTGGAGCTCACTGACTAATTTGGTGGTTTCATCAAGTTTCCTTCAGCTGAATACTTGAGCATGTTTAGTCAAAACTTTCACCTGGAGTGCTATTATTCCACTGCACTCTGTGCCATGAACCTGTCTTGATTATTCAGAGTCTAAACAACCTGGATCAATTTTGATAACCTCCATGTCTTTTGCTATGTCACGTGTCCTATTCTGGCCTTCATCTTTAAGTGATGTTCTCCAACTCTTGGAAAATTCTAGAATGCCTTTTGCTTAGAACATTCACTAAATTATTTATACAGCATATGGGTAATCTTGGCATGTGGTCAAATATCATGGATACTAAGAGCACTTGAAAGAATGTTTTCCCTCATAAATCCAGAAGACTATGTCAAAATTACTCTTGTTAAGATTTGCAAAGATGGCATCAGTATGTGCTTTATAAAAACAGAATATCACTAGATTATCACTTTTTTTCCTGCTATCTTCTTGCACGTTATTCACTCCAGACTGAAATCCTTCAGTTTTCATTTCCTGTCTTCACAGAGCAGTAGCCTCATTCTCCCACTACAAGATTAACAGAACAGAAAAGTCCCATCTGGTTCTTTTCCTTCCAACTCTTAAGTTTTCTGGCCGGTTTTCCTCCAAATTCCTTAACGATGTGTTCAATCTGCTCCTATTATTTTTCTAAATTATTGCTTCTAAATTTATCTTCAAGAATATCTTTGTCATTTTACATTAAATTAAATTAAATTAAATTTGCTTAGTTTGTTTTCCTTACTACAATTTTTAAAGGTATTGACATCAGTATCTTTATCATCTTGTATCCTCCCTGGTCTGCTGAGTGTTCTTTTATGTTTCTGCTTTTGAGTTCTTTGCAAGTTTGCCATGAAGTCTACCCTCTGCTTCAGGCTCTATATTCTTTGGCTAAGAGCTTTTATCTCTGTTTGCAATAGCATCTTGCAGCTTTATAATAAATGTTCTCTGATTTGTTGTAAACCAAACATTTAGTACACATTAATTTGAAGTTATCCTTTAGTTCCTCTGTAAGTCATTCTTCTTGATCGTCTCTTGTTTGGTACTAAAGTCCAGAGGGTATTTAATAATTATGGTGTAATTAGGAACAATAAAATCAGTCACAGGAAACGAACAGAAATAAACAGAAAATAGGGTCCTTTCTTTGCAATGTACTCATCTGTTAATTCAAAGCTTCTAGAAAGGGTTCTGTTCTCATTTCTCTGCGGAGGAGCTCCCAAGAGGTTTCTCAGGAGCATCAAGTCTCACAGGAGCCTGACACAAAAGGTCTCTCCAGGCTCGTTATGCACACACGCTTGTTTTCCTTTCTTTTTATGCCCCTGTACTTCTCTCCACTCCTCCCCCACCCTTCTTCTTCCCCTGGAACTTGTTTTTTTCTTTTTTCTTTTTCATTCACCAGTATATTTGCAATTTTTTAATTAAATAGATAAATTTAATTTGACTTTGAAGCATTTCTTTTCTTTTCTTTTTCTTTTTTGTTTTTTGAGATGGAGTCCCGCTCTGTCGACCAGGCTGAAGTGCGAAGGCGCAGTCTCAGCTCACTGCAACCTCCAACTCCCGGGTTCAAGCAATTCTCTTGCTTCAGCCTCCCGAGTAGCTGGGATTACAGGTGACCGCTGCCATGCTCAGCTAATTTTTTTGTATTTTTAGTAGAGATGGGGTTTCGCCATGTTGGTCAGGCTGGTCTTGAACTCCTGACCTCAGGTGATCCATCTGCCTCGGCCTCCCAAAGTGCTGGGATTACAGGCTTAAGCCACCATGCCCGGCCTTCTTTTTTCTTTTTCTTTTTTTTAGTTTATTTTTTACTTTAAGTACTGGGATACATGTGCAAAACGTGCAGGTTTGTTACATAGGTATATGTGTGCCATGGTGGTTTGCTGCACCTAACAACCCATCACCTAGGTTTTAAGCTCTGCATGCCTTAGGATTTGTCCTGATATGCTCCCTCCCCTCCCACCGCTGACAGGCCCTGGTGTGTGTTTTTCCCCTCCCTGTGTCCATGTGTTCTCATTGTTCAACTCCCACTTGTAAGTGAGAACTTGCAGTGTTTGGTTTTCTGTTCCTGTGTTAGTTTGTTGAGGATGATGGCTTCCAGCTTTATCCACGTCTCTGCAAAGGACATGATCTCATTCCTTTTTGTGGCTGCATAGTATTCTATGGTGTATATGTACCACATTGTCCTTATCCAATCTATCATTGATGGGCATTTTATCATTGATGGGTTGGTTCCATGTCTTTGCTATTGTGAACAGTGCTGCAATAAATATGTGTGCATGTATCTTTATAATAGAATGATTTATATTTCTTGGGGTATATATCCAGTAATGGAATTGCTGGGTCAAATGGTATTTCTGGTTCTAGATCCTTAAGAAATTGCCACACTGTCTTCCACAATGGTTGAACTAATTTACATTCCCGCCAACAACGTAAAAGTGTACCTATTTCTGCAGCCTCACGAGCATCTGTTGTTTCTTGGCTGTTTAATAATTGCCATTCTGAGTGGTATGAGATGGTATCTCATTGTGGTTTTGATTTGAATTTCTGTAATGATTAGTGATGTTGAGCTTTTTTCATGTGTTTGTTGGCTGCATAAATGTCTTCTTTTGAGAAGTGTCTGTTCATATCCTTTGCCTACTTTTTGATGGTTTTTTTTTTTCTGTAAATTTGTTTAAGTTCCTTGTAAATTCTGGATATTAGGCTTTTGTCAGATGGGTAGATTGCAAAAATTTTCTCCCATTCTGTAGGTTGCCTGTTCACTCTGATGATAGTTTCTTTTGCTGTGCAGAAGCTCTTCAGTTTAATTAGATCCCATTCATCAATTTTAGCTTTTGTTGCAATTGCTTTTGGCAATTTTTTTTTTTTTTTTTTTGAGATGGAGTCTTGCTCTGTCCCCAGGCTTGAGTGCAGTGGCGCGATCTCGGCTCACTGCAAGCTCCGCCTCCCGGGTTCACGCCATTCTCCTGCCTCAGCCTCCCGAGTAGCTGGGACTACAGGCGCCCGCCACCATGCCCAGCTAATTTTTTGTATTTTTAGTAGAGATGGGGTTTCACTGTGTTAGCCAGGATGGTCTCAATCTCCTGACCTCATGATCCACCCACTTCTGTCTCCCAAAGTGCTGGGTTTATAGGCATGAGCCACCACACCCGGCCTGCTTTTGGCAATTTCATCATAAAATCTATGGCCATGCCCATGTCTTGAACAGTATTGCCTAGATTTTCTTCTAGGGTTGTTATGGTTTTGTGTTTTACATTTAAGTCTTTAATCCACCTTGAGTTAATTTTTATTTAAGGTGTAAGGAAGGGGTCCAGTTTCAGTTTTCTGCATATGACTAGCCAGTTTTCCCAGCACCGTTTATTAAACAGGGACTCCTTTCCCCATTGCTTGTTCTTGTCAGGTTTGTTGAAGATCAGGTGGTTCTAGATGTGTGATCATATTCCTGAGGTCTCTGTTCTGTTTCATTGGTCTATATGTCTGTTTTTGTACCAGTACTATGCTGTTTTGGTTACTGTAGCCTTGTAGCATAGTTTGAAGTCAGGTAGTGTGATGCCAGCTTTGTTCTTTTTGCTTAGTATTGTCTTGGCTATGTGGGCTCTTTTTTGTTTCCATATGAATTTTAAAGCAGTTTTTTTTCTAATTCTGTGAAGAATGTCAATGGTAGTTTGATGGGAATAGCATTGAATCTATAGATTACTTTGGTCATTATGGCCATTTTCACAATATTGATTCCTCCTATCTATGAGTATGGAATCTTTTTCCATTTGTTTGTGTCCTCTCTTATTTCCTTGAGCGGTGGTTTGTAGTTCTCCTTGAAGAGGTCCTTCACATTCCTTGTTAGTTGTATTCCTAGGTATTTTATTATCTTTGTAGCAATTGTGAATGGGAATTCATTTATGATTTGGCTCTCTGCTTGCTTGTCTATTGTTGGTGTATAGGAATGCTTGTGAATTTTGCACATTGGTTTTGTATCCTGAAACTCTGCTGAAGTTGCTTATCAGCTTAAGGAGTTTTTGGGCTGAGACAATGGGGTTTTCTAAATATACAATCATGTCATCTGCAAACAGAGACAATTTGACTTCCTGTCTTTTTATTTGAATACCCTTTATTTCTTTCTCTTGCCTGATTGCCCTGGCCAGGACTTCCAATACTATGTTGAATAGGAGTGGTGAGAGAGGGCATCCTTGTTTTGTGCTGGTTTTCAAAGGGAATGCATCCAGCTTTTGCCCATTCAGTATGATATTGTCTGTGGTTTTGTCATAAATAGCTCTTATTATTTTGAAATATGTTCCATCAATACCTAGTATATTGAGAATTTTTAACATGAAGTGCTGTTGAATTTTTTTTTTTTTTTTGAGATGGAGTCTTGCTCTGTTGCCCAGGCTAGAGTGCAGTGGCATGATCTCTGCTCACTGCAACCTCTGCCTCCCAAATTCAAGCGACCCCAGCCTCCAGAGTAGCTGGGATTACAGGCACCTGCCACCGTGCCTGGCTAATTTTTGTATTTTTAGTAGTTTCTAAACTAAATTAAACAAGGGGTTTCACCATCTTGGCCAGGCTGGTCTTGAACTCCTGACCCTGTGATCCACCTGCCTCAGCCTCCCAAAGTGCTGGGGTTACAGGCATGAGCCACTGTGCCTGGCCAGGGATGTTGAATTGTATCAAAGGACTTTTCTGCATCTGTTGAGATAATCATGTGGTTTTTGTCATTGGTTATGTTTATGTGATGGATTACACTTATTGATTTGTGTATGTTGAACCAGCTTTGTATCCTGTGCTGCTGGATTCGGTTTGCCAGTATTTTGAGGATTTTTGCATTGATGTTCCTCAGGGATATTGGCCTGAAGTTTTCTTTTTTTGTTGTGTTCTGCCAGATTTTGGTATCAGGATAGTGTTGGCCTCATAAAATGAGTTAGAGAGGAGTCCCTTCTTTTCAATTGTTTGGAATAGTTTCTGAAGGAATGGTACCAGTTCCTCTTTGTACCTCTGGTAGAATTCGGCTGTGAATCCGTCTGGTCCTAGGCTTTTTTGGTTGGTAGGCTATTACTGCCTCAATTTCAGAACTTATTATTGGTCTATTCAGGAATTCAACTTCTTCCTGGTTTAGTTTTGGGAGGATGTACATGTCCAGGAGTGTATCCATTTGTTCTAGATTTTCTAGTTTCTATTTCTATTTGTGTAGAGGTGTTTACAGCATTCTCTGATGGTAGTTTGTGTTTCTGTGGGGTCAGTGGTGACATGCCCATATCATTTCTTATTGGGTCTGTTTGATTCTTCTCTCTTTTCTCTATTAGTCTAGCTAGTGGTCTATTTTATTAATTTTTTCAAAAATCCAGCTGCTGGATTCATTGATTTTTTTGGAAGATTTTTTTTTTGTCTCTATCTCTTTCAGTTCTGCTCTGATCTTAGTTATTTCTTGTCTTTTCCTAGCTTTTGGATTTTTTTCTTTTTTTTTTTTTTTTTGCTCTTGCTCCTCAAGTTCTTTTAATTGTGATGCTAGGGTGTTGATTTGAGATCTTTCTAGCTTTCTGATGTGGGCATTTAGTGCTATAAATTTCCCTCTTAACACTGCTTTAGCTGTGTTCCAGAGATTCTGATATATTGTTTCTTTGTTCTTATTGGTTTCAAAGAACTTCTTGATTTCTGCTTTAATTTCATTATTTACCCAGGAGTCATTCAGGAGCAGGTTGTTCAATTTCCATGTAGTTGTGTGGTTTTGAATGAGTTTCTTAATCCTGAGTTCTGATTTGATTGCATTGTGGTCTGAGAGATTGTCTGTTATGATTTCAGTTCTTTTGCATTTGCTGAGGAGTGTTGTACTTCCAATTATGTGGTCAATTTTAGAGTAAGTGCCATGTGGCACTGAGAAGAATGTATATTCTGTTGTTTTGGGGTGGAGAGTTCTGTAGATATCTATTAGGTCCATTTGATCCAGAGCTGAGTTGAAGTCCTGAATATCCTTGTTAATTTTCTGTCTCATTGATCTGTCTAATATTGACAGTGGGGTGTTAAAGTCTCCTACTATTATTGTGTGGGAGTTGAAGTCTCTTTATAGATCTCTAAGAACTTGTTTTATGAATCTGGGTGCTCCTATATTGGTTGCACATATATTTAGCATAGTTAGTTCTTCTTGTTGAATTGATCCCATTACCATTTTGTAATGCCCTTCTTTGTCTTTTTTGATCATTATTGGTTTAAAGTCTGTTTTGTCGGAGACTAGGTTTGCAACCCCTGCTTTTTTCTGCTTTACATTTGCTTGGTAAATTTTCCTCCATTCCTTTATTTTGAGCCTGTATGTGTTTTTGCATGTGAGATGGGTCTCTTGAATACAGCACACTGATAAGTCTCAACTCTATCCAACTTGCCAGTCTGTGTCTTTTAATTGGGGCATTTAGCCCATTTACATTTAAGGTTAATACTGTTATGTGTGAATTTGATACTGTCATCATGATGCTAGCTGTTTATTTTGCACACTAGTTGATGCCGTTTCTTCATAGTGTCATTGGTCTTTATATTTTCATGTGTTTTGCAGTGACTAGTACCAGTTTTTCCTTTCCATATTTATTGCTTCCTTCAGGAGCTCTTGCAATGCAGGAATGGTGGTGACAAATTCCCTTAGTATTTGCTTGTCTGAAAATGGTTTTTTTTTTTTTGAGACAGAGTTTCACTCTTATTGCCCAGGCTGGAGTGCAATGGTGTGATCTCAGCTCACTGCAACCTCCGCCTCCTGGGTTCAAGCAATTCTCTTGCCTCAGCTCCCAGGTAGCTGGGATTACAGGCATGAGTCACCATGCCCGGATATGAAAAAGATTTTATTTTGCCTTCACTTATGAAGCTTAGTTTGGGCAGATATGAAATTCTGGGTTGAAAATTCTTTTCTTTAAGAATGTTGAATATTGGCCCTCACTCTCTTCTGACTTGTAGGGTTTCTGCCAAGAGATCTGCTGTTAGTCTGATGGGCTTCATTTTGTAGGTGACCTGGCCTTTCTCTCTTTGTGCCCTTAACATTTTTTCCTTCATTTTGACCTTGGAGAATCTGATGATTGTGTCTTGGGGTTGATCTTCTCGTGGAGTATCTTAGTGGGTTCTCTGTATTTCCTGAATTTGAATGTTGGCCTGTCTTGCTAGCTTAGGGAAATTCTCCTGCATAATATCTTGAAGTGTGTTTTCCAACTTGGTTCCATTCTCCCCATCTTTTTCAGGTACTCCAATCAGACGTAGGTTCAGTCTTTTTACATAGTCCCTTATTTCTCAGAGGTTTTGTTCATTTCTTTTCATTCTTTTTTCTCTAATCTTATCTGCCTGCCTTATTTCAGCATGATAGTCTCCTATATCTGATATTCTTTCTTCCACTTGATCGATTCGGCTATTGATGCTTGTATATGCTTCATGAAGTTCTCATGCTGTGTTTCTCAGCTCCATCAGGTCATTTATGTTCCTCTATAAACTGGTTATTCTAGTTATCATCTCCTCTAATGTTTTATTGAGGTTCTTATCTTCTTTGCATTGGGTTAGAACATACTCCTTTACCTCAGCAAAGTTTGTTTTACTCACCTTCTGAAGCCTACTTCCGTCAATTTGTCCATCTCATTCTCTGTCCAATTCTGTGCTCTTGCTGGAGAGGTGTTGCGATCATTTGGAGAAGAGGCACTCTGGCCTTTTGGGTTTTCAGCGTTTTTTTGATTGATTCTTTTTCATCTTCATGAGTTTTTCTAGTTTTGATCTTTGAGACTGCTGACCCTTGGATGTGGTTTTTTTGGGGACTATTTTTCTTGTTGATGCTGTTCTTGTTGCTTTCAGTTTGTTTGTTTGTTTTTCTTTCAGTAGTCAGTTCCCTCTTCTGTGGGGCTGCTGCAGTTTGCTGACGGTTCGCTTTGGGCCCTATTCATCTGATTCGCTCCTGCCTCTGGAAATGTCACTCAAGGAGGCTGGAGAACAGCAAAGATGGGTGCCTGCTCCTTCCTCTGGGATCCCTGACCTCGAGGGGCACTGACCTGATGCCAATAGGAATGCTCTTGTATAGGATATCTGACAGTTCCTGTTGGGGGGGTCTCACCCAGTTGGGTGGCATGGGAAGCAAGACCTGGTTAAGGAGGCACTTTGGCTATCCCTTGGTGGAGGAGGTGTACTGTGCCGGGGAGGGGGTGGGGGGAACCCGCTTGTCTGGGCTGACTGGATTACTTTTTGTAAGTCTGCTCGTCTGTGGAGACTTAAGCCACCCCTCCCCCTTAGGGGTTCAGGCCTAGGGAGATCAGAGTTCTGTCCCTGAGCCCCTGGGTAGAATTGGAGTTCCTGCAGGGAAGCCCTGCAGCCACAGTGCTGGCTGCCGCCCCTCCCCCAAGAAGCTCAGATGGCTTAGACTGCAGGCAGCTGCAGCAGTGGTCATGGCTGCCCCTCCCACTGTGAACTCAGCAGGCTTACTTAGGTCGGTTTTAACCCAATGGCTGTTGAGAATCTGCATGCTTCCATTGAGACTCAAGGCCCTGGTGGCCTGGGCTCCCGAGTGGGATCTTCCGATCTGTGGGTTGCAGTTTTCTGGAAAAAAAGGGTTTCCCAGGCAGGCTAGCGTGCTTACCCATTGCCTCCCTTGGCTGGGGGAGCCCCTGACCGGTGTGGCTCTCAGGTAAGTCGCTGTACCATACTGTTCTTCCTTCCTCTCCGTGGGTCACGCCAGCTGCCTAGTCAGTCCTAATGACAGAACTGGGTACCTCAGTTGCAGGTGCAGAATCCGCATGCTGTTTCAGATCTTTTGGATGGCAGTCTCCGATTCCCGCTGCTTCTATTCAGCCATCTTGACCCCACCCCCGAAGCATTTATTTTCCTTTTTTTTTTCCCGTCCTATCCGGGTGTGTGTCATGATTACTTTTTGTCATTAAAAAATTGAATCATGTCCTGAGCCGCCAATGTGTCTTCTTTTTCTCAAGAGTTCAGCAACCCCCTCACCCCCATGTTCCAAGACAGAGGGATATATATTTTAATTATGACCGCCTGGCTGGGTGCAGTGGCTCACGTCTGTAATCCCAGCCCTTTGGGAGGCGGAGGCAGGTGGATCACTTGAAGCCAGGAGTTTGAGACCAGCCTGGCCAACATGGCGAAACCCTGTCTCTACTGAAAATACAAAAATTAGCCGGGCGTGGTGGCGCACGCCTGTAATTCTAGCTACTCAGGAGGCTGAGGCAGGAGAATTGCTTGAACCTGAGAGGCGGAGGTTGCAGTGAGCTGAGATCTCGCCACTGCACTCCAGCATGGGTGACAGAGTGAGACTCTGTCTCAAAACAAAATAAAACAAACAAAAATTATGACCTCATGGCAACATTTCCAATTCTAATTTACTAATACAGATTTTTTCCTTAACTTGCTTAATTTTATAGTTGTATACCCTTTTCTCTTACATTGTAAAGTTTAATTTCTAATTACATGAACAAATTTTATTATTTGCTTTATCTTTCAAAATATAGAACGTTGTTTCAAAATTGCAATACCGGTATTCCTACCAGTAACAAATCTGTTGAGTGAAGTTGAAGGTTTATTTCCTTACTTCATCTTTAGGCTATATCCTTGGGTTGAAATGTCAGAGCACACACCCCCCCTATTTTTTTTCAAAATGACCTGGGATAATTATTTCTCTTTGTGGTTAGTTCACCAATTTGACATAATTAGATGCATTCACTTTACTTTATTTTCAACTGTAGAATGTGCTTTTTAACTGTGATTGATCTTGTGAATATTTAAAATCTTCACATATGTAAAAAATCAGAAATATAGTAAAAGGTATTCTCAGAAAAGTCTTATTTTCATCCTTACCTTCTACACTTCAATCTCCACATCCTTTGTTGTAAGCATTTTTAGTTTGGATTATTTGTCTAACACTTGCTTTTTGTTCCCTTCAAAATTGGGCAAATAGTATGGATTCTTATTCTCTTTTCTTTCTTACACCAACAAAATGGCATTATATACATTGCTTTGCATCTTTAGCAAAGATGTAAAACTTACTCTTTGTTTTTCTTCTAAATTTTATTTGGACAATTTCAATCATATATAGAAGTAGAATAGCTTTATGAGCCTCAATGTGCTTTTCATTCAGCTTCAAGCATTATCAATTAATGGCCAGTTTTGTTTTTTTCAATCTCCCCAAACTCATCCCTATATTCTTTTAAAGCCCAAGGCAAGCACTATTCTACTTTCTGTCTCTAACTACCTAATGTAAGTGCAATTATACAGTATTTGTCTTTTTGTGACTGGCTTATTTCATTTAGTGTAATGTTGTCCAGGTTAATTTATGTTATAACACATGTCAAAATTTCCTCCTTTTTAAGGCTGAATAATACTCCACTGTATGTACATACCACATTTTGCTTATCAATTCATCTCACAGTATTCACTTTGGTTGTTCCATTATTTTAGATATTTTGAATAATGCTACTATGAACATGGGTATACAAATACTCCTGTGAAACCTTGCTTTCAATTCTTTTGCGTATATACCCAGACGTGGAATTGCCACATCATATGGTAATTTTATTTTTAATCTTTTCAAGAACCACCATGTTTTCCACAGTTGCTGTACCATTTTATATTGAAATGGGATAGGTCGCTTGACCCTTTCATGGGACTCATGAAAGGGTTGGCTCGTTTACTCAGCCCACAGCTCTCAAGCCCTTGTGGGAAGGGGAGCATGCAGAAGAGTGAGCGCAGAGGCCAGGACAAGCACTCTGGGCAACCTGCTGGAGCAGAACTCTGTGCGGGCCCGAGGCAGCATCTAGGGGTTGCCCATGACTCCTGGAGCCCCAGAGAGCATGAGTTACAGCGTGCTTTCTTAGTTTTGCCATCCATGGATGGCTTTGAATGTTAGACAACTCAGTGGAGGGTAGAGAGTCAGTATGATAGCCTCTTGCACCTGCACCCAGGTCCTTGTCTGTTATCTAGGAGGAATCAGATCGCATGAACAAATTGAAGATGATAAATGCAGAGAATTTTACTGAGCAGTGGAAGTGGCTCTCAGCAGGATGGGGAGCTGGAAAGTGGATGGAGCAGGAAGGTGGTCTTCCCCTGGAGTTCAGCTCTCTGCCGCCAAACTTTTCTCTGAGGCCCACCATCAAGCTGCTTCTCACCAATGTCAAGCTGCTTCTTCTCTTCTCTACTTCCCTGCCATGTTGCTCTGCCACTCCACCGGTGGGGCGTGGGGTTTTTATGGGTACAGGATGCGGGGTGGGGCAGGCCAAGGTGGTTTTGGAAAAGGCAACATTCATTTGGGAAAACAGGAATGCACGTTCTCACTTTGGGCCAAGGGTCCAGGCTTGAGGGTAGAGCCCTCACCAGGGATCCCATCCTTTTCTACCTGGTATTTCCCTGCCTCTTGTCCGTATCAGTATTACCACCAACTGTGTACAGGTATTCCATTTTTTCCACATCCAGCCAACATTTATTTTCTACTTTTTGCTTTTGGAAAGTAGTCAACATAATGAACATGAAGTGGCATTTTATTGTAGTTTTGAGTTGTATTTATCTAACGATTAGTGATGCTAAGCATCTTTTAATGTGCTCATTGGCTTTCTAAAAATTTTTTATTTTTATATTTTTAGACAGAGTCTCACTCAGTCTGTTGCCACCAGGCTGGAGGGCAGTGGTGTGATCTCTGCTCACTGCAACCTCCATCTCTCGGGTTTAATCGATTCTCCCACCTCAGCCTCCTGAGTAGTTGGGACCACAGGCACCCACCAAAACGCCCATCTAATTTTTGTATTTTTAGTAGAGATGGGGTTTCACTATGTTGGCCAGGCTGGTCTTGAACTCCTGACCTCAAGTGATCCACCCATCTCGGCCTCCCAAAGTGCTGGGATTACAGGCATGAGCCACTGTGCCCAGCTTCACTGGGCACATTGATAGGCATTTGTATGTCTTTGGAAAAATGCCTATTCAAGTCCTTTGTCTATTTTTGAATTAGATTGGTTGTTTCATTGTTGTTGAATTTTAGGTGTTCTCTGTATATTCTGGATATCAGTACCTTATCAGGCACCTGAGTTGCAAATATTTTCTGTCATCCTATGGGTTGTCTATTTATTCTGTTGGTAGTATCTTCTGATGCACAAATTTAAAAAAATTTCATGAGGTGCAGTTTGTCTATTTTTTCTTTTGTTGCCTGTGCAAGAAAAGAAACTGCCAAATCCAGTGTTGTGAAGCTTTGCCCTACGCTCCAGCCTCATATTATTTTATTTTATTTTATTTTATTGTTTTGAGAGGGAGTCTTGCTGTGTCACCCAAGCTGGAGTGCAATGGTGCTATCTCAGCTCACTGCAAACTCCGCCTCCTGGATTCAAGAGATTCTCCTGCCTCAGCCTCCTGAATAGCTGAAATTACAGGTGACTGCCACCATGCCCAACTAATTTTTGTATTTTAGTAGTGATCTGCTCTCCTTGGCCTCCTAAAGGGCTGGGATTACAGGCATGAGCCATTGCATTCACCCCCCATATTTTTTTTTGAAGTAAATCTCATATATATCATTTCTATTTCATTTATAAATAGGTCAGCAAAACTCTAAAATTTAAGAATTCCTTTTCAATATTTAATGTTTAACTATCCATCTATCTACCATCTATCTACCTAAAAACCGCAATACCTTTATCAAACTTAGACATTAATCATTTCTTAATATGATAAAACCTCCAGCAAACATTCAAATGTCTAATTATACAGCTGACTCTGTTTGGGTACTTTAGAGTCCCTGTCACTGAAGCTCTCTCAACTGCAGTCCTTAAAATAGGGAAATACATCTGTGCTTTGATGGTGGATTCCTCCTTCCTCCAGCAACATGGAATCTGGTGAAGCCCTTAGTATCTCTTTGCTGAGGTCTGTTAGCCCCATGAGAGACCTCACTAACAGATTCTAAGATAATCCCACACTGGCTTTTGTACCCACAACCGACATCAAGTCCATAGGGAACACCCATGGACCCTTTGCTCTGGAAATTCTGAGATTTTAGGCTATCCAATGTCATATTCCCTCCTTTGGCTTCTCCTCTAGACAGTGCCTCTCTCACCCCTCAGATTTCTTGGGTGACAGCATTATTCCCTAGGGCCCCCCATACTGTAGGGACACATATGTTCTCCAAGTGGTTCCTATGAGCCCTCTCACTAGGCTTGAAATGAGAGTACCGGTTTATGCCTTTTATGTAAGTGAGAGGTATAGAAATATCTGCACAGACCTTATTCTGAGTTGTAGAGATGGCCTGTTTCACAGCTGTCTCTGCTGTCTGATGGCTCTTGGCTTCGTCCTCAGAAGAGATTTCCATTTTTACATCCTTTTACATACTCAACCACCCATTTGGGCAATTCAAATCTTGTTTGAGTTGAATGAACTGATATCTTTATTTTTCACAGTGGCACACAAAGGTGGCCAAATCTGAAGACTGGTAAGTGTTACATTTTCTTAAATATTGCATTCTTCAACTTCTGGTTTGTGAATCCTATGAATTTGCAAATAAAGCACTTAGCATGCATTAAAGTATCTGTTAGGTGGTTTGACACTTCATTTTGCAATTCCAGCCAACTTCTCTCTTTCAAGGGAGCCTGGAGCCTGGCTGCAGTTTGTCCAGGCTTGTAGAAACTTCAGTTCTCCCATCATGTGCCTCATTCTTACACATGGAGTTTCTGATCTCAGTTTGATAGCGTTTTATGTTTGATGGAGAGGAGCACTTCCATATTTTGCCTTCTTGCATCTAAATATAAATATTTTATTTTATAAGATTATGATTACTTTCTGCAAAAATGGCTCCCAAGTGCATTGGTTACTGTTATTTCTAGGTAATTTGTGAGGTCTCCACATGGACAGGTCAAGTCACTGGTTAGTTTTACATTCTTGTGGTATAAAGTTTAGTTTCCACAGTATATTTCTACAAGTGCTTATTAGCATTATCATCAGCTTTCTTTTCCATTCATAGAAACACTCTGAAATGTGCATTTTCTGTAATGAGAATTAGTGGTTGCTTAGAAGAATTTTTGCCTTCAGGCAAAAGCTTTTAACAGATAACCCATATGGCAAGAAAGTGAATGAAAAGAGAACTGGATTAGGACTCAGGAGACCTGAACTAAAGTTAAAGAATGCTTATAAGAAACTATAAAACAATGCTATTATTCTAATTTTTAATGTTATTTTTAAGAGTTAAAAATCTTTTCTGCATAAGCATATTCTTTTCCAGAGTGCTCCAATATATGTATTATTGATAATTAGTACAAAGAAATAATCCCATAATTTGCCTAAGGCTTTGTAGTTTCAAAGTACTTTCATAGCTATAAAAGCCTAGAAAGTTAAAAAGTCTAATCTTTTTTTAAGAGAAAAAGTGTTTATAGATCACATCAACTTAGTTGAACATTCTCCTTTTTTAAAGAATGAAAAAATAGCTAGTCATGGTGGCACTCTTCTGTAATCCCGGCTACTCAGGAGGCTGAGGCAAGAGGATTGCTTGAGCCCAGGAGTTCAAGACTAGCTCGGGCAATATACCAAGACCTCATTTAAAAGAAAAAAGTCCAATACAATATTATAGAGATATACTACATAAAAATGAAAATTATCTGTAGCTATTTTATTAACCATTGCTTATAATTTGGTATTAATTTCCACAGTATTTATTTTTCTAAACATGTATTTGTAGTGTTTTTCTCTTTTTTAGACTAAGAAAGAACCATATTATCCAAGCTGTTTTACACCTTTTGTTCCATATATCAATTGGTCTTGAATGTCTTCCCATGTTTACATTATGTCAAATTGACTTCATCTTGTAAATTCCTGTACAATATGTCATTCAGTCAATCATTTGTTGATAGATTTTTAGATTGTTCCCAGTATGTCCATAATATGAATATGCTGCAAGAATATTACCAGACACATATCTTTGGATCTTCTGCATGTACATCTGAAAAATAAATTCCTGTTTAGGATAGCTGTGTCAAAAACTAAGAACATTTTCAACTTTAAGATGTATTTCCAAATTGTCTTCCAAAAAAGGATGTATCAATTTTCCTTTCACCAACAATGAATGAACAGAGTTAGACAAACTAATGTTCTTAACATCTATTTCCACATGGGTAAAATGAGTGGGCTGGGCTCTATGCATTTATATTCTAATTGCTTGATTGTTTCCTAAGGGCAGGTACTACGATTTGCTCAACATTAAATTCTTAGTGGGCAGAACATGGCTGGGCACATAGTAGGTCACCAATAAATATCTGCTAAATGAACTTATCTGTAAATTATTCCCAATCTCATATAGGGATATGCATCAATGGTAATGGTAATGTCAATGAAATCTCTTAGTTTTCTTTCATGGATTGCTAAATCTGAAGTAGCATGAACTGCTGGCAATTGGTAATCAGGATAGCTCCTAATTTTCTAAATTTCTTATTTAGTCTTTTTCAATTTGGTAATATAGTAGGTCAAAAATAAAACTGTGCCCTAATTCTTTCATAAAGGTAGGCAAGTGATCAAGAAACTCCTTTTCTGCACTATAGTAAAGAGGTAAATAAATTCCTTATTCCAGAAGATCTTCAGGCTGCCGCACCTCCCTCTCATTAAAAATTTTTCCAGACACTTATTACAACTTTTTTTTTTTTTGGAGACAGGGTTTCACTCAGTCACCCAGGCTGGAGTGCCGTGGCATGACCATGGCTCACTGCAGCCTTGACTTCCTGGGCTCAGGTGATTCTCCCACTTCAGCCTCCTCAGTAGCTGGGCCCACAGGGGTGCACCACCAAGCCTGGCTAATTTTTGTATTTTTTATAGAGATGGGGTTTCACCATGTTGCTCAGGCTGGTCTTGAACTTCTGGCTTCAAGCAATCCTCCCATCTTGGCTTCCCAAAGTGCTGGGATTACAGGGGTGAGCCACAGCACCTGGCCACTTATTACAAAGATTTTAATAGAATGTCCTCTGTTCTTAGTGACAGTTTTAGGTTTTCATACCTATTCCTCTCCAAAGTAACTATAATGTCTTGGCTTTTCCTGAGAATTTCTAAGAGTATATGGTAGAAATACAAGCCAGCAATTATATTTTCTTAGCTGAACATGGGAAAAATTGTAAGAAGGGAATGTTGTGCTGGAATTGCTAGGTCAGATCAGTAATGGTAAAAAGATTTTATGACTTGGAGCTAAATATAGAGTATTTTCTTCCACTTTCAACTTTTCTCCTACCAGTGGATAAAATACAGTACATTGGGAAATGTATGACACCGGGATCAGGTAGGCTTGGGTTCAAAATATTGGTTCTGCCACTCAGCAGCTCTGAGTCAGAGTATGTCCATTTCCTCACCTATAAAATGGAGAAAATTATGCTACCTACTAATGAAGATTTTTATGAAAATCCATCCTGTTCCTCCTTGAGATCTCAATGTAGTCATCATCTCCTCTAAGAAAGTATTCTTGACTCCTTTCTCCCACAAGGTAAAGTAAAATGTCTTTTGTCTGTGCAAATTGCCACCACTCCCCACCTACTTCCCACTCCACATCAGAATTCTGTGCTATCACTGCATTTCTTATTGTATTAAAATTGCATCTGTATATGCCTGTCACTCCTACTAGACTGTGAGAAATTTATAACACATATCTCTAACACTTAATAGGGAACCTGCCTATCAAAATATAGTCTTAGTAAATGTTTGTTGAGTGAATGAATGACATATTTCAAGTGATTGCACCATACTTAAAACATTGGAAACATCAAACAATGTGTTCTTTTTTGACTTCTATCATAAATAGGGGCCTGAAAGTTTTAGTAAAAACATTTATCTCTTGCCCATGATGCTGTAGCTAAGAAATACAAGGTTAGAACTGTTTTTTTGATTCATTCTAGGTAATTAGATACACTGATGGGCATGGTTCATGGAAGAAGTTAAGATTTAACAAACGATGAATAATGGGATGAAAATTTCTTCGAACCTTTAGCCATAGCTTATGCACATGCATCCAGAAGGAAAATTAATTGTTTGACCCTTTGTTCATATTTTTTTGTAAATATAAAACTTGGCAGTGTTGATTTAGATCATCAAAGCAATGTATCGGCGATCTTTCGCATTTGTCTCAGCTGCCTTTTTTCATTGCATTACAAATGATGTTAATTCTGTGCTTAATTATGCTCAACATAGTTTATAGGCAATCCAGTGTTTATCAGTTGGACATAGCAAAAATTCTGTTGTTTTCTTTCCATCTTCCTTCTGCTTATCATTTGTTGATTTTTGAAAGCAGCTGGAGTTGTTCCATGTGAATGGAAACAATTATAAGGCTGTACAATCTTCTCTACAGAGAAATGCATTTCTCTCTAGAAACCATCTTATCAACTACAATCTTTGCTTTTTAAATAATTGATATATATTCTCATGCAAACTTTTAACCTGATCTTTGCTGTCCTCTCAGATCAAAAGAAATCTCCACTCAGATTATAGAAAAAAAAACCTTTCCACCTACTCAGAATTTTCTAAAAGCCTGTGTATTTCATCCACTGAAATAGAACCTCCATCTATCCAAATTGACTACTATAGCCAGTCAGACATGTATTGATGTTTTAAGGAAATGATAAATGTTTGAGATGAGGGATATGCTAATTACCCTGATCTGATCACTATACATCATATCATTATGTATAAGTATTGTCAATTAAAAATTTTTTTGTTTTATTTATTTTTACTGTTTTTTTAAATGGAATGTTTCATGAATCTCCATGTCATCCTTGTGTAGGGGCCATGATAATCTCTGTATTGTTCTGAGAGTGACAGAAGGCAGCCAAATGCCTAGGCAGAAAGGGGAGGGTCCCCAGTGAAACCCCACCTCCAAGCTGAAGACGGTTTAAAGCCTGAAAGCCAAGCTACAAGTTAAATCCTCAGACTGGATTGAGAACTTGTCTTCCTGTTTGGCATGCTTTCCTCTGATTGATCCCCACCCTTCACCTATTTAACGTATATCTACCCTTTCCTAATTGGTTTTCTACACTGTCATGCCCATCTTTGAGTGGTGTCTTTGCTTTAACCTTTTTTGCATACTCACAAACCAATCAGCATGCACTTCCCATCCTCTGCCTATAAAGACCCCAGACTCAGTTGGTAGAGGAGAAGACAGCCTAACTTCAGAGAAGAGACAATCTAACTTTGGGAACCACGACCCGCCGTTTTCATCCCCTATCCGGCTCCCCTCTCTGCTGAGAGTTGTTTTCATTGCTCAGTAAAATTCTCTGCCTTCACCATCCTTTAACAATCCATGTGACCTCATGCTTCTTGGACTCTGGACAAGAACTTGGGACCCACCGAGTATGGGCACCCAGAAAGGCTGTCATACTGGCCCTTTGCCCTCGCCAGCAGAGGGCAGCCATCCTCCTCAGTGAGGCAAGTGGCCAAATGAGCTGCTAGGACACAGCTGTTGTTGGACTGTGGATGGTGGAACTAAAAGAGTGCTGTAACACCTCCTCTGGGACTTCAGGGTTGAAAGCACCTTCACCTGGGTGCCTGCATTCCCCTTGAGGCAACACGCTTAGTCTGGCCGCGGGTTCCACACGGAGCTTGCTCCTGTGTCAGCACGCAGAGCAGCCGGCCAGATCCTGCACTCACTCGCTTACGTGCTCCCTTCTGCAAGGGGCTGAGCGTGGTGGGCCAAATAGAGGGGAATGTCCCTGCCGTGAGTCTAGGGAAGGGGTCAAGAAAAATCCTGCATCAGTTTCAATTTTAGTGTATGTGCTGCCGAAGTGAGCAAGAGAAAAAGTTGTTTAAAAAGTTCATGTTAATATAATGATTGGATATTTGTATCTTAGGTTCTCATATTTTCTTTTTTCTTTTTTTCAGATGGAGTTTCACTTTGTCACCCAGGCTGGAGTGCAGTGGCGTGATCTTGGCTCACTGTGACCTCTGCCTCCCAGGTTCAAGCGATTCTCCTGCCTCAGCCTCCTTAGTAGCTGGGATTAAAGGCGCCCACCACCATGCCCAGCTAATTTTTGTATTTTTAGTGGAGTTAGGGTTTCACCATGTTGGCCAGTCTGGTCTCAAACTCCTGACCTCAGGTTATCTGCCTGCCTCGGCCTCCCATAGTGCTGGGATTACAGGGATGAGCCACAGCGCCCAGCCAGGTTCTTGTATTTTCAATTATTATGTGTATCTTAGAAGTTGAAAAGGGAGTACTTTTGTTTAATATTTACTTTATTATTTGATTTTTTAATTGTCATTTTAAATTTAAATTCAGGGGGTATATGTGCAGGTTTGTTACAGGGTATATTGTGCGGTGCTGAGGTTTGGTCTTTTACTGATTCCATCACCCAGATAGTGAACATAGAACCCAAAAGGAAGTTTTTCAGCCCACCTGCCTCCTCCTTTTGGAGTCTTCATTGTTTATTGTTCCTATCTTTATGTCTGTGTGAACCCAAGATTTAGCTCCCACTTGTAAGTAAGAACATGTGATATTTGGTTTTCTGTTTCTGCATTAGTTCGCTTAGGATAATGGCCTCCAGCTGCATCCATGTTGCTGCAAAGGACATTATTCAATTTTTTTATGGCTGTATAGTAGTCCATGGTGTATATGTACCACATTTTTAAAATCCAATCCTAGGTTAGTTCCACGTCTTTGCTATTGCAAATAGTGCTGCAATGAACATATGATAGCATTTGTCTTTTGGGTAGAATGATTTATCTTCCTTTGGTATATACCCCGTAATGGAATTGCTGAGTGGAAATGGTAGTTCTATTTTTAGTTCTTTGAGAAATCTCCAGACTGCTTTCCAGAGTGGCTGAACTAATTTACATTCCCACTAAGCATTCCCTTTTCTGCACAACCTTGTCAACATCTGTTGTTTTTGGACTTTTTTTTTCTCTGTACATTGGGATGACTTTTTAATAATAGCCCTTCTGACTGGTGTAAGACGGTATGTCATTGTGCTTTTAATTTGCATCTCTCTATTATTAGTGATGATGAACATATTTTCATGTTTGTTGGCTGCTAGTTGTCTTTTTTTGAGAAATGTCTGTTTATGTCCTTTGCCCATGTTTTAATGGGGTTGTTTGCTTTTTTCTTGTTGATTCATTTAAGTTCCTTATAGATTCTGAATGTTAGATCATATTTGGATGCATAGTTTGCAAATATTTTCTCCCATTCCCTAGATTGTCTGTTTGTTCTGTTGATCATTTCTTTTTGCTATGTAGAAGCTCTTTAGTTTAATTAAGTCCCATTTGTCTATTTTTGATTTTGATGCATTTGCTTTTGGGGTCCTCATCATAAATTTTTTGCCTAGGCCAGTGTCTAGAAGAATATTTCCTAGATTTTCCTCTAGAACTTTTGTAGTTTGAGGTCTTACATTTAAGTCTTTAATGCATCTTGAGTTAATTTTTGTATATGGTAATAGGTAGGGGTCCAATTTCATTCTTCTGCATATGGTTAGCCAGTTTTCCCAACAACATTTATTGAATAAAGTGTACTTTCCTCATTGTTCATTTTTGTCAACTTTGTTGAAGATGAGCTGGTGTAGGTGTGCAGCTTTATTTCAGGGGTCTCTAAAATGTTTCATTGGTCTATGAGCTTTTGGTTAGTATTCACTTTAAAAGGATCATTTCTGTGGGCTTGACCATAAGAGATAAATTCATTTTTTAAAATTTTTATTTTTTTTCAGTGTAGGATCAAAACTACAATTAGAATATAAGTGTAAGTATTGAAAAGCAATGTAGTTATGTGATTTTCTTTCTAAGAGTTCTAAGATCAAAATATTTATGAAAAACATTTTTGGTGGCTATCATGAGTTTTTAAAGATTAACATAATTTCTGAGAGTAGTTTTGCAGGTAAAATTTAGGTCATTATAAAACATATGAGTTATGCTCTAAAATTAATAGTTATATTTATCAAGTGACTATTCTGTGTCAATTGTTTTACGTACATTACAATGATCTCATTTATTCCTTAGAGACGAAACAAACATTTAAAAGTTGAGTGCAGTGGCTCATGCCTGTAATCCCAGCACTTTGGAAGTAGGTGGATTGCTTGAACTCAGGAGCTCAAGACCAGCATGGGCAACATGATGAAACCCCATCACTACCAAAAATACAAAAAATTAGCCAGGCGTGGTGGCATGTGCCTGTGTTCCCAGCTACTCAGGAGGCTGAGGTGGGAGGATTACTTGAGCCCAGGAGGCGGAGGTTGCAGCGAGCCAAGATTGTGCCACTGCATTTCAGCCTGGGTGACAGAGTGAGACGCCATCTCAAAAAAAAAAAAAAAAAAAAAAAAGATGAGGACCTGGAAGTTTGTAATTTTGTTTAGATTTATTAGGTGGAAGGTGCAGGATTGGAAGCCATGAAAAAATGCTCATCACTGGTCATCATGCCACATTTTAAATGTTGCAAAATCTCTAACCAGAAAGTTATAACCAGAAGTTTATAAAATCTGTCCTCTAACCCCTTAATACCACCTCCCCCAAGTCCTTAAAAACAGTCCAGTCCTCAAAAACCAGATTCTTTCAATTTCTCTGGGGTTAAAATTGCTTTTTTTCTGTAGACAAAGGAAGCAGGATCAGGAGGGAGGACCAGATGAGAAGAGAGTTTGGGCACTTAATTGTTACCACTTTGAGCAACATACTTTGAACTCTCTGAATCCTCAGTTGCTCATCTGTAGAGTGTGTTTAATGGTATGTAGGCTCACGGGATCTGTGGCAAGGCCTAAATGAGGTCTTGGCTTGGTTCCATAAACACATATGGAACCTTTAGCAGACTCCCTGGCATGTAGTAAGTGCTCAATAAATGGCAGTTATTACTACTCTTCAGGGTCTGGGGCTCCTCCTTGAAATAATTTCTAATAATAACAATAATAATCATGGTTAGTATTTACTGAGCACTGACCGTGTACCAGAGGCTCTTCCAAACACTTTTTTTTAAACTAGAAATCAACTTTATTATTTATTTATTTATTTATTTATTATTATTATACTTTAAGTTCTAGGGTACATGTGCACAACGTGCAGGTTTGTTACATATGTATACATGTGCCATGTTGGTTTGCTGCACCCATTAACTCGTCATTTACATTAGGTATTTCTCCTAATGCTATCCCTCCCCTTGCCCCCCACCCCATGACAGGCCCCCATGTGTGATGTTCCCTGCCCTGTGTCCAAGTGTTCTCATTGTTCAATTCCCACCTATGAGTGAGAACATGTGGTGTTTGATTTTCCATCCTTGTGATAGTTTGTTCAGAATGGTGGTTTCCAGCTTCATCCATGTCCCTGCAAAGGACATGAACTCATCCTTTTTTTATGGCTGCGCGTATTCCATGGTGTATATGTGCCACATATTCTTTATCTAGTCTATCATTGATGGACATTTGGGTTGATTCCAAGTTTTTGCTATTGTGAATAGTGCCGCAATAAACATACGTGTGCATGTGTCTTTATAGGATTTTATTTCTCCTTCACTTATGAAGCTTAGTTTGGCTGGATATGAAATTCTGGGTTGAAAATTCTTTTCTTTAAGAATGTTGGATATTGGCCCCCGCTCTCTTCTGGCTTGTAGAGTTTCTGCTGAGAGATCCGCTGTTGGTCTGATGGGCTTCCCTTTGTGGGTAACCCAACCTTTCTCTCTGGCTGCCCTTAACATTTTTTCCTTCATTTCAACCTTGATGAATCTGACAATTATATGTCTTGGGGTTGCTTTTCTCGAGGAGTATCTTTGTGGCGTTCTCTGTATTTCCTGAATCTGAATGTTGGCCTGCCTTGCTAGGTTGGGGAAGTTCTCCTGGATAATATCCTGCAGAGTGTTTTCCAGCTTGGTTCCATTCTCCCCATCACTTTCAGGTATACCAATCAAATGTAGATTTGGTCTTTTCATGTAGTCCCATATTTCTTGGAGGCTTTGTTCATTTCTTTTTACACTTTTTTCTCTAAACTTGTCTCCTCGTTTTATTTCATTCATTTGATCTTCAATCACTGATACCCTTTCTTCCACTTGATCAAATTGGCTATTGAATTTTGTGCATGTGTCACATAGTTCTCGTGCCATGGTTTTCAGCTCCATCAGGTCATTTAAAGTCTTCTCTACACTGTTTATTCTAGTTAGCCATTCGTCTAATCTTTTTTCAAGGTTTTTAGCTTCCTTGCGATGGGTTCGAACATCCTCCTTTAGCTCGGAGAAGTTTGTTATTACCGACTTTCTGAAGCCTACTTCTGTGAACTCATCAAAGTCATTCTCCATCCAGCTTTGTTCCATTGCTGGCAAGGAGATGCAATCCTTTGGAGGAGAAGAGGTGCTCTGGTTTTTAGAATTTTCAGCTTTTCTGCTCTGGTTTCTCCCCATCTTTGTGGTTTTATTTATCTTTGGTCTTTGATGCTGGTGACCTACAGGTGGAGTTTTGGTGTGGATGTCCTTTTTGTTGATGTTGATTCTATTCCTTTCTGTTTGTTAGTTCTCCTTCTGAGAGTCAGGTCCCTCAAATGCAGGTCTGTTGGAGTTTGTTGGAGGTCCATTCCAGACCCCTGTTTGCCTGGGTATCACCAGCAGATGCTGCAGAACAGCATATATTGCTGCCTGATCCTTCCTCTGGAAGCTTTGTCTCAGAGGGGCACCTGCTTGTATGAGGTGTCAGTTGGCCCCTACTGGGAGATGTTTCCCAATTAGGCTACATGGGGGTCAGGGACCCACTTGAGGAGGCAGTCTGTCTGTTCCCAGAGCTCAAACGCCATGCTGGGAGAACCACTGCTCTCTTCAGAGATGTCAGACAGGAAGGTTTAAGTCTGCAGAAGTTTCTGCTGCCTTTTGTTTAGCTATGCCCTGCCCTGAGAGGTGGGGTCTACAGAGGCAGCAGACCTTGCAGAGCTGTGGTGGGCTCCACCCAGTTCAAGCTTCACCAGCTGTTTTGTTTACCTACTCAAGCCTCAGCAATGGCAGACACCCCTCCCCCTGCCAGGCTGCCATCTCGCAGGTTGATCTCAGACTGCTGCACTAGCAGTGAGCAAGCCTCCATGGGCGTGGGACCTGCTGAGCCAGGCGTGGGATATAATCTCCTGGTGTGCCATTTGCTAAGACTGTTGGAAAAGCGCAGTATTTGGGCGGGAGTGTCCTGATTTTCCAGGTGCAGTCTGTCACAGCTTCCTTTGGCTAGGAAAGGGCAATCCCCCGAACCCTTGCCCTTCCTGGGTGAGGTGATGTCCTGCCCTGCTTCAGCTCACCCTCCATGGGCTGCACCCACTGTCCAACCAGTCCCATTGAGATGAACCAGGTACCTCAGTTGGAAATGCAGACATCACCATCTTCTGCGTTGATCACGCTGGGAGCTGCAGACTGGAGCTCTTCCTATTAGGCCATCTCCAATTGTTTCAAAATGGAAGCATATGGTTGGGCTGGTTGTTGAGTCTCAAATAAATAGCTTCTTTTAGCCCAAACACTTTCTAAAAAAATTTTATATATTTTTTGAGACAGAGTCTTGCTCTGTCACCCAGGCTGGAGTGCAGTGATGCAATCTTGACTCGCTGCCACCTCGCTTAGTTCCTTAGCTGAGGAGCTAAGACTCACTCCTTAGCCTCTTGAGTAACTGGGACCACAGGTGTGCACCACCTCATCCAGCCTAATCTTTGTATTTTTAGTAGAGATGGTGTTTTGCCATGTTGGCCAGGCTGGTCTCAAACTCCTGGCCTCATGTGATCTGCCTGCCTCAGCCTCCCAAAGTGCTGCAATTACAGGTGTGAGCCACCATGCCTAGTCTCTTCCAAACACTTTAAATGCATGTGTTTGCTTAATCCTTGAAACAACCCAAGTGGTAGTTTGTGTTTATCATCTCTCTTTTGTAAGTGACAAGATTGATATCCCAGATATCCTTACCCAAGAGCATCCCTTTACTAAGTAGAAAACATGAGATTCAAGCTCAGAAAGTTCAGCTTTGAAACACATGCTTTTACCCTTTCCATTGTCCCAATGCTGTTTTAACCTTCCCTGGAACACTTTTGTCCTTTTTTAAAAAATTTTCTTTTCTGTGAACTCTGCAGAGAAGTATTTTGTCCTTTATTGGCATCCATTCAACACCAAGCCCATTGCTGGACTCAATATTGACTGCAGAGAACACCAGATCATTTAATATTTATTTGATGTGATAATTGGTTGGTTGATTAATAATTTCCAATATAGTGAGTGATCAACAAACACTGGATAAGCAGTTATGAGATGCTAGCCATGTGGCCCAGCATTGCAGCAACAAAGATAAGGTTAACAGACAATTACAGTACCGTGTGATGAGCCCATAGACAGACATGTTCTGAGGGCAATATAAGTACTTAACTATGCCTCTGGAAGGAGACTGCCAGTGACTAGTACCAAAGTTAGTCTGTTTATACTTGCCCTTTCTCTGATGGCTGGACAGATGCAGAACATGCAAGGTAATGGTAATCAGGAAATAAGCAGCTATTATGAAAGCCAGGCAGGTAGAAAGCACTCTGCATGGATGAGCTGGAACATAGTATAGGGATCCCCAGGAACTGTTGAGGACATGGCAGGCCTGACAGGCCAACCTGAGGTACAAAGATTCTAAAAAGATTTTAATTTAAGCCACCTGGGGCAGTCTTATAATTTGTTTGTTTTTTCTTTATCCAACAAGTACTTATTAAATATCTACCATATTCCAGCCCCAGCCAAACATTGTGCTAGGGATACAATGATAAGCAAAAAATAAACATGACTCCATCTCCAATGGATTTTAGTCTAGCCAAAAGACAGATATTAATAAAATAATTATGTAACAGTGAATGCCAAGTCTCAATAACAATTTGAAACTAAGAACGATTTCTTTACTCATTCAGTATGCAAAAGATGTGAGTTCATGTATTGCTAATATTTATGCACCAGGCTCCATCCAAGGTGCCCAGTGTACAAAGACGTTGAACATGGATTGTTATGTTAAGGCAGTTCTTCCCTATCTTTTTCAAATCATGGTATGCTTAGCAGATGTGTTTTTGCACAATGGGATAAATGGATGAATGTGCTTGTGGTCAGAGGCATCTGATTCACTGTCTGCCTACCCCAGGAGCTGAGAATAAATGAGAGAAATCAATATCCTTCCATGCCTACATTTAATTGTAGCTCATTAGTTAAGGGTCTCTTAATGTGTTCCATCATCTAGTGGGAGGAGGAAGATATACAGACGAATCACTATGGAGTAAGTAAATGCTATAGCAGATATACCAAAAAAATACTGTGAGGACACAAAGGAGAGAGAAATGATTCCTAACTTGGAGATGTCAAGAAAGTCTTCAGAGAAGAAGGGACATTGAAGCTGGATTCTGACAGTTTTTGTCAGTCACAGAGGATCAAAAGGCGTTCCAGGGCAAGAGACCGGCATGCACAAAGATGTGGAGTTATAAAAGCCATTACGTGTTCAAGCAGCTGCTATGCTCTGTAAATTCAGTATCTGAGGAATGGAATGTGATAGGAAGAGAATGGTAACAAGATATAGATAGAATCCATATTTTGAAGCTCCTTTTATACATATGCTTTTAAAGGGCTTCATCTTCTCTTTCCTAATGTCTCTTTCATTTATTCATTCATTTCTTTTCTTCAGACAAATATTTATCGAGTGATTGTTATGTGCTAAACACTATTCTTGGAGCTAGTATTAGAATAAATACCTTGAAAAACACTAGTGCACTACTCTGTTATATTATCCAGCAAGAAATAATGTGAATCTCAAAGAGTGTATTACTGGTCCAAGATCACATGGACCGCTGGTTGGAAGTCATTGTTCTGAAGCTCAGGTTTTTTGACTTCCAGTGCTTTATTGACTCATGTGTTGGCTGCAGAAATGTGCCGCTCAAATTTCCTTTAAGAGAAGCTGCTATGAGGAGCGTAGTTGATGACAGCCTCTGGATGCCACCCTTTTAGATCCACTTGGTGTTCATGAAAAAACCACACTTTCTTCCCCTGCTTTGCGCCCCGAGACAATGACTGAGCATTGGTGAGGATAATAGTATTGGCTTATTCCAGGAATGGGGAAATTGATTCAACATTAGTAACTCTGTTGATATAATTCACCTATGAGAAGAACAAATAAGAGAAATAATATAATCATATGTATAATATAATATAAATCATAATATAACAAGCACTGAAAAAACCTCAATCAATTAAAGACTTTATGGACACATTTTAAACTAATAGTCACTTTTTAAAAGCCAGCATTATGTTTAATTAAAACACACTGGGAACACATTAAATATGATGCTAGCTTTTAGATGGTGACTATTAGCTTAAAATGGGTTTATGTTGTTCCATTAATGTCAAGAAGAAGCCAGAGTGTCTACTATCTCTACTATTTTATTAACATAGTCCTGACTATACTTGCCAATGCAATTAGAAAAAAGAAATGAGTTATATATATGTTTGAAAAAAGAAAGTAAAATTGTTTTTGCAAATGTTATACTTGCTTACATGGAATACACAAAAGAATAAACTAAAAAATTATAGCAAACAGTAGGGGAATTCATAACTACTTGAATACAATAATAAAGAGTAATCAACAGCTTTCTTAGGTACAGACAATAACCGATTAGAAGATATAATGAAAAAAATCATCACATTTACAATAGCAACAAAAATTAATTTCTAGAAATAAATGTAACAAGAAGTGTATGAAATCTACACAAATGAATGGAAAAACATACATTTTCTTAAATACAGAGATTCAATATTATAAACATGTCAGTTCTTCCTAATTTAAGTAATAAGCTTAATTCTCTTACTGTACCAATAAATACAGTAAGAGTATTTATTGTTTATCTATGCATTTGTTTTTGGAACTGGAAGTGTTGATTCATACAGAAAATTTTAAAACATCAAGAAAATTCTTGAAAAAGAGGAGTAGCAAGTTAATTACCCACCCAAATGTTAAAATATAGCACTACTGTAATTACATTAATATAATAATAATTACATTAATTTTTGCATGAATTGACAGGCAGATAAATGGAATAAACAAGACAGTCTGTAAGTAGATCCAAATATGTATCAGATGTTAATATATGGCAAGAATGGGATAGAAAGTCAGAGGGTAAGCAATGTAATGGCAATTACTCTTGCACCAAACTAATAATAAATGGTATTGGGACAACTGGATAGCTATCTGGAAAATAAAATTAATTTTGGATCCTTACCTCATTACTTACAACAAAATTCCAGATTTTTCCAAGATGTACAAAGAAAACTTAAAATATAAGTATACTAGGAAAATACTATATATGTATACACATAGGTGTGTGGGTATGTGTGTGTTCGTATGTGTGTGTATTGGGAAGACTTTTCTAAGGTTAATCCAAAACTAAGAAATCATAAAAGAAAAAGTTGATTAATTTGGCCACATATAATTACAATAAAATTGTCATGGCATTAAAATACCTTAAGCAAAGACAAATTAGACATGACAAACCAGGAAAATATATTTGTTTGCACCTCATGACATAGAACAAAGGGTATGTTCCTCAGCATATACAAATAAATATGTAAGAAAAAGACCAATAATCCAATAAAAAATGAACACAGTATAAAATAGTTTGCATTAAAGTAAATACAGATGGGTCTGAACATAAGCAAAGGTATTTACTTTATACATAATAAAAATTAAAAATTAAAACTATACTGAGGTGCCATTTTCCCTTGTCAATTTGGCAAAGAAAAAAGAAATTTGATAGCATACTGTATTGAAAGAGTGTAAGAAAATAGCATCTTATACGCTGCCTTTGGGGATACAATTTGGTGTAAACTCTGTAAGAGGCTATCTAACAATATCTATCATAATTACAAATGCACATACCCATTGATCTTGCAATTCTACTACAGGAGTTTACCTACTTATATACTCAGCACACCTTAAATGACAAACTTAAAAGTATATTCATCATAGCATTGCTTGGAGTAGCAAAAAGATTGAAGGCAGCAGAAATATTAATATTAGAGAACTGGTTAAATAAAAAAATAAAAATAAATAAATTATGTACAGGCATGGCATGAGAAACTATGCAACCTTCATAAAGAATAAAGCTACTCTATATGTATTGATTTGGGGCAATATCCAATATGCAATGTTAAAAGAGTAAAGAATATTGTATATAATACTTTTTTTTTGTTCTACACACACACAATTTCATATGCATAGAATATCTATAAAGTGGTAAAGGTGGTTACTTTAGGGAAGGAAACTAGGAAACTAAAGACAGGAGAGATTAAAAAAACTAAATTTTGAATCTACAAATTTTTATTTTTATTTATCACTGTGATATGTTACATATATACAATTCTCACTACAACACTAAGCATGCCATTCAGTTCAGCTCATATTTTCTTTGTAAAAAGACTTTCTCAATGAAGGAAGCAGTATGTTCATTCACATCTGGCACAGCTCCTTATCCTGTCACAGATTGCTAACAGTTTGCTGACTGGCTGCTTTCAGTAGTGGTAGTGAAGCCATTTCTGAAGCAGGGAATATATGCCTATACTTATGGGACTCTGGTGACTTGACCTGTATTTGTGATGCTGGGGTGAAAAACTAGAGTAATAGGAGTGTGAGAGTAGGAATTGTGGTGGGTGGTGGGCACAGCTGGTAGACTTTGTGGAAAGGTAAAACTTGCTAGCAACTTTTAACCTTTTTACTTAGCTTGGATGAAGAAAGGCATTCTGGATGTCACTTTGTATTCTGCAGAAGTATAAAATCAGAAAGTTAACCAGAGCTTAGAGTTCTCTCTGAGGAAGCAAAATGGCTAAGAAAACACAGCAGTAATTTAATGTTTATAAAGACTGGACTGAAATAACTACAGTATATCAAAAGCAAATAACTGCTGAGGAAATTGGCATATTTTAATTTGGTTCAGACTGTATTTTACATGTTCTGGGTGTACTGTGATGTATGAGTTTGTATGTAGAGCTTAAATGTATAATTAATACGGCTTTGAAGCTAGTTCTATCTACATGATTAAAATTTATCATGGTATTAGCTTTCAGACAGAGACTTTTTCACAAGTTATAGTCAATGCTATAAATTAGATCTTTTCTGATGAGCTCTGAACAAAGGACTATAATTTATCTCAATGGTATTTTGTTACAGGCATTTTAATTGCTGTGGCAGGTGAAAAACACCATTCAATATTTTGACCAAACTTTTTTTAATGAAATTATTTGCTTCCAGTACCGTTGGTTTAAAGAACATTCTGTCTTATTGAAGATGAACTAAAAGTCTTTATTTATACATATGACTCAACCTCACCTTGAATACTAGGCAAATCTACTTAGTGGGGAGTTTATTCCATAAAGAAGACCAGGAATCTTTTAACATTTGTAAAGGGGTTGACAGGTTGGTCCTTGCAAGTGTATATCAAAAAGGAGAAATTCCAGATTTCTTTTTCAGTGGTCTATAAGTGAAGAACTGGGAATTGATTGCTGGCAAATAAATTATGGGTGTGGCACATTTTTTGCTTTCCAATTCTTTTTTTCTGATCACATAAGTAATATATGCTTTAAAAAAGTTATAGAAATGTGCAATTTCAAAAAAAAAACTTTAACAATAATTTCTCTAAGAGATAACTACTATTAACAATTTGGCATACATTCTTCCAGAAATTTTCTACACAAAATACTTTTTTTCCCTCTTAAGACTGTGGGTCTGATGCCAACAATGTCTGAATTTTTCCTCCTCTGCCTGCTGTATTTTATCACATTTGCCCACCCCCCACAGTTTCAATTACTTTGTTGGAATGATATATTATGCAAATGTATCCAAAAGTCCCAGTTCCTGGGCCTACGGACAGATTTCATGCCAATGCATCTGTGCCTAAGAGCGGATTTTAGATTTGTGCCTGTGCCCAAGTAAGGACTGGGTGCCAGCTTGTCAAAGCTTAGCTGAGTACAGACCACCATGCCATGAGTTAGGCTGCTTCTGGTGGTTCCATTTCCTCCAACCCAGACGGAAGTATCTGGTTGAGTACAGTGCTGGAGGGCGGTGTCTTTATTACACTTCCCCACATTCGGTTCAGTGGATTAAGCAAGGTTTCTTACTTCGATTTCACCCTTGTCAAAATGATTACCAAGCTTATTCCATCTTGGGTTGTATGTTTCCCAGCTTCTAATGGATGATTTTTATGGTTTAGTACTTGACCACCAATTCAGTAGACACTAGTGAGAGGCTTTAAAAAATGTCTTAGAAAACAATCTTTATTCAATGTGATAGGTCATTTGGAGTAAATACCCATGTATAGAGGGACTGAAATTAACAGTCTAAATGCTCAGCTGCATTTAGTGTGTGATTGAGTTTTAACACATCAAATAGATTTACTAAAGCCTAATAAAAAATTCCACAGATATTAGAATACTAATTCTGAGAAACCCTGGGTTAGAAAGCATCAGAAGCTGTTAAATACCTTATTGAATTTTGTCAACTTGCTCACTCTTCTTAATATACCATATTCAGAGTAGAAAAACAGTGTGTGCATAGTCAAAGAGGCCAAATCTATCCTTCTAAATTATCTTTCAAAGCCGTCCAATATTTCTTCTTCAGAAAGGATTGAGACAGGAAGTTTAAAAAGCCAGCTTTCGGCTAGGTGTGGTGGCTCATTCCTGTAATCCCAGCACTTTGGGAAGCCAAGGCAGGTGGATCACTTGAGGCCATGAATTCAAGACCAGCCTGGCCAGCATGGTGAAACCTCGTCTCTACTACAAATACAAAAAATTAGCTGGGAGTGGTGGGGCATACCTGTAATGCCAGCTACTGGGGAGGCTGAGGCAGGAGAATTGCCTGAACCCGGGAGGTGGAGGTTGCACTGAGCCAAGATTGTGCCACTGCACTCCAGCCTGGGCGACAGAGCAAGACTCCGTCTCAAAAAAAAAAAAAAAAAAAAAAAGCCAGCTTTTCCTATTTTCATGTTGGAAACATCTCGGGTGTCAAAGACAATGTGAAATTTGGTGTATATCTATATGCATACATACAGAAAACTTACATAGATATACTACCATTTATGAGAGACTTATTTTGCAACAAACACTTTACTAAGTGTTCATGTGGATTATATTGTAAACTATAAGCACCTCTTAAGCTCATCAGTATTCACAAAGTAATGGTGAAGCTCATATAACATCCCCATTTTCAAAAAGAAATAAGCAAAAGAATATCTCTGTTTTTTTCAAACAGAATAGAGACAGGAAGATGACATAACATGTTGTGATGAATTTCTGAAAAATCTCTGTATCACTTCCAAGACTAAACTTGCTATGAAGCTTCCAGAAGCAGAGTCTAGATTTGCGTCTGAACCTCCTGCCTGTCATTGAAATATTTGCCTGATGACACTTTCAGGGGTCTTGAAATTTAGAGCTGGAAAGAACTTAAAAATTATTGTCCTTCTTATTTTACTAATGAGGAAATAGAAGATGCGAGTCACTTGCTCATTTACTTATTTATTCTTTCTATTGCCAGTCACTAAAAACAGGCTACGGGCTTGATTCTTTATTATGTCTTGTGATTAAAAGCAAATAAGTTGACTTAGTCTAGTGCCCAGAATTTTAGAGTTGTTTATTTTAGTGGGAAAGGGCATGGAAGAAGCACTGGATCTATTGTCATAGGATTAGTGTGAACCCTGAATCCACTTATGAGTATAATCCATTAATTCACCATTAATTTTTTGAGCCCCTACTATGCATCAGGCATAAAGACACAGTAAATAAGGCCTCTGATCTTATCCAGTTTGCAGACCAGTGGGAGAGACATTTGAAAAGGAAGCAAGCAAAAGAAATGAACGTTCCAAATGAAATGAAAATTACAAACTGTGATAACAAACAGGGCTAGGTGAGAGAAGGCTAGAGGGTGGGTTCCAGTGAGAAGGTTTCTCTGAGAAGATGTCACTGAAGAATGCAGAGACAAAATGATGAGAAAGGGCAAGATAAGACTGGAATAGGAACTGGTGTCCAGGGTGTAACGGTGAAAAGTACAGTGACCGGCACAGGCAGAGCAAAAGGCCATGGCAAGGAGTTGAAATTATATATATATTATACATAAAATAAAATTATATATTACATAAAATTATATATTTTATATATATTTATATTTGAAACAGAGTCTCTCTCTGCACCCAGACTGGAGTGCAGTGACTTGATGATCTTGACTCACTGCAACCCAGGTTCAAGTGATTCTCCTTCCTTGGCCTCCCAAGCAGCTGAGATTACAGGTGCCTGCCACCATGCCCAGCTAATTTTTGTATTTTTAGTGGAGGTGGGGGTTTCACCGTGTTGGCCAGGCTGGTCTCGAACTCCTGGCCTCAAATGTGCACCTTGATCTCCCAAAGTGCTGGGACTACAGGCATGAGCCACCATGCCCTGCTTGAAATTATATTTGAAAAGCAGTGAGAAACCATTAAGGGGTGCTTAGCAATGGAAGCAACATTATGAATTTTTAAAAAGACTTCTAAAGTGACATTATGAATTTTAATTTTTTTTAATGGAGTCTGGCTCTGTCGTCCAGGCTGGAGTGCAGTGGTGCCATCTCAGCTCACTGCAACCTCTGCCTCCTGGGTTCAAGCGATTCTCCTGCCTCAGCCTCCCGAGTAGCTGGGATTACAGTTGCCCTCCACCATACCCGGCTAATTTTTGTATTTTTAGTAAAGATGGGGTTTTGCCAAGTTGGCCAGGCTGGTCTCAAACTCCTGACCTCAGGTGATCCACCTGCCTCAACCTCCCAAAGTGCTGGGATCACAGGTGTGAGCCACTGGAATTTTTAAAATTTTTATGTTGATTAAAGAATGTATTAGAAGGGAGCAAGTGTAAAAGTGGAACGTGCAGTAAGCAGGTTCTTTGCAGTAGTCCAGGTGAGAGATTACAAGTGGGTAACTGTGGCAGTGGTAAAGAGCAGCCTATGGACTGAGCTATTTTGGGGAACCATACACCAAGACTTGCTCACGGATTGAATGTGGGAAATTGGAGAGGTTATCATGAATGATAACCAGGTATCTGGCTTTAAAATTGAATGGATGAGAGTGCCGATGTATTTACTGATAGGTTGAAAACTAAGGGAGGATGGAGACTGATTAGCCTCTGTAGAAGTCTTATGCATTAAAAATATTGCATTGCCTCCTTTCTTTAAAAATAAGATGAAATGAAAACAATACTAAATTATAACGTAAACATAAAGATGTCTAATCAAGTCCTAACCCTTATGACTACTTATGTGGTGTTATTTTAAAACATTAAATATTAAGTTATTTCCTTAAAAAATTATTAGAAGATGAGTTTCCCCTATTCTATTGTGCTTTATGCCCAAGTTTGGCCTTCTCATTCAATTTTCCCAAGTCCTGGGAAAAGTCAATAGTTGTATTTTGGTATGTTGTGTTTGAGATGCATGTAAAACTGCTAAGAAATGTCAGGGTAGCAGTTGAATATACAACCGTAGGGGCACAGAAGGTGGAATAGATATATTAAGTAGGGAAATGTGAACAAATAGATGGTTTTAAAAGCTACATAAATGGATGTGATCATCCAAAGAAAATGGGTGAAGAGCCAGGTAGAATGTAACATTCAGATGAAGAAGAGAAAAAGGAGAGTGAAATGGAGTGGCCAGACTAGGAGAAGATGATGTCAGGGAAGCTAAGGGGAGAATAATTCAAGAATAGGATAGTGTACAGCTGTGCCAGTGCTTCCGTGTGGTCAATTCAGATGATGTCAGAGAACTGGATGTTGTTATTGACCTTAGGATGACAGAGTTTCAGGTTATGGTTGAGACTGAAGTTGATTGAGAGTTAATGGGAGATGAAGAAATTGAAATGATGTATATAGAAACATTTTGAAAACTGGTTGTAAAGGAGAAAAGAGAATTGGGTTAATAAGTGGAAGGGATTGTTGGGTCAGAGGGTGTTTTATTTGATTTTATTTTTAAGGATGAATGGTAATGGTGCATATTTGCATAAGAGGAAAGACCCAATAGGAAAGAAAGTTTGGTTGATGCAGAAGAGAAAAGGCATAACTTCAGGAGTAAAGTTCTTGAAAGGGTGAGAAGGAATGTGATTCAGAGCAGAAAGGTCAAAGAAGATGAGGAAATTCCTGTCTGATGCTGAAGTATAGGGAGAACATGTATCTTTAAAACATTCATCTTTGTACTCACCTGAGCCAACCTCCTTGTATGAAAACTTTTTCTTAATCAGAACATACAGATTGCCTTGAGAAATCATAATTTTATAGTATGAATAAAATACTGGCAAGTAGTAAAGTATTCAAAGGGAAGACTTGAAGAAAAAGGATACAGAATTTATGCCAGAAAGATGCACCTGGAAAGTCGATGATGTGCCTGATCTACTCCATCTTCCTGGGGGAAGCCAGGAAAGTACTGAAGCCTGAGAGGAGGTCTGAGGGTAAGAGACCAAAGAGAAGACCTCAGAGAATCACACAGAAGAGGGGCAGGTTAGCATTAGGAGACTGCTGAACGCTCTCTAGTAGCCAGCATCAAAGAGTTTTGTGGAAGCTTAGACAATACCTACTTACAACAATAGCTCACATTTATTGAACACTTGCAGGCATTTGTTTACATGCTCTTCACATAATAATCAATTCAGGTTGTTTAATTCCAAAAACCATTTGCAATAGAAAGTTATTTCTCCATTATTTGGATGAGGAAACTGAAGTATAGTACTTAGGTAACTTTCCCAAAGTCATGCAGCTATAAAGTGGGGTCAGATATTCAAGTTTAAGCAGTCTGGCTCCAGAGCCTCATTCTAATCACTATGGCAAATGGCTAGAGAATAGTTTTCAACAGTAGGGGTAATCACTGCATGGCTGGAGAGTTGTTGCTGGCTGCTGACTGGCAGCTCAGTTGGAAGCTGTTCAACCAGGAGCCTTGGTTCCTGCTCACATAGGTCTCCTGGGAATACTGGTGCTTCCTCACAGCATTGTGGATGGGTTACAAGAGCGAGTGTTCCAAGAGGCCTGAGTGAAAGTATATAACAAGCTTCTTGTGACCCAGTCTCACTTCTGCCATAGCAAATTTGTCAAGTGATTGAAGCCAGTCCACATTCAAGGAAAGTGGAACTAGACTTCACCTCTCAATGGGATGAGTAGCAAAGAAATCATGGCTGTCTTTATTTGCCACAGCCAGCTTTTTGAATTTTGTAATGTGCTGTTATTTTTTTCTCATTCTAATTAAACAGTCTCCTTCACATCTAATTTTTCATATGTAATTTTGTATTATTTCTCTTATAGAAAGCCCTCAAATTATATAAGGTTGAAGCTCTAATGGGAAATGTTGATGTCATCTCAGAAGTCAGAGGTAAACAGCTTTGAGCCTGCATGACTTAAGTTCAGAGAATTACTCTTGCTTTTACTAATTTTTTAAATTTTAGACTTGAATTTTTCCCCGTGGCTCTGGGATCATTTAGGAGATAGATAATCTAGTATTGTATGCACTGTTCTGGGAAGCCTGTGGAGTGGGTCATTACTTAGGAGAATAAATTCCAATCTTTTAGAAAGGCAAGCCAGTGGTGTTAGCAGCAGGCAGACCTCGCATTTTTTTTTTTAAATGGAATCTTGCTCTGTCACCCAGGCTGAAGTGCAGTGGCACCATCTTGGCTCACTGCAACCTCCGCCTCCTGGGTTCAAGCAATTCTCCTGGCTCAGCTTCCTGAGTAGCTGGGATTACAGGCGCCTGCCACCATGCCCAGCTAATTTTTGTATTTGTAGTAGAGACAGGGTTTCACCATGTTGACCAGGCTGGTCTCAAATTCCTGACCTCGTGATCTGCCCGCCTTGGCCTCCCAAAGTGCTGGGATTACAGGCATGAGGCACCACGCCCGGCCAACCTTGCATATTTAGATGTGTTTTTCTACTCATGTTTATTTTCTGCTACCTAAAAAAAGAGAATGGACACATTGGCCAAACAGAGACATATGACATACCCTTGATTTTCTAAACAGAGTTGCATCCATGGTATCTACCAAATTAAAGCAAAATGTTTGGATTTTGATTTCTCAGTACCCAACAAGGGGAAGGAGAGACTAGGAGAACAACTTTTTTTTTTTTTTTTTATTATACTCTAAGTTTTAGGGAACATGTGCACATTGTGCAGGTTAGTTACATATGTATACATGTGCCATGCTGGTGCGCTGCACACACTAATGTGTCATCTAGCATTAGGTATATCTCCCAATGCTATCCCTCCCCCCTCCCCCGACCCCACGACAGTCCCCAGAGTGTGATATTCCCCTTCCTGTGTCCATGTGATCTCATTGTTCAATTCCCACCTATGAGTGAGAATATGCGGTGTTTGGTTTTTTGTTCTTGCGATAGTTTACTGAGAATGATGGTTTCCAATTTCATCCATGTCCCTACAAAGGATATGAACTCATCATTTTTTATGGCTGCATAGTATTCCATGGTGTATATGTGCCACATTTTCTTAATCCAGTCTATCATTGTTGGACATTTGGGTTGGTTCCAAGTCTTTGCTATTGTGAATAGTGCCGCAATAAACATACGTGTGCATGTGTCTTTATAGCAGCATGATTTATACTCATTTGGGTATATACCCAGTAATGGGATGGCTGGGTCAAATGGTATTTCTAGTTCTAGATCCCTGAGGAATCGCCACACTGACTTCCACAATGGTTGAACTAGTTTACAGTCCCACCAACAGTGTAAAAGTGTTCCTATTTCTCCGCATCCTCTCCAGCACCTGTTGTTTCCTGACTTTTTAATGATTGCCATTCTAACTGGTGTGAGATGGTATCTCATAGTGGTTTTGATTTGCATTTCTCTGATGGCCAGTGATGATGAGCATTTCTTCATGTGTTTTTTGGCTGCATAAATGTCTTCTTTTGAGAAGTGTCTGTTCATGTCCTTCGCCCACTTTTTGATGGGGTTGTTTGTTTTTTTCTTGTAAATTTGTTTGAGTTCATTGTAGATTCTGGATATTAGCCCTTTGTCAGATGAGTAGGTTGCGAAAATTTTCTCCCATGTTGTAGGTTGCCTGTTCACTCTGATGGTAGTTTCTTTTGCTGTGCAGAAGCTCTTTAGTTTAATTAGATCCCATTTGTCAATTTTGTCTTTTGTTGCCATTGCTTTTGGTGTTTTGGACATGAAGTCCTTGCCCACGCCTATGTCCTGAATGGTAATGCCTAGGTTTTCTTCTAGGGTTTTTATGGTTTTAGGTTTAACGTTTAAATCTTTAATCCATCTTGAATTGATTTTTGTATAAGGTGTAAGGAAGGGATCCAGTTTCAGCTTTCTACATATGGCTAGCCAGTTTTCCCAGCACCATTTATTAAATAGGGAATCCTTTCCCCATTGCTTGTTTTTCTCAGGTTTGTCAAAGATCAGATAGTTGTAGATATGCGGCATTATTTCTGAGGGCTCTGTTCTGTTCCATTGATCTATATCTCTGTTTTGGTACCAGTACCATGCTGTTTTGGTTACTGTAGGCTTGTAGTATAGTTTGAAGTCAGGTAGTGTGATGCCTCCAGCTTTGTTCTTTTGGCTTAGGATTGACTTGGCAATGCGGGCTCTTTTTTGGTTCCATATGAACTTTAAAGTAGTTTTTTCCAATTCTGTGAAGAAAGTCATTGGTAGCTTGATGGGGATGGCATTGAATCTGTAAATTACCTTGGGCAGTATGGCCATTTTCACGATATTGATTCTTCCTACCCATGAGCATGGAATGTTCTTCCATTTGTTTGTGTCCTCTTTTATTTCCTTGAGCAGTGGTTTGTAGTTCTCCTTGAAGAGGTCCTTCACATCCCTTGTAAGTTGGATTCCTAGGTATTTTATTCTCTTTGAAGCAATTGTGAATGGGAGTTCACCCATGATTTGGCTCTCTGTTTGTCTGTTGTTGGTGTATAAGAAGGCTTGTGATTTTTGTACATTGATTTTGTATCCTGAGACTTTGCTGAAGTTGCTTATCAGCTTAAGGAGATTTTGGGCTGAGACGATGGGGTTTTCTAGATAAACAATCATGTCGTCTGCAAACAGGGACAATTTGACTTCCTCTTTTCCTAATTGAATACCCTTTATTTCCTTCTCCTGCCTGATTGCCCTGGCCAGAACTTCCAACACTATGTTGAATAGGAGCGGTGAGAGAGGGCATCCCTGTCTTGTGCCGGTTTTCAAAGGGAATGCTTCCAGTTTTTGCCCATTCAGTATGATATTGGCTGTGGGTTTGTAATAGATAGCTCTTATTATTTTGAAATACGTCCCATCAATACCTAATTTATTGAGAGTTTTTAGCATGAAGGGTTGTTGAATTTTGTCAAAGGCTTTTTCTGCATCTATTGAGATAATCATGTGGTTTTTGTCTTTGGCTCTGTTTATATGCTGGATTACATTTATTGATTTGCGTATATTGAACCAGCCTTGCATCCCAGGGATGAAGCCCACTTGATCATGGTGGATAAGCTTTTTGATGTGCTGCTGGATTCGGTTTGCCAGTATTTTATTGAGGATTTTTGCATCAATGTTCATCAAGGATATTGGTCTAAAATTCTCTTTTTTGGTTGTGTCTCTGCCCGGCTTTGGTATCAGAATGATGCTGGCCTCATAAAATGAGTTAGGGAGGATTCCCTCTTTTTCTATTGATTGGAATAGTTTCAGAAGGAATGGTACCAGTTCCTCCATGTACCTCTGGTAGAATTCAGCTGTGAATCCATCTGGTCCTGGACTCTTTTTGGTTGGTAAACTATTGATTATTGCCACAATTTCAGAGCCTGTTATTGGTCTATTCAGAGATTCAACTTCTTCCTGGTTTAGTCTTGGGAGAGTGTATGTGTCGAGGAATGTATCCATTTCTTCTAGATTTTCTAGTTTATTTGCGTAGAGGTGTTTGTAGTATTCTCTGATGGTAGTTTGTATTTCTGTGGGATCGGTGGTGATATCCCCTTTATCATTTTTTACTGTGTCTATTTGATTCTTCTCTCTTTTTTTCTTTATTAGTCTTGCTAGCGGTCTATCAATTTTGTTGATCCTTTCAAAAAACCAGCTCCTGGATTCATTGATTTTTTGAAGGGTTTTTTGTGTCTCTATTTCCTTCAGTTCTGCTCTGATTTTAGTTATTTCTTGCCTTCTGCTAGCTTTTGAATGTGTTTGCTCTTGCTTTTCTAGTTCTTTTAATTGTGATGTTAGGGTGTCAATTTTGGATCTTTCCTGCTTTCTCTTGTAGGCATTTAGTGCTATAAATTTCCCTCTACACACTGCTTTGAATGCGTCCCAGAGATTCTGGTATGTGGTGTCTTTGTTCTCGTTGGTTTCAAAGAACATCTTTATTTCTGCCTTCATTTCGTTATGTACCCAGTAGTCATTCAGGAGCAGGTTGTTCAGTTTCCATGTAGTTGAGTGGCTTTGAGTGAGATTCTTAATCCTGAGTTCTAGTTTGATTGCACTGTGGTCTGAGAGATAGTTTGTTATAATTTCTGTTCTTTTACATTTGCTGAGGAGAGCTTTACTTCCAACTATGTGGTCAATTTTGGAATAGGTGTGGTGTGGTGCTGAAAAAAATGTATATTCTGTTGATTTGGGGTGGAGAGTTCTGTAGATGTCTATTAGGTCTGCTTGGTGCAGAGCTGAGTTCAATTCCTGGGTATCCTTGTTGACTTTCTGTCTCGTTGATCTGTCTAATGTTGACAGTGGGGTGTTAAAGTCTCCCATTATTAATGTGTGGGAGTCTAAGTCTCTTTGTAGGTCACTGAGGACTTGCTTTATGAATCTGGGTGCTCCTGTATTGGGTGCATAAATATTTAGGATAGTTAGCTCCTCTTGTTGAATTGATCCCTTTACCATTATGTAATGGCCTTCTTTGTCTCTTTTGATCTTTGTTGGTTTAAAGTCTGTTTTATCAGAGACTAGGATTGCAACCCCTGCCTTTTTTTGTTTTCCATTGGCTTGGTAGATCTTCCTCCATCCTTTTATTTTGAGCCTATGTGTGTCTCTGCACGTGAGATGGGTTTCCTGAATACAGCACACTGATGGGTCTTGACTCTTTATCCAACTTGCCAGTCTGTGTCTTTTAATTGCAGAATTTAGTCCATTTATATTTAAAGTTAATATTGTTATGTGTGAATTTGATCCTGTCATTATGATGTTAGCTGGTGATTTTGCTCATTAGTTGATGCAGTTTCTTCCTAGTCTCGATGGTCTTTACATTTTGGCATGATTTTGCAGCGGCTGGTACCGGTTGTTCCTTTCCATGTTTAGCGCTTCCTTCAGGAGCTCTTTTAGGGCAGGCCTGGTGGTGACAAAATCTCTCAACATTTGCTTGTCTATAAAGTATTTTATTTCTCCTTCACTTATGAAGCTTAGTTTGGCTGGATATGAAATTCTGGGTTGAAAATTCTTTTCTTTAAGAATGTTGAATATTGGCCCCCACTCTCTTCTGGCTTGTAGGGTTTCTGCCGAGAGATCCGCTGTTAGTCTGATGGGCTTTCCTTTGAGGGTAACCCGACCTTTCTCTCTGGCTGCCCTTAACATTTTTTCCTTCATTTCAACTTTGGTGAATCTGACAATTATGTGTCTTGGAGTTGCTCCTCTCGAGGAGTATCTTTGTGGCGTTCTCTGTATTTCCTGAATCTGAACGTTGGCCTGCCTTGCTAGATTGGGGAAGTTCTCCTGGATAATATCCTGCAGAGTGTTTTCCAACTTGGTTCCATTCTCCACATCACTTTCAGGTACACCAATCAGACGTAGATTTGGTCTTTTCACATAGTCCCATATTTCTTGGAGGCTTTGCTCATTTCTTTTTATTCTTTTTTCTCTAAACTTCCCTTCTCGCTTCATTTCATTCATTTCATCTTCCATTGCTGATACCCTTTCTTCCAGTTGATCGCATCGGCTCCTGAGGCTTCTGCATTCTTCACGTAGTTCTCGAGCCTTGGTTTTCAGCTCCATCAGCTCCTTTAAGCACTTCTCTGTATTGGTTATTCTAGTTATACATTCTTCTAAATTTTTTTCAAAGTTTTCAACTTCTTTGCCTTTGGTTTGAATGTCCTCCTGTAGCTCAGAGTAATTTGATCGTCTGAAGCCTTCTTCTCTCAGCTCGTCAAAATCATTCTCCATCCAGCTTTGTTCTGTTGCTGGTGAGGAACTGCGTTCCTTTGGAGGAGGAGAGGCGCTCTGCGTTTTAGAGTTTCCAGTTTTTCTGTTCTGTTTTTTCCCCATCTTTGTGGTTTTATCTACTTTTGGTCTTTGATGATGGTGATGTACAGATGGGTTTTCGGTGTAGATGTCCTTTCTGGTTGTTAGTTTTCCTTCTAACAGACAGGACCCTCAGCTGCAGGTCTGTTGGAATACCCTGCCGTGTGAGGTGTCAGTGTGCCCCTGCTGGGGGGTGCCTCCCAGTTAGGCTGCTCGGGGGTCAGGAGTCAGGGACCCACTTGAGGAGGCAGTCTGCCCGTTCTCAGATCTCCAGCTGCGTGCTGGGAGAACCACTGCTCTCTTCAAAGCTGTCAGACAGGGACACTTAAGTCTGCAGAGGTTACTGCTGTCTTTTTGTTTGTCTGTGCCCTGCCCCCAGAGGTGGAGCCTACAGAGGCAGGCAGGCCTCCTTGAGCTGTGGTGGGCTCCACCCAGTTCGAGCTTCCCGGCTGCTTTGTTTACCTAAGCAAGCCTGGGCAATGGCGGGCGCCCCTCCCCCAGCCTCGTTGCCGCCTTGCAGTTTGATCTCAGACTGCTGTGCTAGCAATCAGCGAGATTCCGTGGGCGTAGGACCCTCCGAGCCAGGTGTGGGATATAGTCTCGTGGTGCGCCGTTTCTTAAGCCGGTCTGAAAAGCGCAATATTCGGGTGGGAGTGACCCGATTTTCCAGGTGCGTCCGTCACCCCTTTCTTTGACTCGGAAAGGGAACTCCCTGACCCCTTGCGCTTCCCAGGTGAGGCAATGCCTCGCCCTGCTTCGGCTCGCGCACGGTGCGCACACACACTGGCCTGCGCCCACTGTCTGGCACTCCCTAGTGAGATGAACCTGGTACCTCAGATGGAAATGCAGAAATCACCGTCTTCTGCGTCGCTCACGCTGGGAGCTGTAGACCGGAGCTGTTCCTATTCGGCCATCTTGGCTCCTCCCCCGGAGAACAACTTTTAAGATAGGAACAATTTTTCTCCTTCCTTGAATGAAAACTACATTATGTTCAGATTGACAACAAAGAACAGAACTAAAATGATCCACACACTTTCCAGGAGCATTCTAGATAGGTTGTAAGGTCAAAAACGAAATACATATGAGAGCATATTAAGGAGTCATTAGCATCATTATACCCAAATTCTAGAGCCTTAGGTATGGCCCATCATAGTGGTGTAAAAACAATCTGGCAAACTATCATTACATGGACTATTGCATTCTGAATATGCGCACCAAAATGGACTAGCAACCTGTCCCAGAAGTTCAAGCCATCTTGGACTGACTGCCAAGGAGACATTGGAAGTCACTTCTGGACTTGAGGAGTAAGAATGATTAAACACATACGGCTAAAGGAGATCAAGAAAAAAATTGACTTCATCTGCCCTGTATGTGAGAAAGGGGTGGAATATTAATTTGAAAAACTGCCCGAACATATTTCCAGGGCCTCTGCCAGTTTTCAGTGTTTAATGGAGAAGGTAATTGGGGGATATGAATTACCTAGAGGCATTTATCTATTTAGATGACATAATCATTTTTGGCAGGATTCTGGGAAAGCCAGAGCAAAGACTTAAAGTTAGCAAGGGCAGGGTTGATGATGTCCCTTGGTAAGTACAAATGCTGACAAAGCTTCATGAACTATGATATAAAGACACAGCGCAGAATAAATACTGTTTCTGGAAAAAAATACCTGTTAGCCCAAATGACACCAACTTTAAAAGCTTCTCTGAGGTGAGTGATGAACAGAGTAGAGTATGAAGGGTATTCTCTAAAAGCTAAGCCATCAACAACTTCACAGATTGCCTTATCAAGAGAGGACTAAGGCCAGCAAGGGCACAAGACACCAGCTGATGGCCATGTGGCCTCTCCAACTTTTCAGGGATTGCTGCTTGAAAGCCTGAAACCAGGCAGTGAAAGGCAGTTGGGGAAACTTAACTTGGCCTTCACGAACCCTGCTATGCCTTTGTTACCCGTATGGATGTCAAAATTGAGGTCTGGGAGCTGTTATGTCCAGTCAAAGAAGGGAAACAAGCCAGTGGTATTCACCAGCCATTGTCTGTTGGATTGCAACCTCATATACTACTCACACCTTGGTAATTTCACCTAAGACAAACCATTACTGACAAATTTCAGGGACACGTAAATGAGGTGGATTTGAGGTATGAATGAATAGCAATATACTTAAATTCATGCTCATCCAGACCTAACCAGACACCATGGTGAGTGGTTGACCTAGCTGACATATTTAGTGTTTATTATAAATCAGGCCTCAGCATCAACATATGTGGCTGCACATCCCTAAAGATTCTTTATATATGATGGTAAGAGCATTGCTCAAAAGGAGTCAAAGCAATTTATGATTCGTAAGTCCTCTTGAAGGACTTATGGCCAAAATTTTGGTGTTCCTTGTAATACAAATGGTATATTTTCCTGGTTTTCATTTACTTGCTCTTTAAAAATATGTTTATTATTACAGATATAGTATGTGTGTGATGTAGAAAACTAATATAGGCAGGAGAAAAATAAAACTTTACATTCCCTCCACCTGGATATCCTCTTTGTAATACCTTAGTGCCTTTTCTTTTAGAGCTTTCTCTATGCACGTAATATGTACATATATAGACTCATACATATGTGTAATATATATATACAAAATACTGTTATACTGTTAGTACCTGCTTTATATATATGTGTAGAAATAATTTCAAACTTACAGAAAAGTTGCAAAAATAAAAATAGTACAAATAACACTCATATACCTTTTTCCCAGATTCATCAATTATTAACATTTAACTCCATTTGCTTTATCATTTGTGATATCTGTCTAGATTTTTTTCCCTGGAAACCATTCAAGGGTAAACTTTATATATCATGGCACTTTGCCCTTCTTTTTTAATGTTTTAATTTTTTATTAAAAAAAATTTTTGTAGAGACTGGGTCTCACTATACTGTCCAGGCTGGTCTTGAACTCCTGGCTTCAAGCAATCCTCCTGTCTCAGCCTCCAAAAGTGTTCGGATTACAGGCATGAGCCACTGCATTCAGCCCCTTAAATACTTCCACTGCATGGCTAGGTTTTCTTCTAGGGTTTTTATCCATTGTGGAAGACAGTGTGGCAATTCCTCAAGGATCTAGAACCAGAAATATCATTTGACCCAGCAATCTCATTACTGGGTATATACCCAAAGGATTATAAATCATTCTGTTATAAAGACACATGCACACATATGTTTATTGCAGCACTATTTACAGTAGCAAAGACTTGGAACCAACCCAAATGCCCATCAATGATAGACTGGATTAAGAAAATGTGGTACATGTAAACCATGGAATACTATACAGCCATAAAAAAGATGAGTTCATGTCCTTTGCAGGGACATGGATGAAGCTGGAAACCATCATTCTCAGCAAACTAACAGAGGAACAGAAAACCAAACACTGCATGTTCTCACTCATAAGTGGGAGTTGAACAATGAGAACACATGGACACAGGGAGAGGAACAACACACACCAGGGCCTGTCAGGGGGTGGGGGCTAGGGGAGGGAGAGCATTAGGACAAATACCTAATGTAGATGATGGTTGACGGGTGCAGCACACCACCATGGCACGTGTAAACTTATGTAACAAACCTGCACGTTCTGCACTGTATCCCAGAACTTAAAGTATATATATATTTTATGTATATATAATATATATTATATATATATACATACATATATAAAACTTCCACTGTGTTCAGCTCCTTAAATACTTCTGAGGGTACTTTCTAAGACTTCCTGTTTTTAAGAGGCCTAGATAGTAGGTAACTTGGATTACTGGAGGAAGGAAAATACTTTAGATTTCATCTAGAATTGAGATAAGACGCTAGATGATATTAAGTTCAAAAGTAAGCCTTGCATTCATTGCATCCAGCAAAAAGCCTGCCTCTGCTGACTGCTTCCTTGGTCTACTCAAAGCAGGGTAGTCCATGGAAACTGTTGTGCATGGATTTTTCTGACCTTGGATGCTGGTACTTATAATCTGATCTAGTTACCTGGGTTTTGTTTTTTGTTTAACCTGCTATTTTATCCGAGAAAAGATGTTATAAACATGAGTATTTAAAGTCCAGGGGGTTCCAACTTCCCTTCTTAAAAACTAAATTATTTTCCAGCCTCTAGACAAGGTGTGATCTAGAAAGCTTGCTTGAAAATAAAGAGGAAAGGCAGATTTACTTTGGGCGGTGAAAGAAGGAAAAAAGAGGAGAAAGGAAGGAAGAAAGAGGAGTAAGAAAGGGAGGAAGGTCATGAGATACAAAGCATATACAGTACATATAATTTCTAATTTTTCTGGAATCAACAGCGTGCTTTATACTCTAATTTCAAATGGTGTGACTTCCCAAAAAGTCAGTTTCACAAAAGTAAATTAATAATTCTTGAGCCAAATGGAAATGGCTTTGATTACTGTGCTCCTTCTCATTTCTGATAGTGCCAATAATCAGAAGCTACAGAATAAAAGAAGGCTTAGATTCTCCAGCTATAGACAATAAGGCTGAGGACAATGCCACACATCAATTAAGATCTCATGGTAAATCAGTAATAAAACTAGGAATTAAACTTTCATGTTCTAACTTCCAGTGTTAGAGTCACTAATTTACACTGTTCTGCTTCTACTGAGCACTGATTATTTTAAATATAGAGAAGTTCTACTCTTTTACAATGCTAAGCACACTACTTATTGTGTTGTATTCATGGTATCACTGGTGGTAGAAATGAAAAAGCCCAATTAGGTCATCTTGTCCTCTTCCTGGGGACGGGACTATGTCTATTCAACTACAATGACTCAGCTGATGAAAATTTCATTGTGGGCTGAGAACTCATTGCAGAACTCAGCCTGCAGTAGAAATCAGGCTGAATGGGATGATGGGTTTATTAAAAAAAAAAAAATCAAGGCAGAATAAGATGGAGACCAGGAAAGCAGCAGAGGGGTAGATGACTTGCAGCATCACAGAGCTGTGAGTGACTGTTAGAGCTCATCATTCACCATGGACAAACCTAATGAATTTAGTCTAAGCACAGCTGGAAAATATTGCATATCTTCCTTAGAAAGGCTTTTTAACAGCTGAGTTCCTGACCTTCCCTGAAGTCAGTTTTCTTTAGTTTTATTCTCATAGCTAAATTTAAAATCAGTACAGAAATAAAAAAGTCTGGTAGAGAATGGGTTTTTCTTTAAAACATGGGACATTTTAGCTCCCTGATATCTCAGCAGCTTTCCATGACTTCATCTTCTGCTTTGTAACTTGGCAAATCATTAGAAATGACTTTATTATTGTCCCATCCAATCTGATGGAGATCCCTTAGGCTTCACATCTCAGCTTCTTATTTTGTTACCTCTTTAACTCTCTCAACTCCCCTGTCCACTCCCTTCTCTCATTGGCCTGCTTCCTGTTTTTCAAACGGCCTGCGGAATTTCCTGCCCCAGTGCCTTTGTACCGGCTTGGATTGCTCTTCCTCAAATATAGGCCTCACATCCTTAGGCCACTTCTTTCAGGTCCTTACTCATCTTCTTGGTGACGCCTTTCTGGAAACCTTATTTAAAGTTTTAATCTTCCTCTTTAATACGCACAATCAGAAGCACTCATTCTATTTTACAGAAAAAGGTGTTGCCCCATAAAAAAGATAATTAAAAAATAATCTAATATATACAATCCCTTTTTCTTGTGCTATTTTTCTCTCCTTAGTACTTACCACATTCCAACCCAGAATTTACATTTAAATTATTACCCGTTTCTGCTCCTCTGTGCTAGACTATCATAAGCTCCATGAGGGTAGAAATATTTATCTTTCTACTTTCTGTTCCATTTTTTGTGATCCATAAGACTGGCTGACATTCAATAAATATTAAATAAAGGAATGTATGGATAAAGTTAGCTTTTGAGGAGAGGAGTATATCAGGGCTCCCATAGCCTGAAGGACTTTTTTAACATCAACTCAATGAATTCCCATACCTCACCTTCACCACTCTGTTATTATACCTAAGATGAGAAAACCCTTGCAGAGCAATTCAGTTTGAAATCTCAAGCTTTAACAACAACAACAAAAATGCTACCTAAAAGAACAAATTCTTATTGAGGATGCTAGGACCTTGATTTGGGGGCATGGGTATGGTAAAAGAGGCAGTTCAACTCCCAAAATTTGTGCAAAAGAAAAAGTAATCTATACAATCTGAGATTTTATAACTAGAAACCTTTCTAGATATTTATTTTGGATTCTAATAATTGGCACAGTGATGTAAGTATGAGGATAATCTATTAATTTTCCCGACATCTATTTACATAGTGTAATTTTCACCCAGCCACATTGACTGAGTTAATTCATATTCTTTCCTAGGAGCTTCAGGCTCTGGAAAATAGACCGAATGTATCTGTCGGCCTCTTTTCCATTCAAGTTGTATGAATCTATTGCCTATTTACTAAAATAAAAAGGAAATGTATAGACTTTTAACAAAAGGATCAACTATAAATTTGTTGAATAGTTCCTCAGATGTTTTATGTGAGAGCTTGCGTCCTGGTATGTGGAGTTGAATCAACAGCTTCTGTTCCTTGAGATGTCACCACACAGAACCATGGGAATTTAACTGTTTTGTGAAATGGATATATATATATATATATATATATATATATATATATATATATAATAAATATATAATATAATATACTATATACTATATATGGATATATAATATATGTATTATAATTTGTACACTTATATATTTATAAATTTATACTTATAAATTATAATTTATATATTGTATATATTTATAAAATATATAATATAATACATATATTATACAATATATTATATAATATATGTTTTATATTTTATAAATATACATTTATATAATATATATATTTTTTACTTTTTTATTATTATACTTTAAGTTTTAGGGTACATGTGCACAACGTGCAGGTTAGTTACATATGTATACATGTGCCATGTTGGTGTGCTGCACCCAGTAACTCGTCATTTAACATTAGGTATATCTCCTAATGCTATCCCTCCCCCCTCCCCCCACCCCGCAACAGGCCCCAGTTATAATATATATTATATATGTTTTATATTTTATAAATACATATATTTATAAAAGAGGTAGGGACTTCTGAGTTCAACTTTTCCTATTTATCACTACTACAAGTGAGACTCATGGGGGTTAAGTGACTTGTGTAAGGTCACAAGATAAATAGTTAATTGTAGGACTTCACTAGAACCTGCCTCCTGACCCATTTCTCCAACCGTGTCTTTGTTTTAGCTAATGCTATGACCATCTGCCCAAGCGGGAATCATGAACTCCATCCTCCTTATCCACTGGGAGGTCAGTTCTGCCCTAGAACTGTTACCGAATAGAGTTGCCCAGGTTCTCGGCCTGTTGAACAAATAATTGAACAAAATGCACAAAGTAACAAAAGAATGAAGCAACCAAAGCCAACGCAACAGAATAAGGGAGTAATGAAAGCACAGATGTATTGAAGACAACTCACTGAGTGGGACTGGGCTCCAGCAAGCTGCACAAGAGCCTCTCCAGTTAGGATTTTTATAAAGCCAAAAGAACTTGGCAACACCCCTAGGTGCCCTTTAGAGGCCTCCAATTGGTTACATCCTATGAAGGATTGGCCTGCAACCAATCAGAGGCTGAAGTAGAAATATCTGTCTTGTCACAGGATTGAAGATATGGCCTGTACGCAGCCCAGTCTTGCCTAGAACTGGCTGCACCTGCTGTTCCTTTGCTTATGCCCCAACCCTTGGCTACCCTAATTCCCTATTCTCCTGCCTCAGAACTATCTTCTGATCTGTCCATGTCTTTTACTCCTTTGTCATTTTTTGGTTGGACTCTAGCAACAATCTACTGAATGATTTCCTTGCTCCATGTTTCTCTTATTTCTAACCCACTCTCCTTCTATACAGTTTCCAAAGAAACAATTATGATCACATCCCTTTTGTTTGTAAAGACATCCAAATCCTTCAATATGGATCCAAAACCCTAATTAATCTCCTTTCAGAATACCTATTCATCTTTATTTTTACCATACTCCTTGTCCAACCCCAACCTAATATTATGAGCTTTATGTCATTCTTCAAACATGTCATGCTGTTTAAGTCTCTATGTCATTAGATTTCTTTCTTTCTTTTTTATTTTTTCTTTTGTGAGATGGAGTCTCACTCTGTCACCCAGGCTGGAGTGCAGTGGTGTGACCTCAACCCACTGCAATCTCCGCCTCCCAGGTTCAAGCAATTCTCCTGCCTCAGCCTCCCAAGTTGCTGGGACTACAGGTGTCTGCCACCACACCCGGCTAATTTTTGTATTATTAGTAGAGACGGGTTTCAACATGTTGGCCATGCTGGTCTCAAACTCCTGACCTCAGGTGATCCGCCTGCCTTGGCCTCCCAAAGTGCTGGGATTACAGAAGTGAGCCACCGTGCCCAACCAAGCCACTGCGCCCGGCATCTATGTCATTAGATTTCGATTTTCTTTTGTTGTTGTTGTTGTTGTTGGTTTGTTTTTGTTTGTTTGTTTGTTTTGAGACGGAGTTTCGCTCTTGTAGCCCAGGCTGGAGTGCAATGGCATGATCTCGGCTAACTGCAACCTCCGCCTCCCAGGTTCAAGCGATTCTCCTGCCTCAGCCTCCTGAGTAGCTGGAATTACAGGCATGGGCCACCAAGCCCGGCTAATTTTGTATTTTTAGTAGAGACGGGGTTTCTGCATGTTGGTCAGCTGGTCTCGAACTCCCGACATCAGGTGATCCGCTAGCCTTGGCCTCCCAAAGTGCTGGGATTACAGGCGTGAACCACTGTGACCGGCCTCGATTTGTATATATATATATAATGAAAAAACTTACCTGTGTCTCATACAAGATACAAATTTAAATTTCTCTTACATAAAAAAAGCCAAGAATGAGGCAGTCCAAGGATGGTGTGGCAGCCCCACAGGTATCAAGGCCCCAGACTCCTATTTCTCTGTTTTACCACCCCCAGCACATGACTTAAGTACACCCCATAATTTAAGTACACCTCATAATTCAAGGTGGTTTCTAGGACTTCAGCCATCACATTTGAGTTCCAGGCTGAAAGCAAAAACAAGAAAAATATTCATTCCTTCCCCTTTAAGAAGACTTCTTGGAAGTCTCACATATTTACTCACATCTCACTGGCCAGAAATTAGTCACATTATTATTAGTCAGAATGTAGATTTTTAACAGGGTATGCTGTCCCCCTTCCCCCAAAATAGGGTTTTTGATAGAAAGAAGTCTTACTCACAGTTTTAGGGGCCAGCTCAAATGCTTTCATGCTTTTCTAACTTTTCCATGCAGAGGAGGTTCCCCTCATGCTTACCAAACATTTAGTTTTCATTATCGATTGATGGATGGATGGATGGATAGATAGGTAGATAGATGATAGATAATCAATAATCAACAGATAAATTCAGGTACAAACACACACACATGCACACACACACATACACACACACATATATATATAAACACTTACGTTTTCCTTATCAAAGGAGCTCCTTATAAATAGAGATCATGGCTTACTCAACTTTTTATCTTGGCACTGAGCATGGAGTAGGCCTTCATAAATGTTTGTTGAATAAATGCATTGATGCTTACATAAATAAACCAGCCGGGCGCAGTGGCTCACACCTGTAAACCCAGCACTTTGGGAGGCTGAGGCGGGTGGATCACGAGGTCAGGAGTTCAAGGTCAGCCTGGCCAAGATCGTGAAACCCCGTCTCTACTAAAACTACAAAAATTAGCTAGGGGTGGTGGCGGGTGCCTGTAATCCCAGCTACTCCGGAGGCTGAGGCAGGAGAATAGCTTGAACCTGGGTGGCAGAGGTTGCAGTGAGCCGAGATCACACCACTGTACTCCAGCCTGGGCGACAGAGCAAGACTCTGTCTCAAAATAAATAAATAAATAAATAAATAAATAAATAAATAAATAAATAAATAAATAAAAATAAACTATGGGTTTTGAGATCCTTTAATGAATTGCAGTTTACGTACATGATAAAATTTGGGCCTTATTTTTGTGTTAGTGGTGAAGACCTTGTTAACCCAAAATATCGGAGACAGGTCTCAGGCAATTTAGGAAGTTTATTTTGCCAAAGTTAAGGATGCACGCCTGTGACACAGCCTCAAGAGGTCCTAAGGACATGTGCCCAAGGTGGTCAGGGCACAGCTTGCTTTTATACATTTTAGGGAGACATGAGACATCAATCAATATATGTATGATGTACATTGGTTCTGTCTAGAAAGGCGGGACAACTTGAAGTGGGGGAGGGGTTTCCAGGTCATAGGTGAGAGACAGATCGTTGCATTCTTTTGAGTTTCTGATTAGTCTTTCAGGCAATCAGACATGCATTTATCTCAGTGAGCAGAGGGATGACTTTGAATAAAATGGGAGGCAGGTTTGCCTTAAGCAGTTCCCAGCTTGATTTTTCCCCTTTAGTGTAGTGATTTTGGTGTCCCAAGATTTATTTTCCTTTCACAACCTGAAGTGGGCTAAACCCTCCAGTCAGTGTCTCTGCAGGCTATTGTTCTGGCGGTTCCCTGCTTTAACACAACCAAAGGGGTGACTGAGGTCCAAAATTCAGCCCTTGCTCTACCCTACATGTCCTATTCCTTGGAGAGGGGCTGCGTCGGTCTGGAGAGCACACTTTTTCTATTTGCCCAGAGTCATTTGCGGCACTTGCCCGCGGTGGTATCTAAAAGGCTGCTGAGGTTCTTAACCAGGGAGTGATGGTCTGCCTGACTGAACGGTGGGCTACGGAGCTGCAGGAAAGCACAGAAAATGCAGACAGCACACTGACCTTCAGAAGCAGGAGACTTAGTTGATTATCCCACCTTTTTCTCTCTTTTTTCCTTTTGCCTTCGCTCACGCACCCCTTTGTTGATACTTCAACTTCCAGAACACAGAGTCTCCCAAACGTTAAAGAACTGGAATTTAGGCCGGGCATGGTGGCTCACGCCTGTAATCTCAGCACTTTGGGAGGCCGTGGCAGGTGGATTGCTTGAGGTCATGAGTTTGAGACCAGCCTGGCCAACATGGCAAAACCCCATCTCTACTAAAATACAAACATTAGCTGGGTGTGGTGGCAGGTGCTTGTAATCCCAGCAACTTGGGAGCCTGAGGCAGGAGAATCATTTGAACCCGGGAGGCAGAGGTTGCAATGAGCCGGGATCGTGCCATTGCACTCCAGTCTGGGTAACAGAGCAAGACTCCGTTTCAAAAAAAAAAAAAAAAAAAAAGAACTGGGGTTTATAATCTTCATTTGGAGAAGCCAGAAATTTAAGTCAAAAAGGAATGCATCTGAAGATACATGGAGTAACTGAACTTAGGCTACAAATGATTCCTTACAGAACTGATACTTAACTCAGGGGCATAAAGGACAGCTGGAGAACTTGGGACAGAGAGGCAAATGCAGAGGAATGGAGGATCTCATAAAGTGGCATGTTGTTCTGCCTGCACTCCTGAGAGAAGAAAGGGCTTTCTGCATTATTATATGCCTGCGTGGGTGGCATTCACACCACTGTGAGTCCTGTTGTATTAGTGGGGTTGTTGAGTCCTGTGGGCTCCTGATCCCAGAAAGCGCTGCCTCCAGTAAGGGTATTGTGTGTATCCTATGAGCTATGATGCTTGGGATTGCTTTCCCATCAACACCTGGAGAGCTTCCACAGCCCTTCCCTGGGCCCTGAGTGTGCAAAATGTGACAATCAGAGTTATTTATTACCAGCACCTTCCTCTCCAGGCGGCGGATCAATTTTCTTTTCTCCAGATGGCTGTCATAGGCCAGCCAGAGAGAGGACTGGGCTGGCCATCTGCTTCCTGTTGCCTTTTCAAGCTGGCTAGCCACTCAGTGAGGCTGGCAAAGCCCAAGGCACCAGCTGTCAGTTTAGGCTGCCCCTGCTTGGCCTTGCACCTTGTCACACTAGGCACCGTAGCACAGGGGCCAGGCTGAAATCAGTGTTTGACACTCACGAGGCGGGATGCTTTCCTTCCAAACCATGCCAGCCAGCTTCTCGATGGCAAACAGAAAAGATGCCTGCCCTGGAACTTCCTCTAAGAATGAGCTTCCACTGACTTAATTGACTAAGTGGGATGACTCTGGGGAGGGGAAAGGCAGTGCTTGTGGTCAACAGACGGAACAGAATGTGACATAATTCCGAATTCCATACAAGTAAAATGATTTAATCAGAATTTCCAATTCACTCTCCCATTGTGTTTTTTTCTATTCTTTCTAATTAGATGTTTATTTATTTACAATGACAAATTAACTATGTGCATACTGAAGAAAATCTGTAAATTTTTTAAAAATCACCTATAATTCCATTACCCATAGAGATAACTGCTATTTATTTTTTTTCAAATATCTCTTCAGTCTTTTTTTCCTCCTAAAAATGTTGAGATCACACTATTTTGATTTTGTGGCTTAATATTACAATACAAAATATTTTAAGCTTTAGTAAATAAAAATAATAAATTTCTATAAAATATTTTTGATGACTAATATTACAATGCATGGTATCTTAATTCACTTAACTATTTGCCAATTGTTGGACATTAAGGTTTTTTTTTTTTTACAACTTTTTACTATTTCACATAATTCTATAATGAACATCTGTGCATAAAACTTATTTAGATCATGTCCTTAGAGTCATTTTCCTAATGTAGAATGACTGCACAGATTTTAAAAACAATTTACTATTTCGCCAAATTGCTCAAAAAAAAAAAATCAGGAGTGCCAATTTCATAGTTCCTTCAACGATGAGTCCTTCCTTCCTCTCTAAATCCCTCCCTCCCTTCCTCCATCCTTCCTTCCTTCCCTTCTTCCTTCCTCTCTCCCTTCCTGTCTTTCCTTCTTTTCTTTTTGAAATTTCTGTAGATTTGGTGCATTTTCCCATCTTAAAAGCACAAAAGCTAAAGGGTACATGTGGGGATAGGCACTAAGCTGGGTACCCTATACTAGATATTTGTTTCTGCCAAGGTCCAAGCAACGGATCCAGGAGTATAATCTGAGCACTGATTCAGCAGTAGGGATGTGTGATGATGAATCTCTGTGTTCCTGAAAGGGACCCACTGTGCTCAGAGCCCCAGAGCATGCTCCCCTTTGAATAATGCTCATCTCCATTAACCAACTCTGTGGGGAGTCACTGATGGCCCTAGGTCTTTAATGGCTTCTTCCGGAGGCCAGGTGGTCCCACCTACAGAGAACAGCACAAGTGCTCTACAGAGTGGTGAGGCTGCAAGCGCCAAGTTGGGTATGGCGGTTGGCTCTCAGAATAGAGCTTCAGCAGGAGAGCCTGGAGTCCTGCTAGGAGGCTGGGCTGCTTCCACAGGCCCTGTGGTGAGAGGCCAGCACAACGCCTTCCGTGCACTTGAGTTAGTGGTCTGAAGCACCCAGTGGTGGTAATGTATAATCATGTTATAGCCTTGTTATACCATCCATCACAGCCTCAGTTCTTTTTCTTTAGTTGTACCATTGCTGAGCCCTCACAGTTTCCCACTGATTAGTATAGCTTTTCCACCAACAACCCTCTCTTCCCCTCCTCTTTGACAAATCAAATCATGCCAAATTCTTGGGCCACCTCCAACCCCCACTCCTTCAAGTAATGTATCCCAGTATTTCTGGACTGCATTTGTCTCTCTCTTTTCTATATTTCCATAGTTTAAAAATTATTATTGATGCAAAACATTTTGGTATTTGATCACTTACCACGTTGTATTTTCTCCAAATTTGTCCATATAGGCAAATCTTGTGGCCTCAACAATGTCACAGTTTTTTAAAAGAGAGATTTGAGTCTTTTTATTATAACTCTAGTCTATATCTTTCCCTTGAGTTCCAGACTCATGACAAACTATCTAATTGATATCACTCCATGGGCATTACACAACTCAAATTTTGACCTACTCAAACTTGGATCTGTTACAGTATTCCCTATTCAGACTGACATCCTTATTACCTCCCTACATCTCCACCAATTACTAATCTAAAATTTATATTTATTAGATCTGTCCTGATCTAACTGGTCCATTCATATCCATTTTGGATCTCATCCAGTTCTATACTACAACTAAAGTGACCTTGACAAAATCTAAATTTGATCATGTCATGTTCTACTCCCTTACACAGCGTATTTTAAATTTGTTAATGGCTTCTCTTCTTTTGAAAAAATTTTATTGTAGTAAAATATATATAACATAAAACTTGTCAATTTAACAGTTTTTAAGTGTATAATATAGTGGCATTAAGTACATTTATATTGTGCAGCCTTCACCACTATCTATTTCCAAAACTTTTTCATTATCCCAAACGGGAGCTCTATAAACATTAAGCAATATCTTCTTATTTCCCCCTCCTCCCTATCCTCTGCTAACCTCTAGTCTACTCCCTGTCTCTTTCAATCTGCCTATTCTAGGTTTTGTATTTAAATCATACATTTCTCCTTTTTTTTTTTTTTTTTGGTCTGGCTTCTTTCCCTTAGCATAATGTTTCCAAAGTTTATATGTTGTAACATGTATTAGAACTTCATTTCTTTTTATGTCTGAATAATATTTCATTAGATGAACATACCACATTTTACTTCTCTTTTATTTAATATTAAAAAGCAAACTTTTTTTTTTGTTTTTTTTTTGAGACAGAATTTCACTCTCGTTGCCCAGGCTGGAGTGCAATGGTGTGATCACAGCTCACTGCAACCTCTGCCTCCCAGGTTCAAGTGATTCTCCTGTTTCAGCCTCCCAAGTAGCTGGGATTACCAGTGCCTGCCACCATGTCTGGCTAATGTTTGTATTTTTAGTAGAGATGGAGTTTCACCATGTTGGCCAGGCTGGTCTCAAACTCCTAACCTCAGGTGATCTGCCCACCTCGGCCTCCCAAAGTGCTGGGATTACAGGTGTGAGCCACCGCGCCTGGCCACAAACTTCTTAAATTGGCCTATAAGTTTCTGCATGGTCTGGCCCCTTCACCTCTCATTCCCAGCATCCTCTGCTCCCTGAGCCCTCGCTCTCTCTTCTTTGCAGACTTCATGCTTACATGGTTCCTTCTTGCATCAATGCCTTGGCACAGGCTGTTTTAATTGCCAGTGACCCTCTCCCCTCCTGCATTTCACCAGTTAACTCTTCCCACCCTTCAGATCTTCACTTAAGTGTTTTTTTCTCAAGGAAGCCTTTTCTGACCTCCCTGAGTTCTTGCTCCTATTATAGGATCTCAAAACAACACATATTTATACTTAGTTGTTCTTATAAAAGTTCACATTGACATGTATTTGTCTTCTCCAGAAGATTTTAAGTTACAAGTAGACAGAGTTTATGATTTGGCATTTTGTTTTGTCTTGATTTGTTTTTTAAAGACAGGATCTCATTATGTTGCCCACACTGGAGTGTAGAGGCTATTTACAAGCATGATCATAGTCCACTGCAGCCTCAAACTCCTGGGCTCAAGTAATCCTTCTGCTTCAGCTTCCTGAATAGCTGAAATTACAGACTTACATGACCATGCCTGGCCAATGAGGGATTAATGTGAGTGGCACTTGGTGGATGCTCAATGAGGGTTTATTAAAGCTATAAAGACTGTTCATAGAAATATATTTTTTTCCCTGTATCCATCATAGATCTTATAATAGTCCTTGGCACATATCATAGATTCATTAAAATGTGTTGACCTCAAGCTTCAAATTAGCCAAGTTCCATTTTATGCTGAAATAACAGTATGTTGAATTTCAAAACAAGAAAAACACAAAGTTTTTAGAATGTAAGAGGCAATAACAACCCCAAAATCTTGAGAGACAGTTGTGACTTCATATCCACTGTGTGAAATATCCTGTGTAGTGATTAAGACCATGTGTTGCTCAAGAGGTTAAATACCAAGTTACTGTATGACCCAGCAATTCCATTCCTAGATGTATACACAAAAGCAATGAAAGCCTGTACATGAATGTTCACAGAAGCATTATTTATAACAGGAAAATGTGAAAACAATGCAAATGTTCTTCAACTGATTAATGGGTAAATAAAATGTGGTGTATCCAGACAACCAAGTATCATTTGATAAAAAAGAAATGGAATGCTGATACATGCTACAACATGGATGAATCAAAGACCACATATTGTATAATCCCATTCATCTGAAAGGTTCAGAAGAGCTAATTCAATAGAGATAGAAAGTAGGTTAGTTGTTTCTTGGGTTTGGGGAGCTGAAGAAAAATGGAGGGTGATTGACAATGGGTATGGAGCTTATTTTGGAGTGATGAAAATGTTCTAAAATTGTAGTGATGGTTGCACAACTTCACAAATATGCTAAAAATAATTAAATTGTACACTTTAAAATGCATATTATAGTGTATACAACAGGGTTTTTTTTGTTTTGTTTTGTTTTGTTTTAAAAAAACGGATGATGAGCTCCAAAGCCAGATTGTCTGGGTTCATCTCAAGACCCCTTCATTTCCTAATTATGTGGCCTTGAGCAGGTTACTTAATCTCGCTGCCTTTCAGATAATAATGATGCCTACCCGGTAAGGTTATGGTGAGAATTAAACTCATCAATATGCATAAAAGGTTTAGGTAACCACTTAACAAAAAGTTCAATAAATATAAACTTTTATTAATGTTGTTTTCTTGTTCTAGAGGGATTCATCTGCAGGTTCCTAGATCATCTGTTTTGACCTACAGTGCCTTGGGGGATGGTTCATACGCTAGTGATCGCTTTTCTATAGTTTATCTTGTTGATAGCCAGTCTACTGTTCTCCTCTGTCTTAGCAGAAATTTCTCCTTTCTTCTGATTTTAATCTGTAAAATAGATTTCTCCTGTTGCTACTACCCTCATCTATGAAGGTGTAGACTGCTGAAGGAAATTTCTCTTTTCTCAGGGCTGGTTCTCTTTACACAAGAGTGCCCAGCAACCCAAGTGATGGGTATCCAGAGATAACCCTAAGGGCTGAATCGTGTGCATGGGGAGAAGGGATGGACAATGATTAGGAAACTGCTGTCTAATCATGAAATAAGTATCCCTGAGTCAGAGTATGTTCCACCTGCATCCAACCTTTGCTAGTCTCTTGGCCATCCAGGACAAGTTGGGTAAAGACTGAATAAACTTAGATGAAGATCCACTATTATGCCCATGATGCTATCAGCTAGACATTTTCAGACATGGAACACTCTCTCTCTTTAGAACTTACTTATTACAAGATGCAATCTGTCGTATTCATTTTCTTGTACTATTTAAACATCTTTTTTTTTTCTGGGAAAAATTTAAGCTTGATCACAATTCTTAACGAGCACCCCTAGATTCAATTCTTCTGTTATAAACGTAGATTGTCTTGCTTATCCTTTTTGTTGTTGTTGTTGTTGTTTTTCTTGTCATATGCTCTTTCCTTTCTTCTTTCATTCAGTGAATGAATATTAATTGAGTGCTTCTTACATGCCAGATACTGTTTTAAGACAAATTCCTTGTCAGCTTGAAGTTTACATACTAGTTGGGAGAAGTCAGGGAATAAGTATAGGCTGGGCATGGTGGCTCACTCCTGTAGTCCCAGAACTTTGGGAGGCCGAGGTAGGTGGATCACCTTAGGTCAGGAGTTCAAGGCCAGCCTGGTGAATATGTTGAAACCCCATCTCTACTAAAAATACAAATATTATCTGGGCGTGGTGGTGGGTGCCTGTAATCCCATCTATTCAGGAGGCTGAGGTGGGAGAATCGCTTGAACCTGGGAGGCAGACGTTGCAGTGAGCCGAGATCACACCACTGTACTCCAGCCTGGGCGACAGAACAAGACTCTGTCTCAAAAAAAAAAAAAAAAAAAAAAAAAGAGTAAGTACATAAGCAAGTATATTGGTGTTATGTCAAATGGAAATACATGCTATGAGGGAAAAAAAAAAAACTAAAACAAGCCAGGAGGATTGGGAGTGCTGGTGAATATTATTTAATGTACAAATTTCAGGAAAGGACTCATGGATAAGGTGACATTTGAGCAGAGACGTGGAGGAAGCGAGGGAGGCCGCCTCTTGGGTACCTGATGAGAGAGAGGCTGAGTTGGGGGTGTGCTTGGCATGTTTGAAGAGCAGCAAGGGGGTTGCTGTGGCTGGAGCCCACTAAGCAAGCAGGAGAGAGGTAGAAGAGAGAGGTCAGAGAACTAACAGAACCAGATCATGCAGGGCCTTGAAGGAAACTGCGTAAAGGTTAGATTTTACTCTAAAGGGAAGGAAAGCCATGAGAGAATTTTGAAGAGCGTATTGAGACATTCAACTTAGATTTTTTTTTTTTTTTTTTTTGAGTCTCACTCTTGTCGCCCAGGCTGGAGTGCAATGGCGTGATCTTGGCTCGGTGAAACCTCCGCCTCCTGGGTTCATGCAATGCTCCCACCTCAGCCAACCGAATAGATGGGATTACAGGCACCCGCCACCATGCCTGGATAATTTTGTATTTTTAGCAGAGATGGGGTTTCATGATGTTGGCCAGGCTGGTCTCAAACTCCTGACCTCAGGTGATCTGCCTGCCTCAGTCTCCCAACGTGCTAGGATTACAGGTGTGAGACACTGCACCCAGCCAATCTAATTTCGATTTTTAAAAGACTCTTTACAGCTATTTTGTTGACAGGGAGACAAGGGTGAGAATCAAGGAGCCCAGGTAGGGCACTGTTTTTGTAATCCTGGAACATCCCAATTTTAATAACAGTGTAGGTGACAGAAAGTACTTAGGTTCTGGATGTGTTTGGAGTGTAAAGCTAGCAGAATTTGCTGATAGATTCGAAGTGCAATGTGTGAGAAAGAGGAGTCAAGAATGACTTAAATGAAAAATAAAAACAAAACTACCAAACTACGTCTCTATTTCCAGAGTGGCTGTATCATTTTGCATGTGCACCAGCAATGTATGAATGATCCACTTTCTTCACATTCTTGCCAGCATTTTGTGTTATCACTATTTTTTATTTTAGCTATTCTGATAGGTATGCAGTAATATTTCATTGTGGTTTTAATTTGCATTTTCCTAAGAAAAGAAACTAGAGCAAACAAACAGCAAGAAAAAAAGAATGACTGAACCAAGGATTCTTTTCGGGTTGATGAAAATCTTCTGCAATCAGATAGTGGTGATTGTTGCACAAAACCCACTGAATTGTATACTTAAAAAGAGTGAATTTTGTGGCATGTGAATTTTATCTCAATTAAAAAGTAATGAATACTGCACTGTCTTTGTTTTGAAGAGCTGGAAAAATCTATTGGCAATTACCAACGTGGGAAAAATGGGTGGAAGGAAGCTGGTTTTTGTGGAATGGGGGAAGAGAACAGGAATAGTGAATATATTACTTTTGAGATGCCTCACAGATATCCATGTGAAAATATTTAGTGTGATTTGGATATAAGAGTCCCAAAACCCAGAGAAATCTCCAATTTGGAGAAAGAAATTTAGACATTATCAGAATACAGATAATGTTTAAAGCTACAGGCCAGGCTAAAGTCACCAGAGAGAGAATGTAAACAGAGAAGAGAAGCACTTAGCTTGAGCACGGCAACACTTAGCGGTCAGAAAGATTTGAAAATCAGCAAAAGATACTGAAAAGGAGGAGCCAGTGAGGTGGGAAGAGAACTTGATGTCCCAAATATCAAGTAAAGAACATATTTTATGAAGCAGAAGTGGCCAATTCTGCCTAATGTTGCTGATGAGTCAAGTAAAATAAGAATCGAGAACTGACCACTGGATTTTACAAATTGTTGATCATGACAAGAACAGTTTTTGTGGTATTGGGGGCAAAAAAAAAAAAAAATTGGAGCGTTCATAAGTAAATGGGAGGAGAGGATGAGAATTAATGGGTGCAGAGAAATAGTGGAGGGAGAGGGAGAAGAATGTGAGACCAAGAGAAGGTTCTTTTCCTTTTCTTTTGAGGTGGAAGAAATATAGCACGTTTATAGGCTGATAAGAAACAAGTAGAGGGAGTGAAAATTGATGATGCAGAAGTGAAAGGAGAGAATGGCTGTAGTGATATTCTTTTTTTTTTTATAGCGATATTCTTTTTTTTTTTTTTTGAGACGGAGTCTTGCTCTGTCGCCCAGGCTGGAGTGCGGTGGCACCATCTCGGCTCACTGCAAGCTCCGCCTCCCGGGTTCACGCCATTCTCCTGTCTCAGCCTCCTGAGTAGCTGGGACTACAGGCGCCTGCCACCACGCCCGGCTAATTTTTTGTATTTTAAGTAGAGACGGGGTTTCACCATGTTAGCCAGGATGGCCTTGATCTCCTGACCTCGTGATCTGCCCACCTCGGCCTCCCAAAGTGCTGGCACTACAGGCATGAGCCACCGCGCCAGGCCTTTATAGCGATATTCTTGAATGCAGATGAAGAGGATGGAATCCAGTGACAAGTGGAGGGCTGTCCTCAGATAGGAGTCCAGGTAGTTTATATCTTGAATAACTGGCGGAATGTGAGTATATAGGAGCATGGGTACAAGTAGGGTAGCAGATATGATTGAGAGTATGTAGTTTTCTTCTTATCATTTTTTTTTTTTTTAAGGGAAATAGGAACCAAAGCCACTGACCAAGAATGAGGGTGGAGGAGGAGATATTGAAAGTTTGTCAAAGGAGAAGATATTAAATGCTCGCCTAAAGAAATGAAAGAAGGAGATTCTTGAAATGTAGTGGCCTTTCCTTGGCAGTGCCGTGGGCCCATGTGAGAGATTTCTGGTCATGAATTTACAGTGAGATCTGTCAGCGTAGCTGTGTTTTGCTTTTTTCCCCAACCATAGCACAGGTGCAGGCATAGAGTAAACAGAGAGCTGGAGTAATCAGAATTGAGGATTTTTTTCAGACAAGTTAGAGGAAGAAAGTGTGTGTTGGGAGGGAGTTGTAGGTGTCTACAAGGAAGTGTTACAACAATGGACCATGACTTCTAAGCCCCGTAAAGACGGAAGAAAGGACCTGAGGGGAGTGAAGAACAGTGAGTAACGATGAAGGCACTGGATTGTAGAACCAGGTGGAGTCCACGAATTTTCGGAATTGGAGTGCTAGAGGTAGTGAGCCAGAAAAACAAGAGAAGCACAAGTCTGCAACGTATAATAGCACGCCAACTCTGCTTCATGCAAAGATGTTTAAATCCAGCAGTACAGAATGGCTTGGTAAAAACTCAAGGCATGTTAAAATATCATTCACATGAACTCAAGTGGTAATAGTCAAAGTTGTGAATAAAAAAATCCTTTCACACATTTTATAAAAACAGGTAACAACAATTGAATGTATGTTATCATTGCTCTGGGGCAAGAAAAGAGCAGTCGTCTGTTTATGACTAAAATTGTCAGTGCTCAAAATGTTCCAAGAGTCAGTATTTAATTAATAAGTTGCCACACTCATTTCACAGATGCCACATATGAGAGAATTAAGTATAGAATGAAGAATTAATGAACCCCTATTTAGGAAAACATGGGAATTAATACACACACCCACACCCAACCAACCACACACACGTACACACCCTGGTAATCAAAACTATAAACTGAAGAAATTAAGAAGATTGAAGAGCAGTAACTAAAAATATGCTTGTGTCAGAGTATCCAAAGAACACAGCTTACATAGAGCACAGGACTTTCCTGTGGTTTAAATCTTGAGTACAAAAAAATGTTTGACACCCAGTAAGTATAAAACAAATATTTGTTTGATTGAATTAAATGAATGAATAAATAAATGAATGATGATGATTTGTCATCTCTCTATCATGACATTTGTGTATAACAAAATCTTTTCCATTTTGTCCCATGCAGGTTCAATTTCTGGTTGGTAATTGGCAATGATGGAATGACTGTCCGGAGTAAAGAAGCCTCTCTTTGTTCTTGTGCCATGATTTCCCAGCCAGGCAGTGCTTGCAGTTCACTGGACTGATCATTTTCTTTCACACTCTGTGCCTTTGCAAATATTATTCTTTTGTCTGAAAATTGCCTGCTCCCAACCCTTCATTATCATCCCCACTAACTCTCACCCACCCTCCCCAGCTTGTTGACTTGGAAACTCCTTCTTTTTTTACCAGCTGCAATTCAAGCAACACCTCCTCTGGGGAGCCTTTTCAACTCTGCCTTAGTCTTTTTTGGCCCTAGTTTTTGCATCTCTCCAGATTCACTGGGCTTTCTCTGCTTTCTGGGTCACTTGTTCAGTGAAGAACCCCTACCCCATCATCACCACAACTCTTAACCCTACCACCCTTAGCCCTTTCCAGATGAGGGCTGTGCTCTAGCATGGCTCCTTCATACTCACCATGATGGGACTGCAAAGACCCTGGTGTCTGGGGCCTGAACCCACTGGGCCCCTGAAGTTCAGCTTCCTGCAGCATTCCCAGAATCTGAGGAAGCACCGTGAACCGAGGTCTGGGCTCTGACTTCCCTGATCCTGGAGCCAGGTCATCCAATCTGTAAATGTAAAGGATGGAATTATTTTTACCAATGAGGAACAGGTAGACTCTTACGCCTTTCTCCCCATGCCCTATCCCCACCCTTTACAGACTGTGAAAGCACACAGATTTCTACTTACAGACTGTTCTGAAGCACATCGATTTCCACACGACTGACTGGAGACATCTAGTGTGATCGAGACCTCAGCTGTGTGTTATAATCAATGTGCCACCTTTGCTTCCCCCTCTGCTCTCATTCTTGCTGCTCAATAACACCGGAACTCTGCTCCAGGTTCTCATTTCTATGCAAGTGTAGAAATCCTCTACAATCTCCTAGCAACACAGGCATACCGCTACCCTAGCTTGAAATAACCTGAGTCATGATTGTTAGTTTACTTTAACAGAGATTCTTGATTGCAGAGGAACTTTTTTTCAGTGGTCTCATTACTTAGCACCATGTTGGGAACATAGCAGGTGACTCAATCAACAGTTTTTAATTAATTAATGGCTTTAACATTAAATAATTATAGAACACATTTAAAACAAAAAGAGCTCTTAGACATTTTTGCTTTAATTCTCTGTGTGATATGGAGAAACTGCCTGAGGCCAGGAGAATTAAGGTACTTTCCAGAGTCATGCAGCTATTGAGTAGCCAGACTGGAGATGGCATATTGGTTTCCTGATCACACAGCACTATTCTCTTTTAGAAAACTGTTATTTCCATTTATGTGAGTGGAAAACAACATCAGGATCAATCTGGCAAACCCCTGGGAACTGTGTTTCTCCAGGCCATCTTTAAGCCTTTAGATTAAAATATAAAATTGGGTAACACTAACAATAGAAGACAGTGTTCCTTTGCTTCTGTCCCCATCCTCTACAAAGTCCCTGCTGCCTTTTTTCCTGGATGTCTCCAGGTGGTGTCTCACAGGTGATTGCAAACACAGTCCTGCCAGCTCCCATATGGCACCTGTCATGACATTCCTTTTCTTCTTCAATTTCTAGCTCAGTGCCCACAGCCAGAGCTTCCCAGGCTGCCTGTCCACGGGTGTGGCACATCTGCAGAGCCTCAGGTGGCTCCTGCTACTGCTCACCCCACAAGCCCTGACTGCTAATATCTGCCCAGGGCCCTGTTTCCTTCCCTAGTATTCCTGTGGGCTGGTTAGCTTGTTACTCAAGAGCCACCGTGTGGAGTCCATGCTCCTATAGTAGCCTAAAATGAGGAAACTGCCCTTCATTAACCCAACTCTAGCTTGTTCCAAAACATGGAGCACAGAACATTGCTGCCTGTAACCCCTGGAATGGCACAAGATTATCTATTTATTTATCCTTTAATCACAGCTGGAGGCCTCAGATATGAATATTCAGGATTGGTGAAAGAACTCAACAATTTGACTGAGTGTCATAATTGTGGCACAGGGAGGAAGGAAGGACAGCATACCAAGCCCTTAATCACACGCTACCCAGATACCAGCATAAGGCCCGACATTCTAGAACAGGGGCCAGCTCATGGCCTACTTTTCTTTGGCCGGTAAGCTAAGAATGGTTTTTACATCTTTAAATTGTTGTGAAAACAAAACAAAAAACAAAGAAAATGCCAGAGACCTATGTGACATGCAAGCCTAGAATACTTACTGTCAGGCCTCTGAGCCCAAGCTAAGCCATCATATCCCCTGTGACCTGCAGGTAAACATCCAGATGGCCGGTTTCTGCCTTAACTGATGACATTCCGCCACAAAAGAAGTGAAAATGGCCTATTCCTGCCTTAACTGATGACATTATCTTGTGAAATTCCTTCTCCTGGCTCATCCTGGCTCAAAAGCTCCCCTACTGAGCACCTTGTGACCCCCCATTCCTGCCCCCCCAGAGAACAACCCCCCTTTTTCCTTTACCTACCCAAATCCTATAAAACAGCCCCACCCCTATCTCCCTTCGCTGACTCTCTTTTCGGACTCAGCCCGCCTGCACCCAGGTGATTAAAAGCTTTATTGCTCACACAAAGCCTGTTGGGTGGTCTCTTCACACGGACGCACATAAAACTTACTATCAAATTCTTTAGAAAAAGAGCTTGTGTTCTCATTGTTCAGTTCCCACCTACGAGTGAGAACATATGGTGTTTGGTTTTTTGCCCTTGCGATAGTTTGCTGAGAATGATGGTTTCCAGCTTCATCCATGTCCCTACAAAGGACATGAACCCATCATTTTTTATGGCTGCATAGTATTCCATAGTGTATATGTGACACAGGAAGGGGAACATCACACAATGGGGCCTGTTGTAAGGTGGGGGGAGGGGGGAGGGTTAACATTTGGAGATATACCTAATGTTAAATGACGAGTTACTGGGTGCAGCACACCAACATGGCACATGTATACATATGTAACTAACCTGCACATTGTGCACATGTACCCTAAAACTTAAAGTATAATTAAAAAAAAAAAAGAAAAAGAGCTTGTGTACCCTTGTCCTAGAGGGCAAACAAAATGCCTCTATTGGAAATGTGACAATGCATAATATGAACCATGTAATTGTAAATTATAAATGAGTTCCATTGGCTTTGCACCTGTATTAAAATCTTGAATTTTTCATCATGATGGGCACCAAGAGCACAGAGAAGTGAGTGCACTTTCTTGATGACTTGTCACTTCCGTGTCAGACAGCAGTTCTGCCTTCAGACTTCGTGGCCTTGTGCCACCTCTGGTCTTAGTGCCTGACCCTGCACCAGAGAAAGAGTCCGTCCTCTCACATCTGTCTCATTATTCCCATTATTCTAGACAATTGGGAGCACTTCATATGAGTCTTCCTTTAGGAATTTTCCTTTAGGATAAGGAGGGCCCTCCTCCCAGAATACAGCTCCACAGGCTTGTCTATAAATAGACTCCTGGGAGCCTTGGGCCACCAGTTCTGCAGCTATGCCAAGAAATGAGTGAATCTTAAGATGAACACAGCTCAGACACAAACTGAGGCCCCCACCACACATAAAATTCAATTTGATTTCTGATTAACTTGATCTTGATTTGGTTTAGAGTAAACCAAAAGTATAAATATTTGCCTCCTATTCGATGCAAACAGATTTTCTTCCAGCCCTGATGTAAATGTAAATTTCAATAATAATTTGTTAGAAATGGGAGAATGATTATTTTTAGTTTATATTTTCTTTTCCTTTGAAATATAAATTTCTGTGCCATTTTCAGCTGGTTGTCTTCTAGCTCATCATTGGCAGATAAAGGTTTCATATGCCAGTAAAAAATCTAGGGTGCCAGAAATACAACAAAAATTTTACTATGTGCTATTGGTTTTTTTAATTAATTTGAGCTTCTCATTCCATTTCTGTTTTCCAAGTATCAATTAAAAACAACAACAAAGTAATATCTACTTTTAACTTAGAAGGAAAAAGCAGCTTCAGCATTAATTCAAACTCCTCTTTTTGATTGATACTAGTATTTTATTGGTACTAGATTAAACTAGATTAAATGAATTATGAAACTAATGTCAAAATATGCTTAAATTTATTTATGTATTCACTTCCCTTTCCTTTTTTGTAAGTAGAATGGGAAAAGGGGTTTCCACAAAAAGTGGCACTTGACTCCTGTCTGTTAGTTAACACCTGTGGAATAGTCTTTAATTAGCCAATTTCCTCTCTAAGCCTCAGTTTCTTTTCTTGTACAGCATCAGTTTATTATTTACTGATTCTTTCCACAGACGTTCTGAAGGGAGAATGAGATAATGTCTACAGAGTGTTTTATGTTTCTTGGATGAAAGGTTCTTTGTAGCATTTAAGGACAAGTTTCCCGGAAGAATACAAGGATTCACCTGAGATCGTACCGGAACTGCTGCTGAGAATGCAGACTGGGAAAATGAACCTGCCTAAGTGGTTGATGACTGTAAACAACCCAAAGCTTTGTACTATTTGATTTTTGGTTCAGACATCTCTGTAGCTATTCTTCAACCATCAACCTATTTTAAATCTTAGGTGAAAGAGGAGATTTGATTTTTTAAAATAGAATACTGTTTTAATCAATTGTCAAGTATCCATACAATGGAATAGTGTAAAACTTTTTTTTCCTGTTTTAAATTTGTCAACATATATTTTAACTTCTAGGGTACCTGTGTGGGATGTGCTGGTTTGTTACATAGATAAACGTGTGTCATGGTGATTTGCTGCACAGATCAACCCATCACCTATGTATTAAGCCCAGCACCCATTAGCTGTTCTTCCTGATGCTCTCCCTCTCCATCTCCACCCGACAGGCCCCAGTGTGTGTTGTTCCTCACCATGTGTCCGTAAGTTCTCTTCATTCAGCTCCCATTTATAAGTGAGAACATGTGGTGTTTGGTTTTCTGTTCATGCATTAGTTCGCTGAGGATAATGGCTTCCAGCTCCATCCATGTCCCTGCAAAGGACACGACCTTGTACCTTTTTATGGCTGCATAGTATTCCATGGTATACTATGTGCCACATTTTCTTTATCCAGTTCTATCATTAATGGGCAATTGGGTTGATTCCATGTCTTTGCTATTGTGAATAGCGCTGCAATGAACAGACACATGCATGTGTCTTTATAATAGAAGGATTTATATTCCTTTGGGTATATATTCAGTAATGGGATTGCTGGGTCAAATGTTATTTCTGTTTCTAGATCTTTGAGGAATCACCACACTGTCTTCCACAATGGTTGAACTAATTTACATTCCCACCAACAGTGTAAAAGTGTGAGGAGATTTGATTTGCTAGAACCTTGATACCGCATATTTAGGATAAAAACATTTGGCAAAAACAGTACCAGTATCTTCCTGCCAGCTTCTCAGAGACTTACTTTCAACTCTTTTCCATTCTGGCCTGTGGTGGAGCTACTCTTATTTAAGCACAATTAAATCTAAATAAATCAAACAAAAGAGAATGAGAATGATAGGGTGTTTTCAGAAACAAGCAAGCAAACAAAACCTATAGTAGAAGTTCTGTGGAATGACTCTCTGGATTAACCAATGTTCACATTCACATGTAAGATTTTCCAAATGATGCCCATGGCCTGCTGAATACTCGCTGCTGTCTAATATGCTGCCATACTTCTTCCTCCAACTGAGCGGTATGTTTACCAAGATTCTGTTGTGTTTACCCTCAAACGGGATTAGGCTAGTTGTACCTGTTATTACAGTGATCTAATTTAATTATATTTTGCCGACACTTATTAAAATATGTTTGAAAGACAATTATTCTTTCTAATAAAAATTATGAGCCCTCAGGAGAGGAATATGCAAGTGTTAGATTCGATGTGAGTGAGGTAGCTATAAAAGATTGGGGTAAAATCACCAAAATTTGGGGAGAATTTTGCACTCAAATTGCTGAAGAATATCTTTGAATTCTTGCTCTATTTTAGAAAAAACTAAAATGATAGAGCTAAATTATAGGTATGTTTTGAGAAAAAAAATAATACAAAACTCCAATCAATCAAACCATAATTAAAGGAAATACCAGTAAAGGAATAAGGAAAGATATAAGTCATTAGAGGTAGACAGTGTAATGTGATTGTATCGTAAAAACATAATGCTGAATGAAAAAGACTAAGAAATTGAATAAGAATTTGAACACCATACCATGTGTATGTTTACATTTATATACACAAAACAAAAAATACACATTTTTAAGAACTCAAACAAAACCATGCACATTAAACATTGTCTTTGGAGAAGAAAAGGGTTGGGAGTGGAAAAAAGATAAAAGATAAATCGACATATAAACAAATAAACAAGAGGTGGCCCTTCCCTGTTGATATGTCATGATTGGAGAAGTGTGACTAACTCATCCTTCTTTAACAGGTTCTTCTCCCACCCCTCCCAAAGAGGGTATAAGAGTCTAAGAACCTAGATAAGTAATGACAGCATTCAAGGGAAGCAACAAAACTTAACAACTGGGTAAGCAGATGCGTCAGTGGTAATCACCTTAATCAATCAGAAAAAATTGAAACATCAGTGCTTGTAATGGGGGAAAAATAAGAAGTAAGCTGATTCTTACCGCCAAACTCCCACAGACAAGGAACACTAGATACATCTGGAGGCATGTGTGCATGTATGACTGGAAATGGGATTGACTGAAGTTCTGCTCAAGAAATAGTTAAAACTGTGGATGCCCTCCCCTAACCCATGCAGTCAGGCAGCCTACCCATCTCACTGTTAAAAGAGCTGGAGTGGGCCGGGTGAGGTGGCTCATGGCTGTAATCCCAGCACTTTGGGAGGCCAAGGCAGGTGGATCACAAGGTCAAGAGATTGAGACCATCCTGGCCAACATGGTGAAACCCTGTCTCTACTAAAAACACAAAAATTAGCTGGGCATGGTGGCAGGCGCCTGTAGTCGCAGGTACTCGGGAGGCTAAGGCAGGAGAATCACTTGAACTCGAGAACCGGAGGTTGCAGTGAGCCAAGATTGCGCCACTGCACTCCAGCCTGGTGACAGAGCAAGATTCTGTCTCAAAAAAAAAAAAAAAAAAAAAAAAAAAAAAAAAAAAAAAAAAAAAAAAAGAGCTGGAGTCGGGGACCAGATGATGATTGATTGGAGTGGGAAAAGGAAATCCTCAAAAACAGTGAACAGCAAAACCAGTACATATTGAATGGTGCGACTCTTCAGCTCCTCCTTCCCACTTGTATCCCAGAATGGTATCAACTAGGTCTATACCTATCCCTCGCCTCCCGATGTGGGACATTTGAGAATCTGCCAAGCCAAGAGAAAAGACTTCTGGATAGTGACACCTGGGAATCTCTCAGAGAAATGACTGATGCCCTGCTCTATCACCTACAGTGAGCAAGCCCTTCCAGAAACAAAGAGCTTTCAGCTACCTTCCTGGCAGCTCATTAGTGCATGTGAATGGGCAGTTAAGGATCACAGAAACAAGAAGTCACTTTTGAACAGTAATTTTGCATTATAAGAATTGATTCCAGATTATTTGCTGTTTTGAATAATTCATGCCTTTGTCCTTTTTCAGTTGTCTAAGATTTTGTCTATCATCCTTAGGTGAACAAGGACGTAAGCAAATCTTTATCACATTCCCTAATATTACAATGTCCTACATCCAGCTGGCTAAAAAGATCTCACAAGTGTTCTCTCCAAGAGTGCTCCCAGAACTTAAATGGGGAGACAAAATGGATTTTCCTGACTGCAGATCTGCAGCAGTTGGCCTGCATTAATCACATTGCCATCAGCTGGGTACCTTGTGTAGTAATGTGGGACTTTAGTTGGACTGAAAGGAAAAGAAGGAACAGTTCCATTTGGCTCAGGCATGTCTTGACTGGGATATAAGTCAGAGTATCTGTCATCTGCTGTTCTGAGTGTGTATGCCTGTGTGTGCATGACTCTGTGTGTGTGTGTGTCCGTACCTATGTATGTGTGCACACATACCCATGCTCCACCACAAACCGGGAATACTTGTTAAGCTTTTTCGAAGACATGCATCAGGCTGCTAAGACACTTTGCCTTTTCTCCCTGAGAAATCAGGAATTTGGCAAGGCAGTCGAAACCCTAGAGGAGATGCCCTGTTTGCTGAAATCAGAGCCATCTATGTGACTGTCCAGCAGGAGACTACCAGTTTTGTCATCAGTGAACATTTTGGTTGATGAATTAAAGCCTGGGTACAATATCTAGAGAGCATCTCTAGCTCTACTATAGGAGAACAAGAGAGATTTGGGTGTATGTCAGGGGAGAAATGCTTGAAGAAGAACTTTCTTACCGTTGCTTTGGCTTCTCCCATTAATCTTCCTTCATGCCCAAGATGCCCTTGTGCACTGTTATCGCTGAGAGTGGAAGCTGGAAGTCCATCTGCAGGATGATTGAATTATCACATTTTCCTCTCCTTGCCTCCTATGGAAAGTACAAAGACAAATGTTGCTTCTACAGACTAAGACAAAAGTACTCCTGAGATTCATTAACCATGTCTTTTATTTTCCAAGTTCTGATGCTTTGATAGCTGGAGCCTTGCTAACCCCAGAGGGACTCCCCTCTCAGGGCTAGCGAATTCCTAGAGAGAGTAAATACTGGAGATAGTAAATAACTTGGCCTGAGCATGGCTTTCAAATGCAAACCAACTAATCCAGAGCTCATACTTCCAGCTACCTCTCTTATTGGCATCTCATACTCCAGGCCGCTCTCCACATGCCCTTATTATCCCAGGGCCAGGTATCAGACAACTAGGCACAGCCTCTATGCCCCAGAGCCAGCTAAAATCATTCATGCTAGCCAATCCTAAGCCTGCTTACTCCTTCCCCATTCCACCTCATGAAAACCACATTAAAGGCTCTTGCCTTTGGGTTCCCCTCACACTCTGCCTCCTAACTGACCCTGGTGCTTCTCCATACATAGTCCCACAGCATAGCATGCCTCCCCGTCTTGGGAATTACAATGTACAAACAACCTTTTCAAATGGCAATCATCTCTTGCTATGTTGGCCTTACCATGCCTATATAATGATGAAACCAATGAAAACAGGGAAAGCCTGTTACAGTGACTGGAAAATCACAAGAGGTGAGGGTTTTATGGGTGGATAGAATCTATACGAGTAGAGAGAGAACAAAAGAGAGTTCCAGAGAGGAAGAATGTTGTGGACCAAGTTACTGGCAGAAGTGACTGCTAGAGTTGTTATGAAACACAGGTAGAGCAATTTTGTTGGCGTACAGGCACCACAGAAGCAAGATTGAAAAATAAGGATGGAGAGGTTCAGACTGCACTTGGGTACAAGTTTGGGACTAATAACTTTGGACATTGAATGATCCATTTGAGCAAGAGAAGTTATTAAGGCAATGTTTCCAAATGAATCTTAAGTAGTAGTTAGATATTTTGGAGGAAGAAGGAATTGGAATGAGTTGCATTTTGAAGTAGGGCATTGCTGTGACTGAACACACTCAAGTGTAGGCTGCATTACCACTTAGTTGGAGATGGTGTATTGCAGGTAAGCAAATCACTTGGGAGATCGTGTTAAAATACAGTCTGATTCAGCAGGTTTGAGATGAGGCCTGAGCTCATTTCAAACTAGCTGATGCTGCTGGTCCTCAACTACACTGTAAGTTGCAAGAAAATAGATGACCTCTATATTCACTTACAACCTGCATTTCCTTGATTTTACTACCTAGCATGCTGAGAAAACAGCTGAAAATTTTCACTTCATATCAGCTTGAGCCATTCTGCTTGTTCCCACTGGTGAAACTGTAAATTTTAAAATGCCAAGTCAAACCACGCGAAAGGGATTACACACAGCTCCTTGCCTTGCAATTACCCCATCACACACTGAGTTAATGTGGGCAAAGAGAAAATATGCGTAAGATTCTGAAAAGGTTGGAACTCAACTTAGGGATAAAAAAGAAAACTTTGGGGCTGGGCGCAGTGACTCATGCCTGTAATTCCAACATTTTGGGAGACTGAAGCAGGCAGATTGCTTGAGCCCAGGAGTTTGAGACCAGCCTGGCCAACACAGCAAGACCTTGTCTCTGCAAAAAAAGAAAAAAAAAACAAAAAACTTTGGAATCTCTAGAAAGATATAAAGGAAAGGATTGTGGAAAGAATTATGAGTTAGTTGCATTTTATTCAAGAATATAGTTTGGCTTTCTCAGTAAATATAAAACTTGATCTCACCATATATTTTCTAGTTCCCATGAAGCTGCATGCGAACAAAATTTTATCTCAAATCAGTTTTTTTCTTTTTCTTTTTCCTTTTCCTTTTTTCTTTTTCTTTTTTTTTTTTGAGATGAGGTCTTGCCCTGTCACCTAGGCTGGAGTGCAGTGGTGCAATCTCAGCTCACTGCAACCTCTTCCTCCCGGGTTCAAGCGATTATCCTGCCTCAGCCTCCTGAATAGCTGGGATTACAGGTGTGCTCCATGACGCTTGGATAATTTTTGTATTTTTAGTAGAGATGGGGTTTCACCATGTTGGCCAGGCTGGTCCCGAACTCCTGACCTCAGGTGATCTGCCCACCTCAGCCTCCCAAAGTTCTGGGATTACAGGTATGAGCCACTGAGCCCAGCCTCAAATCAGTTTTTTTCTAACGGCTTCTTTTAGACCCTAAAGATATGGCCATACAGAAAATACTTCACCAGAAGGAACTTAAAAATATTCAAGAATCTCAAACTTTCCCTCTAAGGAGTTTTCTGCCTAGGTAGCTTTTTGTGTGCTTTTAATTCTTTGACATGATCTTTTTTTTAAAGTTAGTTAAAAAGTTTTGTTTTAATTTTCATTTGAACCACTCATCAAAAGCACTTATATGTTGTTTTATCTGTCGGAAAGGTATAAAATTGATCTTATAGAGAAACTGAGATGAAAGCTGATGGGGAACAGGATTACTTTAAATATGAAATATTAGAAAAGGGTAATAATAAGCTAAAACATGGTGAAGCTGACTTGTTTCAAAATAAAAGTGACATTGAATTTTAAGAATAGGAGTAGGTCCTGAGATTTTTGTTTATAAAAATTACTTTTTTTAACAGAATAATGGAATCTAATAAATGGAAATGGACAATATTCTTTGAAATCATGTATTCCTTTACCTTCATTTTACAAATGAGGAAACCAAGGCTCAGAATGTCTAGGTCTGTCCTTCCTTCCTTCCTTCCTTCCTTCCTTCCTTCATCCCTCCCTCCTTCCTTCCTCCCTCCATCCCTCCCTCTCTCCCTCCCTCCCTCCTTCCCTCCCTCCCTCCTTTCCTCCCTCCCTCTCTCCCTCTCTCCCTCTCTCTCTGTGTGTTTTTTTTTTTTTTTTTTGAGACGGAGTCTTGCTCTGTTGCCCAGGCTGGAGTGCAGTGCCACCATCACAGCTCACTGCAGCCTTGACCTCCTGGGCTCAAGTGATCCTCCTACCTGAGCTTCCCGAGTAGCTGGGACTACAGGTGCATACCACCACACCTGGCTAATTTTTGTAGAGACAAACGAGGTTTTGTCATGTTGCCCAGGCTCATCTTGAATTCCAAGGCTTAAAAGATAAGCCCATTTCAGCCTCCCAAAGTGCTGGAATTATAGGTGTGAGCTACCGCACCCAGCCTTAGGTGATTTTCTTATGACAACTTAGTACACTAATGGCAGGATTAGCGATGCAGTGCTCTCTATGTAGTCCTAAGCTATTTCAATAACACCAACAACACCATACTAACACGTTTTGGGTAATAATAAAGTTACCATTTCTGAGATTAGATATTATTCCTCAATATGTCCTATCATTTTACAGGAGATATATGAGTGATAGCTTCGTGTGTTCAGAAAAGATAGGGAGGAAGAAGCACTTTAGTTTTTCCACAAAGAATTGGATAGCAAATGAGTAGGCAGAAGGATGTAGTAGAGCACATTAGTACCCAGAGGTGACACTGTTAGCTAAAGCATGAAGGCAGAAGTAGCAGGAAATAATCCTGGGACCTGGGGATATTGACTAGCTGGGAGTATTAGACAACAAAATAGAGGAGAGGATGGGCCAGCTATTAAAGATGTAGGAGAGCAAGTCAGATATTTCAACTTTGCGCTACCAAAATAGAGGGCCAGAAACAGATGTGCTGGGAAACTGCTTAAATCAGCTTGTGAGAGCCAATTACAGTATGTTCTTCTCGTCCCAACTTGGAGTTCAGTAATATTACATTAGTAATTGAAACTGCCCATGGTAGCAGCATTTACTCCATGGAAATCAGCAAATACCACAAACTGAAGATTTTTTTTTCTTTCTGGACAGCCAATTTACCAGCATATCCAAATAAAGTGATCTATGTTCCTCCAGTAGCTAGACTAGACATACAGGAGGATGGAGAAATTGAGAGAAGGGTTGGGGAGATGCGAAGTCTACCACCCCATCCAATGAGAAGTTTGGAGGAATGTTCTCACATCCAATTTTCACAGCAAATCCTTAGTACATGTTCTGGTTCCTTAATTTGTAAAATCCAAAGTTTCTGACTTCCAACTCCTTCAGTCTGAAACCACACATAACACTTTTGAATTTTTCAGACCCAAACTCAATTTACAATGCTTTAGGTAAGAAGAGAACGAGCATCTCCATTAGAAAAGGAGTAAGCCAAGAGGAAGAGAGTCGAAACACTTAACATAATTTTGTTACATTAAAGTCTAACTTACATCTGCAGCCTAAAGCAAGGTAAGATTTGTATCTGAAAATCACCGTTATTTACTCCAGTCTTGTAGAAGGCTATGAGCATACTTCCTACTGTGATTTTCATTACTACCATCCGCACATCACCACACCAGCAGCAATAGCAATGTCATTTATCGAGCAGTTATCCTAAGCCAGGCCCTATGCTTGTCATTCAATCATGTTTACTATATGGTTTACTAATAACGCTTACTGTGTGTCAGGCTTGTGCTTGATTAGTGGTACTTATGTTTCTTGGTCGTGAGAAGCCTCTACATTCTTAGACATTATTTAAGGAGTCAGTGAGTTTTGATTGATTGACTGATTGGTTTAAGTGACAGGGTCTTGCTCTGTAGCTCAGGCTGGAGTGCAGTGGCTTGATTATAGCTCACTACAACCTTAAACTCTTGGGATCAACTGATTCTCTCACCTCAGCCTCCTGAGTGGCTGGGATTACAGGCACTTGCCAGCATGCCGGGCTCCAGCATGATTATGGGGGTTACAGCCACTGATATGTATTGTATTAGAAATTGAAAACGACTTTTTTTTTTTGAGACTGAGTCTCACTTTGTTGCCCAGGCTGGAGTGCAGTGGTATGATCCTGGCTTGCTGCAACTTCCACCTCCCAGGTTCAAGCGATTCTCCTGCCTCAGGCTCCTGAGTAGCTGGGACCACAGGTTCATGCCACCATGCCTGGCTAATTTTTGTATTTTTAGTAAAGAGGGGGTTTCACCATGTTAACCAGGGTGGTCTCGAACTCCTGACCTCAAATGATCGCCTGCCTCGGCCTCCCAAAGTGCTGAGGCATGAACCACCACACCAAGCCAAAACCGGTTATTTTTAAAAAGTATTTATTAATTCATTCAATGATAATATAAAACCATTACATGTTAATATAATTAACATTTTTCATGTATCAGAAATATATTTTCCAAAACAAAAGAAAATAGAATTATGACATAGTTTTACAATCTGGCAAATCTCTTTACGGTCTACTTTAATAGAAAGCCCCTGGATTCCCTTATGTGCTTCTGCATGTATCTGTTGCAAGTAGTTTTTGGAAAACTCTACACTCATGAGAAAGAGTGAAAAAGGCAAATAACATCTTGGTATTTTTACCAAAATAGTTTTGACCTGACGGAACCCCTTTCAGCATCTTGTGGGTCTCCAGGAGCCTCCAGACCATACTTTATTTATTTATTTATGTATTTATTTATTTCTTCTAAAGGATTATTTTTTTATTTGGATAAACTAGAGAAAATAAAGACTATTAAAATTTTTTTAATATGAAAAAAGAGTAAGAGAAAAGATAGGAAAAGAAAAGAAAGACTGTCCAGGATCCCTTCCCATTTATTTTGTTATTATTTTTTATTTTTATTTTATTTTATTATTATTATACTTTAAGTTTTAGGGTACTTGTGCACAATGTGCAGGTTAGTTACATATGTATACATGTGCCATGCTGGTGTGCTGCACCCATTAACTCGTCATTTAGCATTAGGTATATCTCCTAATGCTATCCCTCCCCCGTCCCCCCACCCCACAACAGTCCCCAGAGTGTGATGTTCCCCTTCCTGTGTCCATGTGTTCTCATTGTTCAATTCCCACCTATGAGTGAGAACATGTGGTGTTTGGTTTTTTGTCCTTGTGATAGTTTACTGAGAATGATGATTTCCAATTTCATCCATGTCCCTACAAAGGACATGAACTCATCATTTTTTATGGCTGCATAGTATTCCATGGTGTATATGTGCCACATTTTCTTAATCCAGTCTATCATTGTTGGACATTTGGGTTGGTTCCAAGTCTTTGCTATTGTGAATAGTGCTGCAATAAACATACGTGAGCATGTGCCTTTATAGCAGCATGATTTATAGTCCTTTGGGTATATACCCAGTAATGGGATGGCTGGGTCAAATGGTATTTCTAGTTCTAGATCCCTGAGGAATCGCCACACTGACTTCCACAATGGTTGAACTAGTTTACAGTCCCACCAACAGTGTAAAAGTGTTCCTATTTCTCCACATCCTCTCCAGCACCTGTTGTTTCCTGACTTTTTAATGATTGCCATTCTAACTGGTGTGAGATGGTATCTCATTGTGGTTTTGATTTGCATTTCTCTGATGGCCAGTGATGGTGAGCATTTTTTCATGTGTTTTTTGGCTGCATAAATGTCTTCTTTTGAGAAGTGTCTGTTCATGTCCTTTGCCCACTTTTTGATGGGGTTGTTTGTGTTTTTTTTGTAAATTTGTTTGAGTTCATTGTAGATTCTGGATATTAGCCCTTTGTCAGATGAGTAGGTTGCGAAAATTTTCTCCCATTTTGTAGGTTGCCTGTTCACTCTGATGGTAGTTTCTTTTGCTGTGCAGAAGCTCTTTAGTTTAATTAGATCCCTATTTGTCAATTTTGGCTTTTGCTGCCATTGCTTTTGGTGTTTTAGACATGAAGTCCTTGCCCACACCTATGTCCTGAATGGTAATGCCTAGGTTTTCTTCTAGGGTTTTTATGGTTTTAGGTCTAATGTTTAAGTCTTCAATCCATCTTGAATTAACTTTTGTATAAAGTGTAAGGAAGGGATCCAGTTTCAGCTTTCTACATATGGCTAGCCAGTTTTCCCAGCACCATTTACTAAATAGGGAATTCTTTCCCCATTGCTTGTTTTTCTCAGGTTTCAGACCATACTTTAATAAGCTACATATTTAGGCGTGAAATCAATCTCCCCTGTCCTCACAGAACTGACCTTGTCAGACTGTCTTTTACATGCCTTATGTCATTCCAGCCCACCACAACCCTATGAGATAGGTATTTTTATTGCCTCCATTTTCTACATAAGGAAACTGTGGAACAGAGAGGAACAAAGAACTATAGAACACAGAGGTATTATTGGCAGAACTCAGTGGTGAAGCTGAGGCTCAATCCAGGTGTGTCTGATGATAGAGATGATGCATATAAAGCACCACACAAAGAATAAAGTTTGTAATGAACTTTTTTTTTTTGAGATGGGGTCTGTGTTGCCCAGGCTGAAGTGCAGTGGCATGATCTCAGCTCACTGCAACTTTTGCCTCCTGGGCTCAAGCAAACCTCCCCGCTCAGTACCCCAAGTAGCTGGAACTACAGGGGTGAGCCACCATGCCAGCTAATTTTTGTATTTTTTGTAGAGACAGGGTTTCACTATGTTGCCCAGGCTGGTCTTGAACTCCTGAGGACAAGCCATACACCCAACTGGGCCTCCCAAAGTGCTGGGATTACAGGCATGAGCCACTGCGCCCGGCCCATTACCTACTTTTTAAAGTTCCATTGAGACAGAAAAGTTTGATCATCTTTTGAAGAGGTCCTTTATGAAACAACTTCTAATCCAGCTGCTACTACTGTTCTTCTGCCACAACTGAAATGATCCCATCCCAAGGCAGGCCTCACTGTTTTGGAATGATGGCAAATGGTAGGGATGGTGGATGCATTGTGAGAATTTCGGAGTGAAAGAGAAAAATGTGTATGGAAGATCTGGCCAGGATATTGCAGTCTTTGAAATGAGTCCAAAAGTGTTGGGGGAAGAAAAGTAAAAGGTTGGTTGGTGTTAACCTGGGAGGCGGAGCTTGCAGTGAGCCGAGATTGCGCCACTGCACTCCAGCCTGGGCAACAGAGCGTGACTCCATCTCAAAAAAAAAAAAAGATTGGTTGGTGTTTCCAGTCAGCCAGAAATGTGAGCTGCTGCCACAGCCTGCAGGATTTGCTGCTTCCCCAAAGACTCCCTCCTCTCTGCACAGATGTAGTGGCACAAATTAATAGCTTTTCTCTGATATGCTGAGATCAGCCAGCAGATCTGAGGGCTACCTATCACTGTACTTATGGGAGATAATGGATTACAGCCATCATTATTATCAGATTATCCAGGGATAGAACAGACATTAACTGTGACATCATCATAATTTATTGAAGAAAAATTTATCAGAGGTTCTTTTTTTGTTGTTTTGTTTTTTGAGACGGATTCTCGCTCTGTGGCACAGGCTGGAGTGCAGTGGTGCGGTCTCGGCTTACTGCAAACTCCATCTCCCGGGTTCACGCCATTCTCCTGCCTCAGCCTCCAGAGTAGCTGGAACTACAGGCAACTGCCACCACGCCTGGCTAATTTTTTTTGTATTTTAGTAGAGAAGGGGTTTTACCACGTTAGCCAGGATGGTCTCGATCTCCTGACCCCATGATCCGCCCACCTTGGCCTCCCAAAGTGCTCAGAGTTTTGTAAATAAAACTCTTTATATATAATCTCTACTTTCTACTACCTTGTACCATGTATATGAGCTTCTTAGTATAGCTGCTATAGAATTCCTTCAAAAATTACAGCATCTTGAAAGATATCCAAAGATCACCTGGCTTTTTTCCAGAATTGAAATACTACAGTAAATAGAGCATGAGCTTTGGAGTCATAGAGATCAAGGTTTAACTGGTGGTTCTGCCAGTGATGAATTGTATGGTCTCAGGTAAATGACTATCCTCTCTGAGCTTCAGTTTTCCCATTTGGAAATTGAAGAAGACAAAGTTGTCCTCATAGGAACATTATGAGGCTTAGATGAGACTCTTAAAAAAAAGGGGCACAGTCAAAGACATACGTTAAAAAGATTTTACTTCTCTTTTCCCCTCTATGTACAGTGACCATGCAATTTATCATTGGGAATGGAAAACTTCTGAGAACAAAGGGAGGCTCAGTTAATAATTACACCTGGACAACAGACATAAACTGGATCATCCTGGGCAAATCAAGTGCATGATCATGCTATCTCTGAGTAAAACATTCTGGTAGGCAAGCGGTGCTGGCACTGCTATAGTTATGTAATGTCAAAGTGTTACTTTCTCTCTGTCATTAAAAAAAATAAGACTTTACTTTTATAAGTTTTAAATTTACAGAAAAATTGAGCAGAGTTCTCACATGACATTATTCCTACAAACATAGCTTCTCCTATTAACATTTTGCATTAGTGTAATACATTGGTAACAATTAATGAACCAATGCAGATATGTTATTAACTAAAGTCTTTTTCACATGAAAATCTTCAGTTAGGAAGTAAGTCCATAACTTCCCAAATACAATGTCTGTGTTTGTGCATAATGTTTTCTGAATAGGAAATGGGATGAAGGGAGGATAGAACATGAAATCAAGTGCTTAAAACCAAACACGTCATCTCTAGACTTTGAGAGTCTATCAGATTTTCCTGCTGCCATCTCTCTTTTCAAAACCCTCATTACTCACGTCACCCACACTTGAAAGTTTGATGGCGTCTTTTACTTTCTTACTGCTTAAGTATAAGCCGTCATCATGTAGCAATGTTTAGTTTTGTTTATACCGTTGTAAAATTAGAGCAAGAGAGAAAAAGACTGCTTGAATATCTTTCCAAATGTAACTTTGTATGACACTGCCAGACTGGAACATATACAACTGAATCTTTTGGTTTCTAAAGAAATTATTCGGCCAGGCTTGGTGTCTCACGCCTGTAATCCCAGCACTTTGGGAGGCTGAGGCGGGCGGATCACAAGATCAGGAGTTGGAGACCATCCTGGCTAACACAGTGAAACCCCATCTCTACTAAAAAAACACAAAAAATTAGCCAGGCGTGGTGGCGGGCACCTGCAGTCCCAGCTACCCGGGAGGCTGAGGCAGGAGAATGGTGTGAAACCAGGAGGCGGAGCTTGCAGTGGGCCGAGATCGTGCTGCTGCACACCAGCCTGGGCAAAAGAGCAAGACTCCGTCTCAAAAAAAAAAAAAAAAAAAAAAAAAAAAAAAAAAAAAAGAAAAGAAATTATTATAGCAGTGGACTTTATGTAACTTGTGCTTCAAGAGTGAAAAAAAAAAAAAAAAACTCTTAAGAAGGCTGCTTGGTATGTTGCCAAAAGTCTTCCCCACTTGCTAGAGGAAAGAATATTATCTCCAGTGTCAACTACTATAATACACATTACCTAGATAAAGAGATGGATTTTCTATTAGCAATTTTCTATAAATGATTTGGCACTCATTAGTTCATCGGATTAACCAGCTAAAACCTTGGAAGATAGAAAAAAAAACTTGCTTCCCAGCCTCCCACTTGGCCTCCCTCCAAGCAATCTTCTTTGACAATGACACCAGCGATATAGAGTATTTAAACTGCAAAGCTAATCAAGTTACTTCTCCATGTAAAATCATTCAACATTTCTTGTTATGTATTTCTTATTATTTCTAAACAGTTGTTAGTGATTTGGT